>NC_000021.9:33954754-34264708 GCF_000001405.40 Homo sapiens
GAATTTTGGAGGGACATAAACATTCAGTACGTAACATACTATAAATTCTTCATGTAGGTTCAAGGTTCAAATGTATATTACCCATTTGGTCTGGGAATTCTTAAGATAAAAGATTAATATAGAAGTGGTATCAAGCAGTGATGGTATCCCTGCAATGTCTGTCAGAAGCAATAAAAAATCTTCTCTGGAGGAACATTCCCTCAATTCAGGCAGTTGAAGATTGCTACAAACAGAGTCCTACTAAATATAAGTTCACAATCCAATTACAAAACATACGAGGAATCAATTTACCATGAGCAAGAGTCAGCCGACCAAGCAACTGATGGATTATGTTTCAAGAACTTAAGATAATAGAACTATCAAATATACTATAAAATAAATATATTTAAAATTATTAAAGACTTAAAAAGGAATTGAAAATTGATAAAGAGAATAAGACTATTAAAAGGAGGAGGCAGATTTGAAAAAGAATAATATTAATAAAAATGAAAAGTATATAGTCATTAAAATTAAAAACTCAATGGACAGATTAGAGACAGCTGAAGGGGAATTAGGGACTTGGAAGGTACAGGAAATTTCACAGAAAGCAGTTTAGAGAGATTAAGAGATGGAAAATATGAAAGAGAGATTAAGAGACAAGTAGGACAGAATGAGAAATTCTAATATACATGTAATGGGGTTTCCAGAAGGTAAGAAGATAGATAATGGGGTCGGGCATGGTGGCTCATGCCTGTAATCCCAGCACTTTGGGAGGCCAAGGTGGGTGGATCACTTGAGGTCAAGTGTTCAAGACCAGTGTGGGCAACATGGTGAAACCCCATCTCTACTTAAAAAATATACAAAATTAGCCAGTTGTGGTGGTGGGAGCCTATAATCCCAGCTACTCAGGAGGCTGAGGCAGGAGAATCACTTGAACCCAGGAGATGGAGGTTGCAGTGAGTTAAGATTGTGCCATTGCACTTCAGCCTGGGTGACAGACGAGATTCTGTCTCAAAAAAAAAAAAAAAAAAAAAGGTAATGGGGAAGAGGCAGCAGTCAAAGTGAAACTGGCTAAAAATTTTTTAGAATTGGTTTAAGACTTAAATCCTAAAAATCAATCAGTCTGATTACTCTTGAGCAGAATTAAAAAAATATATATGTATAGTTTAGAGGATAAAGGAGGAATCAGTAAAACTCAAACAATCCAAGAGACAGAGAAAAGAAACAAAGAAAAGACAGAGTAAGTAGGAAGTATAAAATAAAGCAATGGTAATAAAACTAAATATATGAGTAATCATAATGCATATAAATAGAATAAATTATTCAGTTAAAAGACAGAAGCTAGGTGTGGTGGCTCATGGCTTGAAGTCTCAGCTACTTGGGAGGATGGTGTGGGAGGACTGCTTGAGTCTAGGAGTTTGAGACCAGCCTGGGCACCACAGTTAGACCCTGTCTAAAAAAAAAAAAAAAGAGATTGTTAGAATAGGTTAAACACACACACACACACACACACACACACACACACACACACGCACATGCAGTCTAGTATTCTAGTATGCCTCTTGTTTAGAGAGTGACGCAGAAAGGTAGAAAATACACACCAGGGGAATACTAATCAAAAGAAAACTAGTTCGGCTATAGTAATAACAGACAAAATGGACTTTTTAATACATGTATAAAAACACTTTAAAGAGAAAAATAGTCACTACATATGATAAAAGGAACAGTTCATTAAGATACATTCACCTCCATTGACCTAGCAAGATCACCTTAAAACATATGTAGCAAAATTTTACAAAATTAGGAGGAAAAATAGACAAATCCATACTTGTAGTGAGAGATTTTAACATACCTCTCATAGTAATTGATAAACCAAGAAGACAGAGAATTAGTATGATTATGGAACATATAAACAATATAAGAAGCTTGAACAATAATTATATGTGTAATTTTACACTCAACAATCAGAGAATAGGCCGGGTGCAGTGGCTCATGCTTGTAATCCCAGCACTTTGGGAGGCTGAGGTGGGTGGATCATTTGAGGTCAGGAGTTCCAGACCAGCCTGGCCAACATGGCAAAACTCCGGGTCTACTAAAAATACAAAAATTAGCTGGGCATGGTGGCGGGCACCTGTAATCTCAGCTACTCAGGAGGCTGAGGCATGAGAATCGCTTGAACCCGGGAGGTGGAGGTTGTAGTGAGCCGAGATCATGTCACTGTACTCCAGCCTGGGCAACAGAGCGAGACTTCGTCTCAAACAACAACCACCCCGCCCCCCACTGAAAAAAGTTAGAGAATATACATTCTTTCTAAGCAGATACAGAAAATATACAGATTTTGACCATGTACTGGATATTTATATCATGAAGCTATTTATGTAAAGCTTAAAAACCCATAAAACTATACTATACCATATTCATGGATCTTCATAAAAAACATAAAATACATGGGGGCAATAGATCCTACATTCAGGCTGTAGGTTTTTCTGCAGTTGGAAGGAGGAAAAGGGGATGGGGGAGGGACATATTAGGGGCCTCAGCGGTATATGTAGTGCTTAAAACAACCTTAAATAAGAGATCAGCTTCCTGTCCTGATCCAGAAGGAGTCTAACCTCTAAGCCTCTCTCTCTCCCACTGATTATAACTAAAACTTTTAAAAGCAGAAAATACTTAAGACTTGGAAAAGTCATAGCATGCAGACTGAGGAAGGGAGTCAAAACTTGAAGAATGAATTGTTCAGAGCTGAATTTCTCATTTTCCCCCATTCTATTTCCCAACTTTGATCTGAGGGCAGCCTAGTTGTGGACCTAAAATCCTGAGAAAAACCCTGTATTTCTGGCCAGAGGACTGAGAAAATGGATCCCTGGGAACTAGATAATAGGGCAGCAGTCCCCAACCTTTTTGGCACTGGGGACCAGTTTCATGGAAGAAAATTTGTCCATGGACCTGGGTAGGGGGATGGTTTCAGGATGATTCAAGTGCGTTACATTTATTGTGCCCTTTTATTTCTATTGTTATTACATTGTAACATATAATGAAGTAATTATGCAACTCACCATAAGGTAGAATCAGTGGGAGTGCTGAGCTCGTTTTCCTGCAACTAGACGGTCCCATCTGGGGGTGATGGGAGACAGTGACAGATCATCAGGCATTTGATTATCATAAAGAGCATGCAACCTAGATCCCTTGCATGCACAGTTCACAACAGAGTTTGTGCTCCTATAAGAATCTGATGGCTCTGCTGATTTGACAGGGGATCAGGCAGTAATGGGAGAGATGGGGACTGGCTGTAAATACAGATAAAGCTTCACTCGCTTGCTTACAGCTCACCTTCTGTTGTGTAGACCTGTAATGGTCCATGGCCCAGGGACTGGGGGCTCCTGGAGTAGGGGAAATGCTGGAGAAGAGGGATTCCTTAGTTCTGTGTATGGACCAACACAAATCTTGAGCTCAGCCTCAAGTTGTATATACCCAGGACAGACCTAAAAGTACTACTGCAAAGATTTTCACAACTGACCTGACACTAGAACCCTGCAAACAGAAGGCAAGACAGAACCTGTGATCTGAACACAACAGGGTTAATGGCCTGCTAAACAAATCGAAACCAACATTCTCTAGAAGTTTTACAAGGAGAATCTAGAATTTCATGGAATAATATTAGAAATGTACAAGATACAATCCAAACTTACTTGACACATAAAGAACCAGGAAAATGTGATTATTTTTTAAAGGAAAAGGCAATCGATTATGTTAATCCTGAGATGGCCCAGATGCTGAAGTTATCAGACAAATACTTTACTTGTTATAACCAAGCCCATGAGGTAAAGGTAAACACCTTAAAATGGAAAGAAAAAAGTGTTTGGCAAAGAAATAGAAACTATTATAAAAGAATACAATACAACTTTTGAAAATGAAAATTGTAATATCTGAAAAACAAAACTCATTGAATGGGCTTAATAGCAGAATGGAGATGGCAGAGGAGTCAGTGAACTTGAAGATGTATCTATAAAAATTATCTGGTCTCAAGGACAGAGAGAAAAAATGATTGAAAAAAATTAATAGAATCTCAGTGGCCTGTGGTACAAGACCAAAAGGTCTGACATTCTTGTTCTTGTAGCACCAAAAGGAAAGAGAAAAGAGACTGGATTATGAAAAAAATATATATTTGAAGAATTAATAGCTGAAAATGTCTTACATTTCGGAAAAACATACATTTGTAGATTTAAGAAGCTCAGCAAGTCTCAAACAGAATAAACCAAAAGGAAATCATGTCCAGATGCATCACACACTGTTGAAAACCAGATATAATTGAAAAATCTTGAAAGCAGCCAGAAATAAGTAACACATTATATATAGGGGAACAAGGATTCATATGACTGAGTATTTCTCACCAGAAACCATGGAGGCTAGAAGACAGTAGAATAACATTTTTAAAGTGCTTAAAGAAAGGAGCTTTTAACCCAGAATTCTATATTCAGAAAAAATATCCTTCAGGAATGATGGTAAAATAAATACATTCTCAGATTAAGAAAAAGTGAGAGAATTCTTTGGTATTAAACCTGCTCTAAAATAAATGCTAAAGAGAGTCTTACAGGCTGAAGGTAAATGATACCAGAGGGAAACTTGAAACTTCAGGAATGAAGGAAGAGCAACAGAAATGGTAAATATTGAGCTAAATAAAATACCCTATTTTTATCCTTTTAAATTCTTTAAATATTTATGGCTGTTGAAGGCAAAAATCATAACATTGGTGAGGTTCTCAATGTATATAGATATAAACATATGACAGGTATAACATAAAGGGGGAGGGTAAAAGTATGTATATGTTTGTCAGGCTCCTACATTTTACTTTGAATTGGTAAAATAGTAACTTGAAGTAGACTGTAAAACACTAGGAATGCATATTGCAATATCTAGAACAGTCACTATACACACACACACACACACAAAGAGATATTGCCAAAAAAGGCAACAGATACATTAAAATGAAATACTAAAAACTTTAAGTAATTCAAAAGAAGGCAGGAACAATGGAACAGAACCAAAACACACAGAGGACAAACAGAAACCACATAATACAATAATAGACATAAATTCAACCATACCAATAATTACATTAAATGTAAATGAGCTAAACATACCACTAAAAAAACAGAGATTGTCAGATTGGATAAAAAAGAAGACTCAAATATAAGCTGTCTACAAAAAGCTAATTTAAATATGACATAGGTTAAAAAAGGAAACAATATAAAGCAAATATGATGAAATGATAGAACCAAGTGGTAGATACCTGTGAGTTAATTCTGTTACTTGCTATTATATTCTATATGTTTGAAATATTTATAATAATAATAAAAGGTGATTGGATGATTTTTTACATAAATATTCTAGTCCTCTAGGGAGGAAAAAGGAAAGATTGGTTAATAGATACAAGTTACAGTAAGATGGGAGGGATAAGTTCTAGTGTTCTACGGCATTTTAGGGTGAATATGGTTAACAATAATTAAATGTACATGTTCAAAAAGCTGGAAGAGAGGTTTTTTTTTTTTTGAGATAGAGTCTTACCCTGTCACCCAGGCTGGAGTGAAGTGGAGTGATCTCAGCTTACTGCAACCTCTGCCTCCTGAGTTTAAGCAATTCTTGTGCCTCAGCCTCTTGTGCCTCTGCAGCTCTGTAGCGATTCTTTTTTTTTTTATTTTTTGAGACAGAGTCTTGCTCTGTTGCCCAGGCTGGAGTGCAGTGGCATGATCTTGGCTCACTGCAATCTCCACCTCCTGGGTTCAAGAGATTCCCGTGTCTCAGCCTCCTGAGTAGCTGAGACTGCAGGCTTGCACCACCATGCCTGGCTAATTTTTTGTATTTCAATAGAGACAGGTTTCACCATGTTGGCCAGGATGGTCTTGATCTCCTGACCTTGTGAGCTCCTGACCTCGTGATCTCCCACCTCGGCCTCCCAAAGTGCTGGGATTATAGGCATGAGCCACTGTGCTCAGCCTAAAAGAGAGGATTTTGATTGTCTGCAACACAAAAAAATGATAAATGTTTGAGGTGATGGATATGCTAATTACCCTGATTGGATCATTATACATTGTACACATGTATCAAAATATCACTCTGTGTCCCATAAATATGTACAATTATTGCATATCAACTAAAAATAAAAAGAATCAATGCCCTTTAGATGGGTATATGAGATCTTTAGATGCCTGGCTCCAGACTGATGTCTCATCTTTTTCCTTCTAGTCCCTGGTGTGGGGCCAGAGCTTAGGATCTGGAATCAGACTTCTTAAACCCAAATTCTACTTCTTACCTGGTAATCACGTCCAAAGGACTTTAACTTTCTTAAACCTCAGAAGACTTCAACAGTAAAATAATTATAACATTGCCTAACTCTAAGGGTTTATTTTGAGGAATAAATGTAATATTGTACCTAAGTAATGGCAAAATGCTTGGCACATAGGACTTGTTTAACGAACATGAGCTGTTATTAGCTAGACTGATTCACCTGGCTGGAGTCACTGATTCCACTGTAGGTCATCCTAGTTCCCTGCCTTTTACTACCAACGAAACACAGATTGCAACACATTAATGGCTGGTGAAATCAATAGTTTATTGTGACCAGCATTAAAAAAAAAAATTGTAGGCTGGGCACGGTGGCTCACGCTTGTAATCCCAGCACTTTGGGAGGCCAAAGCAGGCGGATCATGAGGTCAGGAGATCGAGACCATCCTGGCTAACACGGTGAAACCCCGTCTCTACTAAAAATATAAAACATTAGCTGGGCATGGTGGTGGAAGCCTGTAGTCCCAGCTACTCGGGAGGCTGAGGCAGGAGAATGGCGTGAACCCAGGAGGTGGAGCTTGCAGTGAGCTGAGATCGCACCACTGCACTCCAGCCTGGGCGACAGAGGGAGACTCCGTCTCAAAAAAAAAAAAAAAAGAAAAAAAAAAAGTGTAATGAAATGATGTACAACAGAATAGAATGGGTTGGAATTTAATAGAACTGAAAAGAACAGAATAGGATAGCATTTTTAAAAAGTGAATTGTGTATAGTTAGGATAATGATTGTTTCAGTGTGTGGGTATAAAACATATTTATTATTGTGGGTTTTGGCCAAAAGAAGCTTGAGAAACACGGGTTTCCATGATTCCTTTTGCCTGGAGTACTGAAGCTTAGTGCCGCCCTCCAATGGATTTTCAACAGCCTGTTGGAGCCCCACTTCCTTGAAAAGTTTTCACATGATTTTCTTTAGCCAGAGTGCAAAACCTGTGGAAGCCATGGGTACGTTTTAAACAAGGGAGTGATGAGATGTGATTTACATTCTAAGAACAGGCGCTCCTGTGAAGAGGAAGCCTCAGGAGGGAGTGAGAGCAGAAGGGAGCCCACCTGTGGTTGTCTCAGCAACAGCAGAAGAACCTGGGCCGCTGGGAGTGGAGTTGGAGAGAAACAGGTTGATTTGGAAGTTCTTCTGCAGGTAGAACGGAAAGGCGAATTCTGCAAGATGCTCTGGGGTCCACTGAGCTCAGCTGCTGAGGCTCAGCTCTTTCTGTGGCTTCTTCTTGAGCAGCCTGTTGACCAAGATGTGGCCCATGCCACTCCCTATATTCGGAGTCCATTTTCTGATGCCCTCTCTCAGCTCTTCGCCTGCACTCATCTGTGACTGCCTGGTACTGCTAGGAAGCCTCTGTTTGTGTCTCATCTCTCCAGGTGGACTGGAGCTCCTGGGGGTCCTTTCCTTTGTGGGGGTTCTCAATATCAGAATGGAGTCGCTTATGTCAAACCCTAACAAAATGGAGGTGGAGGTCACGAATTGGAGCCTATATGCGTGCCTGTAACAGGACTTGTCACAAGGAATCCCTGCACATATGTGTATGATGGGGACTATGCCAGGAACTCCTCACATATGGAGGATTCGAGGTAAGCCATTTGCTCAAGGACACTTACCCAGCAATGGCAGCCTCCACTAATGAGACATCGCGAACTCCTGTAATCAATGGTCTTTGTTTCTAAACAGCTTATGTGGAATTCTCCGTTTTTTTGTCTGTAAAAGTTTTCTTTAGCCCCAGTCTCTTTGGATATGCCTATGATTCATCATAGCACATGTTTCCCAGGTTGCAATCCCCTGCAATTCCCAAATAAGCTCCTTTTGTGGAGATCCTGTCTCTCTCTGTCATTATTTAGGTTGACACCTTTTATGTCCTGCATTGCTGTTGATGACACCCACATTTGTACCTCCTGCTTGAATGTCCCCTCCCCCAACTCCAAAATTCCTCTCTCTGTCTACCCTGTACCTCTATTTGAACCACTAAGAGGCATCTCAGACTTAAAGTGTCCCAAACTGAGCCCCTGTGATGCCCCCAGAGCTGCTCCTCCCCACCACCTCCTCCTCAGCAATGGCAGCTTGATTCTTCTTTGGGCTTTATTCAGTCCCCCAACTTTGGAGCTTTCTTGACCCCTCTCTATTGCTCACATGCCATATTCAATGTGTAGGCAAATCCTTTGGCCCTGCCTTCCAAAGACATGCAGAATCTACTCACTTCTCGCCACCTCGCTGTCTCACTCTGCGTCAGGCCACCCTGTGTGTCCTTGCACAATTGCGGGAGCCTTGGCTCGAGTCCTCCAGACCTTCTACCTCTTTGACTTCATCTAGTGCTGCTCCAAGCCCCGTGCTCTTCCTTGGACACACCAGGCATGCTGCCAGCAGAGCCTTTGCATGTGCTGTTCCCTTTGTCGGGAAGCCTTTTCCCCAGCTATCTGCTCAGCTCATCCGCTGTCTCTTTCGTCCTCGCTCAGATTCCCCTTCTCTGTGAAGCCTTTCTGACCATCCTCATTAAAATCAAATAACCCCACCCCTCCACTCTCTTGCCCATTTTCCTCATCCATTTCCCCCTAGGACTAATCACTCTCTAACATTCTCTATATATTTTTCTGATATATTTGTTTATATGTCTTGCATAAACAAAATGATTTGGTTTATGGTCTATCTCTTCTTGCTAGAATGTGAGCTCTACAAGGGTAGGGATGCTTATTTTGTCACCGTTGTGTCCCTGACTCCTAAAATGCTGACGGTGTGGCCAGCTGCATGCCCTGCTGTCTCTATTTTGAAACTCTAACAAAATTTTGGACAAGACCCTCCTCTTTCATTTTATGCTGGACCTGGAAAATTACAGAGCAGGTTCTGACTTCCAGGCACATGGTACGCATTCAATAAATAATCTCTTGAATGAATGTTGAATGTAGTGGTTTTCAAAGCAGATGGGAGATAAGAGGTTACTGAGTGGTTGACTGAATGGAGGGAGGGCTGATCATTCATTCATTCACGCATTCATTCATTCACTAACATTCAACAAATATTTACCTGACATCCTTAGGGATTAAATTTCTGTCCACTGATAGTGAACCTCATGCATCATGTTGCACAGTCCATAGATGTGAGGGATTTTACGAACACAACACCCTGTGATGTAGGTATGATTGTCTCCACTTCCAGATGAGGATACTGAGAAGTTAAGGCATTGCCTGAGGTCATGTGGCTAGTGGAAGCCACAGGCAGGATTATCCCATGGCTGGCCAGGCTGAGCTGTAGGGGCAGCTCCTGTACTCTCAGCCTCCTCCTTCAGAATCCCTCCTCCTCACTCCCCATTCGTGGGCTGCTTCTCCCAGGATCAGGCAGCCTCTGCCCACCTTTTCTCACTTCACCCTTTCTCCTTGCAGAATTAGAAAGAATCGGCTCCAGCTATTTGTTTCTTACTGTGGATTTATCCATGTGTCACCTCTCCCAGGCAGAATTACATTCTGAAGGCATCTCTAATTGAGATTGCTCCATGGGGAAGGACTCTTAGGGCTCAGAAAGCAGGTGGTAAAGCCCTGGAGTGAGGCAGGAACCCCAAAGCCCTATGACACCCCATATAGGTACCCCCAAACCTGCCTATACTTCAGGCCAGGCCCCCAGTATAGAGATGGAAAAATAGTCCCACTTTTGGTCACAGATTCTGGAAAACTGTGAGATTCTGGGGAAATCCATTTTGAGTAATACCTTTTAGAAGAAGAAAAAAATGGAAGTAGCTTATCATAGAATGGGTTTTGTTAGACAAAGATGGCAATTCAGGAGGAAACATAAATTTAACAACTCTCAAGTATGCACAGCTGACATCTCGTAGAGCGGGGCTGGTGACTAAGCCAGAAGTTACTGTCTGCATCCTTTGTAACTTACAAATAAAAATGAGGACCAGACATTAGTTATGAAATGCATGAACAACCACTGCTCTGGGAGCCACATAAAAAGATGGTGATTCCAAACATTTAACCTTAGCATTTGTCTGTGTGGTTTCATTTGAAAATGATGGGGTGCTTGAAACTCTCAGAACTTAGAAAACTCTTAAGTTTTTTTTTTTTTCTTAAGACAGGGTCTTACTCTGTTGCCCAGGCTGGAGTGCAGTGGTGCAATCATAGCTCACTGCAGCCTTGAACTCCTGGCCTCAAGGGATCCTCTTGAATACCTGGGATTACAGGTGCATGCCATCGTGGCCAATTTTTAAATTTTTTTGTAGAGACAAGGGCCTTACTATGTTGCCCAAGCTGGTCTTGAACTCCTGGCCTCAAGAGATACTCCCACCCTAGCCTCCCAAAGTGCTGGGATTACAGGTGGGAGCCACCATGCCTGGTCAAAACTCTATGCATTGAAATAACAAATATAAGAAATAGATAAAAATATAATACATAATGAATATAATAAATATAATAAATATACAAATATATAAATATTGTATTCTATATGTAAACTCATGTATTTTATATATGAATATATTATATGCGTAACATAATATATTGTGTGTGTATTATGTGCATAACATAATATATTGTGTGTGTATTATGTGCGTAACATAATATATTGTGTGTATTATGTGCGTAACATAATATATTGTGTGTGTATTATGTGCGTAGCATAATTATTGTGTGTGTATTATGTGCGTAGCATAATATATTGTGTGTATTATGTGCGTAACATAATATATTGTGTGTGTATTATGTGCGTAACATATTGTGTGTGTATTATGTGCGTAACATAATATATTGTGTGTATTATGTGCGTAACATAATATATTGTGTGTGTATTATGTGCGTAACATAATATATTGTGTGTGTATTATGTGCGTAACATAATATGTTGTGTGTATTATGTGCGTAACATAATATATTGTGTGTATGTGTGTAACATAATATATTGTGTGTATATTATGTGTGTAACAATATGTTGTCTGTATATTATGTGTGTAACATAATATATTGTGTGTCTATTATGTGTGTAACATAATATATTGTGTGTCTATTATGTGTGTAACATAATATATTGTGTGTCTATTATGTGTGTAACATAATATATTGTGTGTCTATTATGTGTGTAACATAATATATTGTGTGTCTATTATGTGTGTAACATATATTGTGTGTCTATTATGTGTGTAACATAATATATTGTATATACATTTGAAAATATTGTATATATAAAGTATATAACATAAAAATCAGAAATAAACATAAGGAATGTAAGTATTGAAATTACATTGTGAGCTTGCTTTTTGTACTCAGACCTTCCCCACAGTGTTAGGATGGTTTCATTGGCAAATAAAAGAAACTGAACCCAACCCAGCTTAGGACTTCAGGAAAATTGATTGAATGATTGCTTGATTGCTTCTATGATTGAAAACGCTGCCTCACCTCCAGGCCTCCCTGGCTTGATGCCCAGAGGGGCAAAAGGAGCTTCTCTTTTCTCCCAGCAGTCACATGTCAAATCCTAGATGAGCTCAGGCTGGCCTTACTTGGACACACGCCCCTCCCTTGGGCCTTTGACTTAGCAGGAAGGATGGGGGGCTAATTAGCCAGAACTTGAGGGGGCCAGACACTGTGACTGAACCCCCAGAATCAATACCATCAGCTTTGGGGAGAAGCAGCTCCCAGGAAAAAGAAACAGTAATTGCCTATAATCTTGCTTTTCTTTCCATGCTGACAAGAGACATTTTCCCTGAGACTGACAGAAAGCGCTGTGTTATAAAGAACTAGTCCTTTCTCTTAGCTGTTTTCATAATTCCAGGTGTTTTCTGTTCCAGTCAAAAGACTCGAGAAAAGAAAAATTTCCCAAGAGAGAGGATCAACTTCTTCTTTATTTTGGGAACAGTAGCTAAAATGTGGTCTCTGGACCCAGGCTAACCTAGATTTCAACACTGCATCTCCTGTGGAGTGTAGGAACTTGGGAATTTAGGTCCAGTTGGCCTTCACTTTCCCTGTTTGCAAAACAGAGATAAAATTATACCCCTCTTAGTTTTATGGTAAGGATTAGATAAAATAACACGTATTACCAAATAGCACAGTTCTTGGTAGATTTTCTTTTATTTACTTTCTCCTTCAAATACCCACTGGGTAATTTTTTACCCCTCGAGAAGCCTTGGAAAAGCAGTGATACTGGATGCATTCCCTTATCTTATCACTTGTCACATTCATTATGCTGAAATCATTCATTTAAGTGTGACTCTCTCTTTTATTTTCCATCAGGCGGCAGGTTCCTTGAGATCCAGGGCCATGTGTTATCCGTTTTGATGTCCCCAGTGTCAGACTTAATGCCTGGGAACACAATAGGAATTCAACCAATGTGGAGCTGCTGAACTATTGAACCACCAGATAGAGCTTTTGAGGGTGACCGATCGTTATTGCCTTTAGAAAAGCAAGATTGGTGGGTTACACCCACACAGAGCCAAGTTAGACTATTTTCTGGAATTTGTTTAACCCAGGGTATGTATTTACCTGGACCACAAAGAGAATGTTGATGTGACCAAGTCATCTTATAGGGGAATGGCAAGGAAGGGAAGAGGCAACAGGGAGTTACATGGCTGGGTTGGAATCTTAACTCTCCCGCCTACTTGCTTGTGGAATCTGAAGCAAGTTTTTTCATCTATTTCTACCTCAGTTTTCTGATTTTTAAAATGGTACAATAATACCAACTACATGGGACTATTGGGATAATTAAATGAGACAATGTATTTAAAAAGCCACTGCAGGCCGGGCGTGGTGGCTCATGCCTGTAATCCCAGCACTTTGGGAAGCCGAGCAGTTGGATCACTTGAACTCAGGAGTTCGAGACCAGCCTGGGCAACATGATGAAACCCCATCTCTACAAAAATACAAAAAAATTAGCCGGGCATGGTTGGCATTTGCCTGTAGTCCCAGCTACTCGGGAGACTGAGGTGGGAGAATCGCTTGAACCTGGGAAGCAGAGGTTGCAGTGAGCCAAGATTGCATCACTGAACTCCAGCCTGAGACCCTGTTTCAAAAAAAAAAAAAAAAAAAAAAAAAAAAAAAAAAAAAAAGCCACTGCCTTGAGGCATCAACATACAATATGGAAGAGTCCCTGAGCTGGGGCCACAGGGTTTGCTTGGTAGGCACTGTGTTTGTAGGAGTACAGTCTTAACTGCTGTAACAAAGGGGCTCCAAAGTACAGTGACTTACCAAGAGAGAAGTTGATCTGTTTCCATGTCACAGTCTGGAGGTCAGCAGGTCAGGGCTGCTGGGGTAGCTCCACATCCTTAATACGTGCTTTCCATTTCTGTGTCTAAGGAGATACCCTGGTTCTTCTCCTCTCCTTCCAGCAGTGGAAAGGGGGAAAGGGACTGGGCACAAGGGGTCGATGATACTACCAATTTTTTGAGGGCAAGATCAGGATGTGACCCTCATCACTTCTGCTGGCTTTACCTCGTCACATGACCATGGCTACTGCAAGGGAGACTGGGAAATGTAGTCTTTGGCCAGGCAGCCATGTTGCCAGCTAAAATTTATACTACAGAAGTATAGAAAAACAAAAATTGGGAGACAACCAGCCACCTGCCATAGCCACTTAGGACCTCACGAAAAAAGGCAAGAGTGATAGTTACCTCTCAAAAGGGCTCTTTGCTGGGTTCCCTTGGCAGCAAGTGCATAGTACAAAGTCTAACTCCCCATGAACCAGAAGGGAATTCAGGAAATGATTCAGGCTCCCTGGCTGACTCAAACACTCAGGATCCTGGAGAGAAAAGTAGCCATACACCCATTTGGGGCTTGGGGTTTAGTTTATAATAATAATAATGACTTTGGCACAGAAAACTTCCTGAGGGTTAATGAATGACTGGCTTGGATTAATAGCCCAAATCACTGCTGAAATCTATCAACTCCTTCCAGCTTCATATTAATCTACAGGAAATTCTTTGTATACCGAGCTATTACAGCTTCAATCTCACAAAATAAAAATGAATGGATGTTTCATTAGAACTTGGAAAAAAACTTGATCACCATTGTGGGTGGCCACCATGCTGTTATTATTTTTTTTCCAGGCACATTTCCTGCATTTCCTCCGGTTCTCTTTCTGGCTTCAATTTGCTGCAGTGGCAACAGCAGCAGCTGGCCCTCTAGACTAACATCTCCTTGCTATTTATAATACACTTTGCAATGCTCATTATTTCTTAACTTTGTCTTCCCAGATAGACTGGGAGCTCCATGAGGTCCGAGACAACCTGAAGACGCCCAGCTCAGCAGAGACTGGCTACGGCAATCACTCAGTAACTATTTGTTGAATTGGACATAATAGAAGAGCTGAAGAATTTTAAACAAGTCACCATCAGTGCAGTGGATTCCTCAAAGCAAACCTGGAAATCTCGGCATGAGTTGGATTTAAGGCAGTACATTTTCAGCTCCTGAAAATTTGAACAGTTTCTCAAGAGAACAACTTGAAACAGAAAGGCAAGGATGTAGATGTGGTTGTAGAAGATGATGTCTGCGGCCACCAAACTGTCCACTGTGAAGACAAACCATGCATGTTTAGTAGGCAGTGGCTCCTCTTCCCTGTGGGGAGTCCCACTGCTTCCCTGGCCTGGGTGTTCTCTGCCGGTAGATGTTATTGACAAAATAAGCAAAGTCCTCTGATTCTGAGAATTAGAGTTAATGATAGCTCTAGATTGCCTCTGCCATGCTATTTAAAGTCCTGCTTTATTGTCTGACATGAGTTCGGCATCTATGAGGACTTGTCCAGTGCAAAGTACAATCTCCACTGAAAGATATCACCAGCACATCTTGTCACTGTGCTGTAGCAAGCTGGGCAGTACAATGATGTTGGCAGGATCCTGTTTAGGTGGAGGATGGCCACCTGGGCATCAAGAATCTTCTACCCTGATTCCACATTGACTCCCCAAAGTGGGCTTCAGACAGCTCTTTACTTACGTCTTCTGATTAAAGCAGCAGACAGGGTCCCAGCTAGAGAAAAGTTCTGGGAGCAGGAGAGGTGTTGGTGGCTTTAAAACCAGGGGTGAAGATTGAATTAGGAGGTTAGGCAGGAGTAGGATCAAAGACTTAGAAAATGCTTGTTTCCTCCTATTATTCTTATGAGAGCTGATACGGGGCTTTCAGTTTTGGGGGAGAGCCTTGGAAGAGAATGAGGGAATTTAATCAACTAGCGGGACCTTTCCAACTTACATTTCCCAGTGTTTGTTGGATGATACGTTTGCCTAATAAGTTAAAGCTTCCAAAAATAGAAAGGAAAGCTTGGTGACACTAAGCTCTGGCATGCTGTCATCTTCTGGCTAGGGGTCTTGTGCTTCTGTTTTTCTATTTCTGACCAAAGACATAAAATGTGTTGTGACCTCTCAGGTAATGCTGTGGTATCATGTCCAAGCAGTAACTAACCAGAGTGGAGTTTTTACAGGTAAAAAAGTATTGAATAGCTCAGCAACAGGGAGGACTTAATGATAAATTGCTTTTTCAGAAAATGACAAGGGGACAGACACTTGCGGTTCTTCCATTGAGAGCCTTAAGGAAGTTAAGCGAAGCCTCTGCTCACCCCTTCAAGTAACGATGACCCATCAGATCGTGGTCATAACCAGTAGCATCTGAGGCACCCCTAAGCTCTCTGGGCCCCAGATTCCTTGTTAAGTTAAATGAGGTGACTTCCCAGTTTACCATTCTAGGGGTTCCTGAGGAGTTAAAAATGAAGGAGAAAATGCAACATGTACCAAGTGAGCAAGAGCTCAAGGCTTATCTCTGGCACGAAAGTGACCGCTGTCCGTTAGAGATGTGATTGCCCTAGATTTCCTTTAGGAAATGCAAACATTGAACTCTGGCCTTCAGGACCCAAGTCCCGGCTTGCATCTATTCTATACACTTTCTGTTATTTGTTAGGGCTCACAAGGAACAGTTATTTATCTTTTATTTTCTATTTTTTTTTTAGAGATGGAGTCTCACTCTGTCTCCCAGGCTGGAGTGCAGTGGTGCCATCTCAGCTCACTGCAACCTCCACCTCCCGGGTTCAAGCAATTCTCCTGTCTCAGCCTCCTGAGTAGCTGGGACTACAGGCGTGTGCCATCATGCCCGGCTAATTTTTAGTATTTTTAGTAGAGGCAGGGTTTCACCATATTGGCCAGGCTGGTCTTGAACTCCTGATCTCAAGTGATCTACCCTCCTTGGCCTCCCAAACTGCTGGAATTACAGATGTGAGCGACCACACCTGGCCCATTTGTTTTCTTTCAAACCCTTCTGTAAGACCAGTGCTTTAGGTGAACACGTGGACAGAACAAGATCATCACTATTTTGCAATATGAAGACCAACTGCGCTGTGACCAGAAAAACAGAGGCAAAATGTTGAGCTTAATGATACCTTTTTATAATTTGTATTTGGTGTTTCTCAATTTTCCATTGGATAGTTTGAGAGATAAGTACAAGTCAATGACATGTTCTCTTTCGTACCCTATTGTCTAATCCTGCTAACACACACACACACACACACACACACACTGATTACCTAATTTATCTGTTCCCCGATTATTACACTCTCAATTGCTGCAGAGTCTCAGAAGCAGCATGGTGTAACAGAAAGAATATGAGGCTTAGAATCCAAAAGCCAGAGTGTGAATTCCAGCTCCACTGACTTGCTGCGTGACTTGAAGCAAGTCATTACGTGTCTCTGTTTACTCATTTTATGACTTTCCTATTGCCTCTGTAATATAGCACCACAAACGTGTGGACTTAAAACAACATGCATTTATTCTCTTAGCGTTCTGGAGGTCAGGAGTCTGACATCAATTTCGTTGGGCTAAAATCAAGATGTTGGTAGGACCAAGATCCCCGTGGAGGCTCTGGGAGAACCCATTTCCTTGCCTTTGCCAGCTTCTAATGCTGCATTCCTTGCATTCCTTGATTGTTGACCTCTTCCCCCATCTTCAAAGCCAGCAGAACAGCACCTTGTTTCATTGCCTTCTTTACTGTCAAATCTCCCTCTGCCTTCTTCTTATAAGAACACTTGTGGTTGCATTTAGAAGCTGTGATAATCCAGAATAATATCTTTATCTCAAGATCTTTGACTTGGTCTCTTCTGCAAAGTCTCTTTTGCCACAGAGGGAAATATTCACAGGTCCCAGGGGTCAGGCTGTGTACGTCTTTGGGGGACTTTATTCTGCCTACCACACTCATCTTTTTTTTTTTTTTTTTTGGATGGAGTCTTGCTCTGTCACCCAGGCTGGAGTGCAGTGGCATGATCTCGGCTCACTGCAACTTCTGCCTCCCCAGTTCAAGCAATTCTCCTGCCTCAACCTCCCAAGTAGCTGGAATTACAGGCGCCTGCCACCACGCCCGGCTACTTTTTGTACTTTTAGTAGAGATGGGGTTTCACTATGTTGGCCTGGCTGGTCTTGAACTCCTGACCTCAGGTGATTCCCCCACCTTGGCCTCCCAAAGTGCTGAGATTACAGACGTGAGCCACCATGCCCGGCCCCACACTCATCTATTAAGTAGAGCTAGGAATTCCTATCCTAAGGGACACAAAAATGAAAAAAGATAAAATTTGTGAAGAGGCACATAATGAAAGCCCATACATGTCACTGAGTTCAGAGGAGGGTGGGTCTGACCTCCCATTGGCTGGTCTCTGCCTGATGGACATCGTGAAGAAGAGAGCCAGGACTAGTGTGGCTGGGGGATGTTCAGGGGCCAGAGTGGCTTCAGGTGCCAGCAGCCCTGGCCGAAGGATGACTCCAGGAGCAAGGCTCAGAGCCGAGTGGAAGAAGCTTCATAAACGCAACTGAGCCAAGCATGATGGGATGTGCCTGTGGTTCCAGCTACTCAGGAGGCAGGTGGGAGGATGGCTTGAGTCAGAAGTTCGAGGCTGCAGTGAGCTATGATCACACTACTGTACTCCAGCCTGGGTGACAGAATGACACCCTGTCTCTAAAAAGAAAAGGCACCTGGATGCTCATGACCGAGATGGGGTGGGGTGGGTGGGGTGGGACAGCCGCACTTTATAACTTTGCTTTCAGCATGATGTGGATTAGTGTCTCCCATGTGGGAAAATTATGTTTACCACTTAGAGACCTGATAGTGCTTGCTTACCCCATAACGCTGGACGGTGGCAGGCTTAACTCCCCCATCAAGGGCCTTAATGTATTTGGGGCCCTAGTCCTAGCAACAGCAGCAAATCTCCTTTTTCTTTTCCTCGAGCTGGTTGTTCACCAGGCAGTTGGGATGTTAATGGGAAGAGAAGACACACACAAGTCCCTTGTTTTCAATAAGGCAGTCTGGTCACGTCCTTAGCAGGTTATTAATCTTTTTCAAACCCCTCCTCTCCACCAAGTTTTATGATCCTGGGAAGGAGATTCCTACCTAGCATCCTTAGAGTTATCGGGGGTTAGGATCGGTGCATGCAGTCACTTCCGTGGAATCATCAGTAGCCCTCCAGCCTCTGGGGAGAGCTGCCAGTGGTCAGAGATGTTGGGAATTACGAGGGAGGAGCTAGGGAGAAGGAACTCACAGTCCCTCAGTCTCTGAAGGTGGCTCCTGGCAGGAGAGGGGGCCAGTCCTAGATAAGAGCTCTCCCAGGGAATTCCAAGGGTCCTCCCAAGGTCCAGCCACAAGATGAGGAATTACTGTTGGGCTCTTCCTCAGATGTGCCTGTGAATTCATATCACAGATGCTTGATGCATTTGACAATTGTTTAATTGCTTGAGCCCAACTGATACTCTTTCAGTCACTTTAAGGGAGTGATTTCAAGTATGATCATTGCCTCAAATCTGTATGGCTTTCCTTGCCTTTCAGGTGCTTTAAGAGGGCTTATGTTCTTTGACTCCCCTAGTAACTCAAAAGGGTGGCTAAGATGCAACTCTGGAGGTTTCCAAGCTCTCTGCAAAGCCTGCCTTCAGTAGTCTGTGCACCACAAGAAGCATAACTTTATTATCCTCTAGCTGAATTTACCTCCTGCTTCGAGCCCCTGTTTTCCCATGTCATTTTAGGGGTCCAATGTTTTTCCTGGAGGCATATACACACACACACACACACACACACACACACACACACACACACACACACACACATATATACACACACACATTCCAGGGGCCTCTGAGGTGCCAAGACATGTGTGGGGTCCATCTGGTTCACACTGATGTCCATGATCATTGAGTTCATTTTTTATATCAACTATGTGACACTTCCTATAGTTTCCAGTTCCTGGTTAGAATTTGCAAAGTTGCCGACTATTTCTTTGAATAGAGTAGCTAGATCATGGGTCTACACCAGTCATCAAGCAGCGATTTCCCTGTTGGAAGCTCCAAGCAAATTGTCAGCTCCAGCATTCCACACAGCTGTGGGTGCCACACTCCTTTTCCTTTTAAAAGATGATGATCTGCTAGTGGTGAATGCTCTTGGAGTTTTATTTGTAGGTTTTTCTTGTTGTCGCAAATGTCTATATTTCATCTTCCCTCTTGAGGGATATTTTCCATGGGTAGAGGATCTAGGCTTTTCTTTTGGATTCCATTGTGGCTTTAAAAAAAAGTCAGTTGACTGTTTATTTATGGCTTCTCTAAAGGTGATCTCTTTCTTCCTAAGGCTGCTTTAAAAGTTTCCGTTCCCTCCCTCCCTTCCTCCCACCCCATCCCCCTTCTTCCTTTCCTTCCTCCCTCCCTTCCTCCCTTCTCTTCCTCCCTTTCTCCCTTGTCTTCCTCCTTTTCTCCCATCCTCCCTTCCTCCCTCTTTCCTTCTTTTTTCCCTTCCTCCCGCCCTCCTTCCTTCTTCCATCATTATATATTAAAATATTTTCTTTCTTTCTTTTTTTTTTTTGAGATGGAGTTTCGCTCTTGTTGCCCAGGCTGGAGTGCAACGGTGTGATCTTGGCTTACTGCAACCTCCACCTCCCTGGTTCAAGCGATTCACCTGCCTCAGCCTCCCTAGTAGCTGGGATTACAGGTGCCCGCCACCACACCCAGCTAATTTTTGTAATTGTAGTAGAGATGGGGTTTCACCATGTGGGCCAGGCTGGTCTTGAACTCCTGAACTCAGGTAATCCACCCGCCTTGTCCTCCCAAAGTGCTGGAATTACAGGCATGAGCCACCACTCCCAGCCTATTAAAATATTTTCTTCTGGGCCTTCCCTCCTTTTACTTCTTTTGATACCGCCATCAAATGCATGTTAGGTTGACTCACTGTGTACTCTATTACCCTCTCATCTGGTTTTTAATCTTTCTGTCTCCTTATACTGTAATCTCAGTGTTTCTTCTGCTTTAATTTTGGTATATGAATTATTCAGCTGTGTTCAAAGTGTGGTTAAAGCGACTTATATGCTCTTTAATTTTTAGTTATTGTACTTTTCACCTCTAGAAGTTCTTCTGTGACACTTCTTATAGTTTCCAGTTCCTGGTTAGAATTTGCAAACTTGTTGACTATTTCTTTGAAAAGAGTAGCTAGAATTGTTTTAGTCTGTGTATAGTGAGTTGAATATCTGAAACCTCTGTGAGTCTGTTTCTTTTGTCTGCTAGCCCTACTCATGGCGTCATGTTTTCCTGGATGTTTAGTTGGTTGTCTTTGAATATGTCCAACTCCAGTTATTTCTGGGAATACCCAAAGGCACACCTGTTCACTATCACCCAGTGAACTGCCATGTGTTTGTCTCCTGTCATGGTAACATTTGCATTCAGGGAGAGGCCTCTGCTCTCTGCAGAACAGTGTGAAATCACCTCATTTTTGCCTTCAATGAAGGTTGTCTCTTGCTGGTCACCACCACTTCCTCAAATGACTAATGCCACTCTTGCTCACAGTGCTAAGGCGCTAAGGAGTTTTCAGAGGGCTAGAGTGATTCTGCATCCTCTGGGGTTCTCAGGAAACGAGGCCACAGGGCCATCTGTGCATGAGTGACAGTGGGGTGGGGTGGATGAGCAGTGGCAGTGGTGGGCACCTATGCTGCTGGCGCCACAGCTTTTTATATCTTGGTGAAAACAACGCCTTGCGTTTTCACTTGTAGATTCTCCGGCTACATTCCACAAGAACAAATTCTGGTCACAGAGGCCAGAGTAGACTATCAGTGTAATGGCCCTTCCCCTTTGATGATAGCAGCTTTTTTCGGGGGAGCAGGGGTGGCCAAACTTCCTAGCCTTATTTTATCTTCCTTTCTAGTTCTCCCCAGAGGCTGCTGGGTCCACCTCTCCCTCTGCCAGACAGACAGGCTCAGACATGCAAGAACGGAAGGGGGTGTGGGGGTTGGTGGGAGGATTAAGTTGGGGAAAGCCAGTCTTGTCTTTGTAGATTACCAGAACTGACACACGTACACACACGTACACTCACTCACTCACTCACTCATCTATTCATCTATTTTTGGCCTAAGTGCCTTTGGACACTTCTTCGGAAAAGCACATGAACTCTTCGGAGTCTCCTGTTCCACTTGGTAAATTTCCTATAGCCACGCACTGAAAGTCCCTGCTGCCCTCCTTCCTCTGAGCTTGTGGGGCCCACAGATCCCCTGCTCCACTTCCTGCTTCATTTCAGCTGATGGTGAGTCCAGGGCAGGCTTGTAGGAAGGGCGGGCTAGGCGTGGGGAACTGCAGCACCCACCCCACCCCCCGCCCCAGTGCTTGTTGCCCCAGCCTCTGTCTCCCTCGCTGTGCCCTTCCCTTAAGCCCCACTCTTGGCCTCCCCAAAGACAGAGTTTGTTCTGTTTTTATTGATAGGATGACACTCCCTCGTTCTAATACCATCTGAATGCCTGAGCAATTACATCTTACAACCTCATGAAAAACACAGCAGCTTGTCACGATGAATGATGTTACCGTGAATAATGCAGTTTTGAGTTCAAACTCCTTCTTATTCCAAGAATGAGTAAATATCCCTATTCCCTCCCCTCCCCATTGCATTTGGGTTTGACATGACATGAATCATTGTGGTTTTACTCCTGGGTAGAATTGTTTTTCTGTATTGCATTGCCAATTGATGGAAGGACAAAAAAAGGAAACTTACCAATGAGCAGTTTCAGATGAACTTAAATTCTCAGAAATCTTGAAGAATGAATGAACTATAACTTTCTGAAGTTGCAAAAATGTTCAAGTCGGAAGTGACCCATGGGAAGCAACCTGGTCCTTAATTAGGACTGGAAAGAAAACGGAGGCCCAGCGAGGGAACAGTGGCTTCCCCAAGGTCACACTGCAAGTGAGTGGTGGCACTAGTCACCCAGGAGTCCTCCTGACTCCATGGTATCCTGACCCCAGACCAGCAGCCTTATTTGTGGTTAAAGAACGTGGAAAAACAGCTTATGTTTGAATTTTAAAATCATGCCAGTACTAAAGATCTGCATTCCATGAATATTGAGCTTTGCTGTGTGCGGGTTGCTACGAATTTTGTAACTATTTTCTCTAAGAGCTCTCAGTATTTTACATATACAATTCCATTCTTTATTGTCCAGGGAAAAAGTTGCATTTACTGAGCAGTAAGAGGGTGATTTGAAGTCCCTGGGGTCCCCCACCCTTGTCTTTCTATGTGAGATTGTATTGCAGGGCTCACATTTATTCTCTCAGCAGCTCATTGCACAGACAGTGTATTTATTGAGCACCTACTGTGTGCCAGGAGCTATGTGGTAAGCTAAGCAGACAAAAACTCCTGCTCTCACAAGAAGAAAGAATAAACAAGCAGACAATTGCACCTATAATGTCAGCCTGGTGTGATGGCTCACTCCTGGAATCCTAGCACTTTGGGAGGTGACGATGGGAGGATTGCTTTAACTCGGGAGTTCAAGATAAGCCTGGGCAACCAAGACCCTGTCTCTACAAAAAAATCAAAAAATTAGCTGGGGGTGATGGCATGAGTCTCTGGTCCCTCGGGACCAGAGGCCTCGGGAGGCTGAGGCGGGTTTATCACTTGAGCCTGGGAGGTTGAGGCTGCAGTGAGCTGTGATCACACCACTGCACTCCAGCCTGGGCCACAGAGCGAGACCCTGTCTCTAAATAAACAAACAACCTAATGTCAAGTTAGGAAGTGTGGCAAAAAGGAACAAAGTCAGGGTGACTGCCATTCTAGAAAGGGTGGTGAGGGAAGGTCTCCTTGAGCAGATCCTGTGGGAGTGGAAGGGTAAGTCACGAGACTCTCTGGAGGAAGAAGATTCCAGGTGGAAATGCCTTAGTGGGTGTTAAACGCTTTAACGGGTGTTAGCCAGAAAGCCAGAATGGCTGGAGCTGAGGGAGTAGAGGAGGCGGCATAGAAAATGAGGTCAGAGATGGAGGCAGGGCCGGATCACAGAGGGGCACAGAGAACGAGGAGGGAATTGGATTTTTGGAAAAGATTGTGGCAAAATACAAAATATAAAATACAAAAATAAAATATAAACCATAAAATGTACTACCTTTACCATTTTAAGTATGCAGTTCAGTAGTGTTAAATACATTTACATCATTGTTCAACCCGTCTCCAGAACTCTCTGCATCTTGCAAAATTAAAACTCTATGCCATTTCAACAGTTCGCATTTCCTCTTCCCTCTCGTTCATGGCAACCGCCATTTTTCTTTCTGTCTCTGTAAATGTTAGTACTTGGGGTATCTCATCTAAGTGGAATCACACAGTGTGTGTCCTTTTGTGACAGACTTATTTCACTTTGCATAATGTCCTTAATATTCATCCATGTTGTAGCATGTGTCAGATTTTCCTTCCTTCTTAACATTGTGTAATATTCCATTGTACGCATAGACTACATTTAGCTTATCTGTTCACCTGTGGATGGACACTTGGGTTGCTATAGTGAATAATATTGCTGTAAATATGGGTATACGATTATCTCTTTGTGACCCTGCTTTTAATTGTTTTGGATATATACCCAGAAATGGAATTACTGAATCATGTGGAGATTCTGTTTTTGATTTATTTATTTATTTTTAATTTTTGAGATGGAGTCTCGTTCTGTCACCCAGGCTGGAGTGCAGTGACACGATCTCTGCTCACTGCAACCTCTGCCTCCTTGCACCATTAATTCTGAAAATGCAGGCCTGGATCCAACCGCCTTTGGGGACGGGTACCTGCCCACAGGAAGAGGTTGAGGAGACAATAATGTCACGAGAATCATCATCTTTGACTGGGAAATGGTGTGCAGAGTTTCTGGTGCCTTCTGAAGTGATTGTCGCATCTCAGCCTCCCTAGTAGCTGGGATTACAGGCATTTGCCACCAAGCCCGGCTAATTTTTGTATTTTTAGTAGAGACGGGGTTTCATCATGTTGGCCAGGCTGGTCTCAAACTCCTGACCTCAGGTGATCCACCTGCCTCAGCCTCCCAAAGTGCTGGGATTATAGGTGTGAGCCATGCACCTGGCCTGATTGGTTATTTAAATTCTGAGATGGGGTATACTAATGTTTGAAAACCACAGGGATGGGATAGGTATAGGTGGGGAGGGAGAGCAAAAGTGGTATTTAGAATATGTTACGTTTGAAAAACCTAATACACATTCTACATCCAAGTGGACATAGATGGAGTTATTTGAAGCTCAGAAGACACCTGAGTTGGAGACAGGAATTTGTGGATCATCTGATATATTTAGCATTTATAGCCACAGGGCTGCTGCCTGACTTTTTTTCCCCCTAGACAGTTTCGCTCTTGTTGCCCAGGCACGACCTTGACTCACTGCAACCTCTGCCTCCCGGGTTCAAGCGATTCTCTTGCCTCAGCCCCCCGAGTAGCTGGGATTACAGGTGTCCACCATCACGCCCGGCTAATTTTAGTGCTTTTAATAGAGATGGGTTTCACCATGTTGGCCAGGTTGGTCTCAAACTCCTGACCTCAGGTGATCCACCTGCCTTGGCCTCCCAAAGTGCTGGCCAGGCATGAGCCACTGCACCTGGCCACCACTGCCTGTTTTTGTACCGCTTGGCAAGCTAAGAATGGTTTTCACATTTTTGTTTCTTTTTTTTTTGGAGACGGAGTCTCACTCTGTCACCCAGGCTGGAGTGCAGTGGCACAATCTCAGCTCACTACAAGCTCCGCCTCCCGGGTTCACGCCATTCTCCTGCCTCAGCCTCCCGAGTAGCTGGGACTACAGTTGCCTGCCACCACGCCCAGCTAATTTTTTGTATTTTTAGTAGAGACGGGGTTTCACTGTGGTCTGGATCTCCTGAACTCGTGATCCGCCTGCCTCGGCCTCCCAAAGTGCTGGGATTACAGGCATGAGCCACCGTGACCGGCCACTGCTGCCTGTTTTTGTACTGCTTGGCAAGCTAAGAATGGTTTTCACATATTTGAATATTTGAAAAAAATTTTTCAAGAATACCATTTTGTGGCACACGAAAATTATATGAAATTCAAGTTTCAATGTCCACAAATAAAGTTTTATAGGAACATAGCATGCTCACTCATTTAGGTATTGTTACGGCTGCTTCCACACTACAGCAGCAGGGTTCAGAGGTCATGGCAGAGACCACGTGGCCCACAAAGGTGAATGTACTTCCCTTTGTAGAAGCTGTTTGCCAAACTCTTGGCTAGCAGAGTGAGTCATGAGAGAAGAGAGAAGTGCATGGACTGAGGTCTGTCCAGGGCCTGTCAAGAGCCAGTAACCGTTGCTGTGCGTCAAGGATGCCAAGATGGTGCCTGCTCCATGAGCAACAAAGCCCAGGGGCCCAGCAAGCCAAGGCTGCTTGCCTCTTCCCCTGGGGCCAGCTGTGCATCTTGTGGATGGCTGAAGTTGAGCAACCCATAACAGGCTCCTGACCCACTGTGAGATGGTGGCATGTGAAAGGACCAGCATCCAACAGTCTTGCCCTTACTATATTAGTAATTTCCTGGGGCTACAGGAGCTATTTACTACAAACTGAGTGACTTAAAACAATGGAAATGGATTCTCTCGCAGTTCTAGAGGGTATTATTCTTTCAATCAATCAAGGTGACAGCAGGGCCATGCTCCCAAAGACAGCTCTAGGAAAAGCTCCTGGTTTCTAGCGGCTGCCTGCACTCCTTGGCATTCCTTGGCTTACAGCTGCATCATTCCAGTCTCTGCTTCGGTCACCACGTGCCTTCATCCCTGGGTCGCTTCCATGTCTCTATGTCCAAATGTCGCTCTTCTTATAAGGATGTTAGTCATTGGATCAGGGCCCACCCTAATCTGGTATGACTTCATATTAATGTGATTGCATTGATAAAGACGCTGTTTCCAAATAAAGCCATCGTCACACGTATGGGGACTAGGACTTCAACATATCTTTTTGAGGGACAAAATTCTACTCACTATACTTCCACACACATGCAGATTTCACGTGGTTGAATCTAAGAGTATTTGGGTTCTTGCGATAAAAGGATATGGCCCGGTGACTAATCCTGGGGAAAGAAATAAAAAGAGAAAAAAACCTCTAGTATTGGTGTTAAGACCCTGAGTTTTACTTCATTTCCTCACCACTCCCTGCTGCCTGCAGGCAGGCCAGCTGCCTCCCTAGGGGCAGAATTGGAGAAAGAATACGTCTCTCTGATGTAACTACTGCGCTCAGGCAACCCACTGTGGAGCTTCACAGTGGTTCTCTGCCAAAGATTCTGAGGTTTTTAGCCTGAGATGATAGGTCAAAACCAGGGAGGTGCTCATGGGGGAAAGCAGCACTGGACAGAGTCTAGATGCTGCTTCCCTCAGGCTGTGATGACCTTCAACTGGCCCTCATCCCCAAGAACCTCAGCTTCTTCCTCTGTATTAAGGAAATAACCATAGCCCCGTCCGTCTGTCACAATGTAGAAGCGGGGATGAGAAGTGAAAAGTGAGGTCTTGCAAAGGTCTCGCAAGTCCTCTGCAAAGCTAAGGGGTATTACTGGACAGCGACTTGGATGAGGATGGCCAGACATTGTCCTCCTTCAGGACCAGCTTCTCAGAGCAGAGTCTCCAAACATAATGTCGCTTCCAGATGACGCAAATCTGATATCAGAGAATGACTAAAAGCTTGAAACTTTGCTTTTAATCTGTTGTGGATCAAGTTTCTTTTCAAATAAATCAAAGTCTGTGAACTTAGGAAGGAGGAAAATTGCTGGATATCTTTTTTGGCGGAGGGATGGGGGGCCCTCTGCCAATTTAACCATTTCAAAGTGTCCAATTCCATGGTTTTAAGTATACTCTAGTTCCAGAATTTGCTCATCATCCCAAATAGAATATCTATACTCATTAGCAGCCTCTCCCTGGCTCTTCACCCTTCTCCCGTTCCTGGCTACCATGAATCTGTGTCTGTCTGTATAGATTTGCCTATTTTGGATCTCTTCTCTTCTGTTCTCTTCTCTTTTTAAAGATGGAGTGTCTCACTGTGTCACCCAGGCTGGAGTGCAGTGGCGTGATCTCGGCTCACTGCAACCTCCACCTCCTGGGTTCAAGTGATTCTCCTGCCTCAGCCTCCTGAATAGCAGGGATTACAGGTGCCTGCCACCATGTGCGACTAATTTTTATTTTCTATTTTTTTTTTTTTTTAGTAGAGACAGGGTTTCACCATGTTGCCCAGGCTGGTCTCAAACTCCTGGCCTCAAGTGATCCGCCCGCCTCAGCTTCCCAAAGTTTTGGGATTACAGGCGTGAGCCATCACTCCTGGCCCTATTTTGGCTATTTCATATAGTGGAGTCATACAACATGTGGCCTTTTGTGTCTGGCTTCTTTCTGTCAGCATAATGCTCTCGGGTTCACCCACGTTGTAGCATGTATCAGTATTTCATTTCTTCTTACGGCTGAATAGTGTTCAGTTGTGTGGGTTTGCCATATTTTGTTTATTCATTTATTGATGAACATTTGGGTTGTTTCCATCTTCTGGCTATTATGAATTGTGCTGCTATGAACTATAATGAACATTCTGCATACATTTTTGTTTGAACATCTGCTTTCAGTTCTTTTTGGTATATACCTAGGAGTGGAATTGCTGGGTCAAGCGGTAATTCTGTGCTTAACTTGATGAACCACCGAACTGTTTTCCATGGTGGCTGCACCTGCATCATTTTGCATTCCCACCAGTGGTGATGAAGCTTCCAATTTCTCCCAGATCATGATTTAACACTCATTTTTATTAAATGCAACAACCCTTCCTGCATCTGGCCTGAGTGTCCTGGGCCAGCCAACTGCTTGCTCTCCATCTTTCCTGTTTGGTCAGAGGCCCTGGGTGCAGCCAGTGGGTTACGCACTCTGATCCCCTCAGTGACTTCTCCTGGGAGGTCACCAAGGATACTCATTCAGTCAGGTCTTCCAGAGCCACAGTGTTGATCCTGCAGTGAGGACATGAGTGTGCAGTGACTGGACTCTCTCAGGCAGTCGTGGAAGCAGAGGATTGCTCTGGCCAGCCTGGAGACAGTTCCCATTGGTTCCTGGACTTGATCTGAATCAACTCCTTCTTCCTCACCATCTCTTGCCTGGTGCTGCTGGCTGAGACGTTGCACCTGTGGGGGCTGTCCACTCCCAGCTCACGTCTTCTGGCAGCTCCTTACTCTATTCTAATGCGCCTAGTGGTACTGCCGATTTTCTCTTTTCCCAGACACCTCTCTCCACACTCCTTCTCCCACATTGGCCTGGCCCTCATGGCTCTTTGATCCTCATGGAACATTCTATTGTCTCCTAGGTGAGAAGAAAAGGCATCCCAGCTTATATTCAGACACATGGCCTTGAACTCGTAATAACTCACACATGTAAGCCACAATAACTTCATTTGCATGCAACCACCTTGAATGAATGGTCTCAGTAAATGTGTCATTTATTCTCAATATTCTGGAGTGCTGGAAAAAATGGGGAGTCAAAGGATCCCTCAGTCTGCTGGTGTGACCTGGGGCACCCATCCCTGTTCCCTCTCCTCTTACATGGGATAAAACCCCAGTGGAGCCGTGTCTCTGGATCACTGTGATGGATTAGGTGAGTCTCTACCTGGGCACCCTCTTTCACGTGGCAGCATTTTTATCGCTGTGACAACCTGGAGTCACCTTGCCATTTACCACAGTTGCCTTGGATGACCAAGTAACCCTCTTGCCCTTCATGGGGGGATGTCCTTTGAAGAACACCATTCATTCTGGAAGTGCAGGCCTGGCCTGAACCACTTTGGGGACGGGTACCTGTCACAGGAAGAGGTTGAGGAGACTATAATGTCAGGAGAATCATCATCTTTGACTGGGAGATGGTGTGCAGAGTTTCTGGCGTCTGGGGGCATTCCATCTGTGAGGTTTTCAGTTCTTCATGAGCTGTTACAGGAAACAATGTTTTCGAAAACAAAGTTGTCCCTGGCCCAGGGGCGCCAGGTCATTCCGTGCAAGCAGTCCCCATCAGCTGAGGGAAGGCCCAAAATATGCAAGTGCATGAGCCAGGCTGGCGTGGCACGTGAGGCTGCATAATTTTCGCCGCCCTTCCCTAGGTGTTCTGCTGAGAGCTGGGCTGTCTGCTTAGAAATCAGCCTCCAGGCCTGACTTTTGGCCTCTGCCCCGCCTGTGGAGTCGGTGCGGGCTCCAGATTCCAGAGGCGAAGGATACATCCTAGTGCCAGCTCAGATCTGAAACAGGCGTGCCCTTCGTTTTCAGGTAACTTCTGTTCTGGTCTCTGAGGCTGTGCTGGAGCACTGGCCGGGATTCCAGGCGGCATTTTGTATTTGGAGACAGCAATCTGGGGAGGGGCATAAATAGTAGGAGGGGCAGTGTCATCTGTTTTTACCTTTTCTTTTCTTCTTCTTCTCTTCTTCTTTTTTTTTAATGTAGTCTGGTCTTTCCAACTTTGTTTTCAGCCAATGCAGAAGATGTCTATTTGTGCTGCACGGCCCAGAAGGGAACTGCCAGTTCAGAAAATGTCAGGTCAACTTGATGCTCCCGGTTGACATTTGGCACTGGCTTGGGGGAGCAGGAAGGAAGGGGAGGAAAAGGACGTGGAGAAGAACCTAGGAAGGATTCGTACTTTCGTGCTTTTCTTCTTTTCTCCTCTCCTCCTCTTCCAGTCTGCTCCAGGCTGACGGGAAGGGAAAGGCAAGTAGCTGGGTTTGATGGGGCCCTGCGGGGAATGGGGTGGAGACGGGGCAGGAGGGGGAGCTGTGTGTCTCAGAACCACTCCTGCTCCTGACCACGCTGCCCCCCAACACACACCACACCACACATACCACACACATACCACACACACACCACACCACACACACCACACAACACACCACCCACACCACACCACAAATGACACACCACACAAACCACACCACACACACACAACACACACCACACCATACAACACACACACTACACATCCATACCACACTACCCACACATTACACTATGTCACACCACACCCACACATCACACTACACATACACACCACACACACACCACATAACACCACACACACACACCACAACACACCACCCACACCACCCACACCACACGACACACCACACACACCACACCGCACACACACACCACACCACCCACACCACACACTACACATACCACACATCATCCACACAACACCACGCACACATACCACACCACACACACACCACCCACACACTTCACACTACACTATACCACACCACCCACATACACCACAACACACACACACACCACACACACACACCACACACACATCACACACACCCTCCTCACACCATGTACACACACACCACACACCACACCCCACACCTCACACCCTGCAAGCCTGTGTTCCGAGCTCCTCAGGGAGTGGAGGCCCCTGAGGAACAGCCTGAACCAGCATTTCCCAGGGTTCGCAGCTCCAGTTCCTTGCCTGGCAAATTCAGTAAATCCCAGGCTGTCACAGTTTACCACAGCTGCCGTAACAAAGCACCATGAAGCATGCTGCGCCTACAGAGATGTCCTGCCTCACAGTTCCGGAAGCCACGTGTCCCAGATGGAGGTGGCGGCAGGGCGGGTTCCTCTGAGGCTGTGAGGGAGGCGCTGTCCCAGGCCCTCCCTGGCTTCCGCTGGGGGTGCTGGCCACCCTGGGCGTTCCTTGGCTTCTAGAAGCATCGCCCAGATCTCTGCCTTCATCTTCACCCGGGGTGCTCTCCCCGTGTGTGTCTGTGTCCACATTTCCCCTTTTTATAAGGACACCAGTCAGACTGGATTGGGGGCCCACCCTACTCCTATACCATCTCTTCTTAACTTTTCTCTGCAACGACCCTGTTTCCACATAAAGCCACATTCAGAGGTACTGAGGGTTAGAACTTCAAAGGATGAATTTGGGTGGTGGGGGCCGCAATTCACCCCATCACAGCAGGTGTACATGCTCCCTGCTTCTGGGGCTCCCTGCCTTCTGGGGCTTTCCACTCTGAGATCAAGGTGCCCAGGATGTGGAGCAGGTCAGGTGTTCAGAATTAGGAGGAGTGCAAAGGTAAGCAGAGACTTGTCCCTTGGCCCTCAAGACAGAAGTGGCAATTGCCCGGGGCCATTCAGAGCTGCCAAAGCATTTTCCTGCTTATTAGCCATTCCAGCCTCACAACTAGCAACCTTGAGAGAAAGGTCTGGAGAGAATTTTTATCCAAAAAGATGGAGTAACTTGTGCAAAAATCACGCTGTCAGCTGGAGTTGGAACTTGGGTCTTCAGGCTCTGTGTGTGGCCCTCTCAGGAGGTTGAACCAGTGATATGGGGGAGGGGTATGCACGAAGGTTCTCCTGTTGCAGGGGTTCGGGGAAGGCATTGTGAACGTGGTGACATCTGAGGAGGGCCTTGATTAAAATTTGAGGGAGAAGGGAGCTTTTTGGTTGCAGGCGACAGTTAAGTGCAAAGGGCCACCAACTCAAAGTGTCCCTGAGTTTGGGGTGCTCTGAAGTGGCATCGTCCTAATGTACAATGGGAGGATTTGGTTTTTATCTGATCTCTGTCACCCGCTGACACCTTTGTCTCATCCATTACCCTCAGCCACACCTCATCTATTCGTTAGTTAATTAATTAATTTTTTATTGAGACAGGGTCTCGCTCTGTCACCCAGGCTGGAGTGCCGAGGTGTGACTACGGCTCGCTGCAACCTCCACCTCCTGGGTTCAAGTGATTCTCCCACCTCAGTCTCCTGAGTAGCTGGGATTACAAGTATGCACCACCATGCCTGGCTAATTTTTGTATTTTTTATAGAGACGGGGTTTTGCCATGTTGCCCAGGCTGGTCTTGAACTTCTGAGCTCAAGCGATCCTCCCACCTTAGCCTCCCAAAGTGCTGCAATTACAGGTGCGAGCCACCACGCCTGGCCCACCCCCTCCGTTAGAAAATAGAAAGCTCTTGCTGCTTTCTCTTCACTGGGGCCAACAGAACCTCCTCGTCTAAACTCTCCTCTCTCAACAAAAATTCTCCCCACAGCCTTGGTGTGCAGCAGTTCATGCAAATAAACCCAGAGGATGATGCCAAGCTGGACTCTTCTTTCCATTTTGAGCTCCTGTCCCCCGCCCATGGCTCAAAGCCCCTCTGGCTCATGGCACATCAGGGCAGGGTTCCCACCTGCACACCTCAAACCTTGGGATGAAAGGGTTCATAGCTCTGGTCTCACGGATCTTCCCCACAGCAGAGCCAGGCGAGCTTTCCTATGGACACAGCCCAGGCCTGCTCCCCAACTCCCATAGGCTAAGATGGCCCTGCAGGACAGGTAGGACCTTGGCAGGCAGGACAGGATGGGAGTGGGGAGGCTGCAGACGTCTGTAGAACTCCATGCTGTTCCTGGATGCCTCCCCATGCATTGTCCCATCTGGTTCCTGCTCCCTTGCAGGACTGGGCAGATGCCATTCCCCTTTTAGAGCTGGGAAAAGAGCCCTCTGTGACTTGTCCGCGATCCCACAGTCAGAAAGCATCTGAGGGAGACTGAACACAGTTCTTCTGGATGCAAACTCAGTTCTCATTTCCCAACCTGACTCAGCCTCTGGGTGGAGGCAGCTTCTTTAGAGAGGACGCGCATCTGATGTCCTTGCAGAGAAACCCTCTGCAGAGGCTGCTGGATTGGCAAGGGCATAGGGGAGGGGACAGGGTGGGTGCAGCCCAAGATCACTGGAGTTCCTGGGAAGCGGGGAGTCTGTGGTTCTCTAATGGCTGATTTTTCTGGGGAAAAGGTGGTGTTGACTGTCCCAGCTTGGATGAGAGGATTTGCGCATTGCATCTGAAACCAAGAAAGACTAGGATCGTCTTTGGAATGTTTGGGATGGTTGATTCCGCTAAGGACTATTCATAAGGCACATTTACCAGCTCTCCCTTAGGTCTTTTCATGAACATGTTTTTATTAGTTCGTTCTCACACTGCTATAAAGAAATACCCGAGACTGGGTAATTTATAAAGAAAAGAGGTTGAACTGGCTCACAGTTCTGCAGGCTGTACAGGAAGCATAGTGGCTTCTGCTTCTGAAGAGGCTTCAGGAAGCTTCCAATCATGGTGGAAGGCCAAGGGCGAGTGAGGCACTTCACGTGGCTGGAGCAGGAGGAAGGTGCAGGGGAGGTGCCACACACTTTTAAACAAGTAGATCTCACGAGAACTCACTCACTGTCACGAGAACAGCACCGAGGGGATGTGCTCAACCATGAGAAATTGCCCCCATGATCCTGAACAAGCACACAGAACAGGCTGCCCCTGCTGCTAGAAGGGCTTCTTGTGGGCCCCCTTCTAACCCCCACCAGCTCCTGAGTTAGAATCCAGGAGGGTGCATCTGATTGGCTGGACCTAGGTCATGTGCTTGAGCCCTAGCAGCCCCGGCAGCAAGGGAGGCTGGAAAAGGCAGGAGTGAAGGGGCTCAGCTTCTGTACTAGGAGGTTCCACGCCCTGCCTCCTACACGATTCATACATAAATAGAGGATTCCCTGAACCCAGGAAGGGAGTTCAGATGCTGGGCAGCCAGGATAATTACAAATATTCTCTACGTTAGGGTGTGTGTGTATGTACAGGGCAGGGCTGGGATGAGCAGGGTGGTTAAGAGAATGAGATTTGGCATCACACAGATGGGTCTGAGGACCAGCAATCTTCACTTATTATCTCTCAGTCCTGGCGATATACAGCCTGTCCCAGCCTCAGTTTTCTTGTCAGCAAAACTGGGATACTAATGCCTATTTCACAAAATGGTAGCCTTATTATTCTTATAGTAGATGTTATTATTAGGAATATTGTGATAGCAATCATAACATGGTGTACCCATCATGTTATGATACCTCGGTCATGAACTGTAAGCCTATGTGTAAGGCCTGGTTAGATTGACCTTCTAATTTTTTACATGTCTCTCCAGCACAGATGGTCAAATCAGCTTTTGAGGCCTGAGTCCTGATACAGTCCTCAAAAGGCAGGTGCTTTTTTTTTTTTTTTTTTTTTTTGAGATGGAGTTTCACTCTTGTCCAAGTTGGAGTGCAGTGGCTCACTGCAACCTCCGCCTCCTGGGTTCAAGCAATTCTCCTGCCTCAGCCTCCTGAGTCGCTGGGATTACAGGCTCCTGCCACCATGCCTAGCTAATTTTTGTTATTTTTAGTAGAAATGGGGTTTTGCCATATTGGCCAGGCTGGTCTCAAACCCCTGACTTCAGGTGATCCGCCTGCCTTGGCCTCCCAAAGTGCTGGGATTACAGGGGTGAGACACTGCGCCCAGCCAAAGAGCAGGTGCTTTTAAAAGGATTAACCTAAGCTCTAAGTATAAAGTTTTTATTGCTGTTTTATCCTATAGTGTAATGACCCTCTAACTTTTAATTGTATATATATCTATAAAATATATAGTCTTATATAGCAATGTCTGGTTGGGTGTGCCCAAAGTCCTTTATAGCTCTAAGCTTCAGAAAAGTAAATAGAAGAAGAAGATAATTAAAAGACTAAGATAAAATAAAACAATTGTCTTTCCCACTGGAATTTGGAGGAGATGGAGTTTGCAAGTAGGAGAGTTGGAGGGGTAGTTCAGCAGCTGGTTTTATCGGCAAATAGGCCAGTTAGGAGGGGTCGCTGAGGTTTATTACATGAAATCCTCAATGGGTGGGCACTGCAGCACAGAGCAACCTGGAGTGTGTGGGGTGGGTACCCCAGTCAACACACACAGGACTCTTGCAAACAGGCTCCTTGACTGACATGCTTCTGTATAACTTTCATAAAAAGATATTGATGTTCAGAGTAATCCTGGGGCTATGTAGATCCAGAAACCGTCAAAGAAAGTTTAGATTCTACTCAGTAGATTTTTACCATGAAGCACATTTCACCGTGTTCTCATTCTTGGAAACTTAGGGATGGATGAGTGATGTTAATTGCAGTTTGCAATTCTCTGTCGACCACAATGTTGAACACAGCGGGATACTCTGTTCTCATGCCTACGTGAATAGCTACCTAAATCTGATTGTTAAGTAGGCCCATAAGGTTTACAGGACAGTTTTTTTTTTTTTTTTTTTTTTTTTTGCACATAGGGAAAAAGATGAGTCATGGTACATGGTTGATTTCTGGATTGTATCAAATTGGGAAGAATTTATGTAATCCCAAACTGGTATATTTGCACCAAAATTCTTGATAATGACAGGTTGAGGCTGGGTGTGGTGGCTCATGCCTGTAATCGCAAAGTTTTATATATTTTTTTGGGAGACCGAGGCAGGTGGATCATTTAAGATCAAGAGTTCGAGACCAACCTGGCCAACATGGTGAAACCCTGTCTCTACTAAAAGTACAAAAATTAGCCAGGCATGGTGGTGCGTGCCTGTAGTCCCAGCTACTTGGGAGGCTGAGGCACAAGAATTGCTTGAGCCTGGGAGGCGGAGGTTGCAGTGAGCTGAGATTGTGCCACTGCACTCCAGCCTGGGCAACAGAGTGAGACTCTGTCTCAAAAAAATCAAAAAGGAAAAAAAAAAGACAGGATGGTGTGATGAGTAGAGATTTACAGAAAGCAGTTTTCCCTCAGAAAGGAGGAGGGGAGTAGATGGAGGACAGTCCTCTGGGAATGGTGAGAGCTGGGTAGAGGAAGTGGGTTTTGAACGATAAGTTTGAAGAATTCATTCATTTGGTCAACAAATGTCTACTGAGCACCTACAATACATCAGGCAGGGTTCTAGGCACTGGGGATACAATAGGGAACAGAACAGATAAGTCTCCTGCCCTCATGGTAGGTGTGTGGTTTTCAGGTTACTCTGGAAAAAGGATGAACATTGGGAAAGATGGAGGAGAGAGTGAGTATTGTGTAGAGGACTGTAGGTAGGCTTGCTTCTTTTATACATTCGTTCAATTAATCCAGCATTTATGGGCCATCTTCCCTGGGCAGATTTTATGCAAGACACTGGGGATACAGAGATGACGAAGTCTTATTTGAGAAGTTCAAAGTCTGGAGCATGGAGGCACAGACTTTATGGAACAGGATGACTGAGGTCTGGTAGAAGCAGGCTCAGAGGAAAAATATGCTAATCTTGCTAGAGAGGATTTGAAAAGCTTCCTAGAAGGAAAGAAAGGATGCTGACTGCCAGCCTTTAGAGACAGCTGAGAGCTTGCCAGGTAGCAGAGAGAGCGGAAGAAGATTCTAGGCAAAAGGAATGAGAAGACATCTATTGGGGGAAGGGAGCACTAAAAGAAGGCTGTCAGGCAGGGGAAGGCTGATGGTGGAGAGCCTTTATGGGAATTGTGATTTTAATTTAATTTGAGACATGATGGGGGCCACAGCCAGGTTGAGGAGGTAACTCCATGAAAATTACATTTGAGGTTGATGACTTCTGTGTGCTTGTTCAGGATCATGTCCTTAAACAGGGAATACTCATTAGCAAACTAATTAAGGACCTTAACAGGAGGGACGGTAATTTGTTGGGTTTTAGAAGACTTAGTACAATAAATATATTGATTGAGTTTGGGTTTGCCAAGGAATTAAAGAGTCCGCACTTCCCTAATAAAAATAAAATGAAAATACTTTTTTGGAAAACTGACAGTAAGGCAGTAATGACTATAATAAACCAGAAGTCCTTCGTCCACAAACCACTGTGGTTGACAATAAGGGATTAAACATTACCTGAATTGGTAGAGAAATTATTAATAGCTGTTGCTTTTTAAAAATAGACATTTACTGCCAGTCTCTGGGGAGGAGGGAGAAGCAGAAAGGTGCAGGTGCTGATGGCTTTGAAGGGCATTAGCTGTGCCTCTTCCATTCTCATTTTCTCTTCCCTCATTCCCTTTTCCAAACTGAGAACCTGGATTCCATGTCCAGGTGGGCAGAGGGAGGAGGAGGAAGACGTGGGAGATGGCTGGAAAGAAGAACAAGCCAAATTCTTATGTACTTCTGGGCATGCTTGTGCTCCTGTTTTAATTTTTTATACCTTGCAATTTAGTGAACTTGGAGCTCCAAAACGTCTGTTGAATCTTGCCTCGGTGCTCTGGTTCTCAGCCTTGGTGGCAGCAGAAACCCTTAAACAAAAGGTTGAAAACTGCACGTTCCCAGCGCTTTCCTCCCCGCCCCTTTCCTGGGTTTTCTGTTTACTGGGATGTGGAGAGGAAGTGCAAACTCTGTAGTTTCTAAAGTTCCACAGGGGGCTTTGGATGCTTTACCTGGGGTTGAGGTACTGACTTGGAGGCTCACTTGTTGTATTAGTCTGTTTTTATGCTGCTGATAAAGACATACCTGAGACTGGGTAATTTATAAAGAAAAAGAGGTTTAATGGACTCACAGTTTCACATGGCAGAAGGCAAAAGGCACGTCTTACATGGTGGCAGACAAGAGAGAATGAGAATGAAGCAGAAGGGGTTTCCTCTTATAAAACCATCAGTTCTCATGAGACTTAGTCACTACCACGAGAACAGTATGAGAGAAACTGCCCCCATGATTCAATTATCTCCCACTAAGTCCCTCCCACAACATGTGGGAATTATGGGAGCTGCAATTCAAGATGAGATTTGGGTGGGGACACATATCACTTGTGTCCCCAAACCATATCACTTGTGTTCTCTCTCTCTTTCATTTTTTTATTTTTTTGAGACAGAGTCTCTCTGTTGCCCAGGCTGCAGTGCAGTGGCACGAACATGGTTCACTGCAGCCTTGACCTCTGGGCTTAAGTGATCCTCCTGTCTCAGCCTCCTGAGTGGCTGGGACCACAGGTGTGTGCCACCACACAAGGCTAATTTTTTAATTTTTATTTTGTAAAGATGGGGTCTTGCCTTGTTGGCCAGGCTGGTCTCAAACTCCTGGGCTTGAGTAATCCTCCTGTCTTAGCCTCCCAAAGTGCTGGCATCATAGGTGTGAGCCACCACACCCAGCCTCACTTGTGTTATCTGGACCCCTATTTTAGATGTAAGTAGTCCTGGGAAGGCAGTGCTGCTCTAGACTTTCCATGGCTGTTTTGCCAGACATGCAGCAGAACTGGTGTGCCTGTCTGGGGTAGGGAGATGGGGCCCAGGGTGGGCTCTGAAAGAAGGCTCTGGAAGGAGTTTGGAGCATGACAGCATTGGGTGCCCTCAGGGGGCAAAACAGCAGAGGACAAGGTACAGAAAGATCTAGGTGGTAGGAGAGGCTTCCAGAAGAGAGGCAGTAGGGACCTGGGTCTCGGCTATGCAGGCCCACGCCCTTGGACCTCAGGCACGCTTATCTCCAGCTTCTCCCCTTCCCTGCTGTGGGTGGGGCATGCCCACCTGCTGAGGAAATACCTGGAAAGAAACCATGGGACAACAATCTAACCGGTACTTTTCCACTCCATATGGATCTAGAACTCCTGGCACATACTCCTGTGTGATCTTGTGGAACACTGGGCTTCTCTGGAGGAGTCATTAAGTGCTGGCTGCACCCTGAAACGGTGGCCCTGTGACTCTGCAGAGGTCACCACAGAAGTTCTTTCACTCTGGGTCATCCCCCATCTTTAGCTCCCCTCCCCTTGGTCTTGTGTTGCTTATCTTCATTAATTTGTGATGAGGAGATATGTTTTTATCACTGAGGCCTCAGCCTGCCACCTGCCTCCCCGTTTTCCTTTTGCCTTCAGAAACTAGTTATTTTTACAAAGGAGGGAGGAGTGCTCCTCCCTCCAATTCCATTTAAAACAAACATGGTTTTGGCACAACAAGCCTGCCTCCTCGAAGTAATGGCCGCTCCCCCGTGCCAGTTGCTATTCTGCCCTCATGAGAGTGGAGCGTGTGTTTCCTCCCCTAGTTCCTCTTTGTTTCTCTGCCCTTCCTCCTCTGAGGGCACAGGGGCAGACAGGACATCCTCCCACCAGGGGCTGCCTAGTGACTGGCCGAAGATTCTGATCATTTCAGGCCTCCCTTCACATTCTCCAGCGGCATTTTAAGGTCTTTGCTGTAAGGCAAAAGCTGGTTTTTCATCCTTCCTCCTTATCCAGGTCTTCTGTTTCTGGGGTCAGTCTGGTGCGTAGACAGTTCCACACATACTCTGTATTAGGGATCCTGAAAGAGAGAAAGCTAAAAGGGACTTCTTCCATTTCAAGAAGAGACTTAAACAAGATAGAATTCCCTTTCCTTCTTATGAGACTGAGAATAAGCACTCTAGCAGCCCTTAGTATCAGGGTCCCAGGCTCCCTCTGCCATATTGTTTTGCCATCTATAGGGTGTTGCTGCCTTTTACGGGACTCACAGTGGGTCACAATCATTTATTGATCCAGGTAGTAGGATGCCCTTTAAGGGCCTGATTCAGAAGTTGTACATATCACTGCCACTCACATCCCATTGGTTGGCTCTTAGTAACATAGCCCTACCTAGAGGTAGGTGAGGCTGGGAAATGTAGTCTTTACGTGGGTGTCTGGGAAACCAACTAAAATCTCTATTAATTATTAGAAGTTTTAAAAAGATAAATGTTTCATGCATGTGTGAGAAAACGGCATTCTCTAATTGTCGAATGCAGAATTCTATATATGGTCGTTAGTTCAAGCTTGTAATTTGTGTGGCTGTTTTGTCTGCCTGACCCATCAATAATAGAGACCTATCAATAATTGAAATCTCTCTCGACGGTAGTGGATTTGTCAATTTCTCCATGTATTTCTATCCATTTTTTGTTTTATATATTTTGAGGTTAATTAGGTGCATTCATATTTGGCATTGTCATGTATTTAGCATTCCCCATGTATTTCTATCAATTTTTTGGTTTTTTGTATTTTGAGGTTTGTTCATTAGATGCATTCATATTTAGCTTTGTCGTGTCTTCTTCGAGAACGAACCCTTTTCTCTGCATCCAGTGATCCTCTCTAGCCCTAAATATGCTTTTTCTTTTAAAGTATATTTATCCTATATTGACATATGTTGTTATCTTTCTTCATTCTTTTAATTTCAACATTTGTTCATGTTTTTATACTTTAGATATACCTTTTATAAATAGTATGTAGGTGGATTTTGTTTTTTAAATCCAATCTGATGATTTTCTGTCTTTTAGTTGGCAAATTTAGGCCATTTATATTGATTTTTTTTAATTTATTTATTTTTATTTATTTATTTATTTTTTGAGATGGAGTCTTGCTCTGTCGCCCAGGCTGGAGTGCAGTGGCTCTCAATCTCGGCTCACTGCAACCTCTGCCTCCTGGGTTCAAGCGATTCTCCTGCCTTAGCCTCCCGAGTAGCTGGGATTACAGGTGCCCAATACCATTCCTGGCTAGTTTTTTGTATTTTTAGTAGAGACAATGTTTTGCCATGTTGGCCAGGTTGGTCTCAAAATCCTGACCTCAGGTGAATCCACCCACCTCAGCTTCCCAAAGTGCTGGGATTACAGGCATGAGCCACCACGCCCAGCCTTATTTCACATATTTCTTGCGGCTTTTCCTGGATTTATTTTTCTTATTTGAATATCACTTCTTCAAAAAGTGTTTTTAAATGTGGATTGTAGCATGACAGACTTCCTCAAGCCTTGTATGCCTGAGAATATTTTCATCACACCTTACATTTGAATGACAATCTTGCCAGAAATGGAATTTTAGGTTCAATGTACTTTCCTCAGTACTTTATTTATGGATTAATACTTTTTAGAGACAAGGTCTCACTCTGTGTCCCAGGCTGGAGTGCAGTGGCATGATTACAGCTTACTTCAGCCGCGACCTCCTGGGCTCAAGCGACCCTCCCACCCACTTCAGTCTCTCAAGTAGCTGGGACTTGCGGTGCTACCATTCCCAGCTAATTTTTGTATTTTTGGTAGAGATGGGGTTTCGCCATGTTGCCCAGGCTGGTCTCTAACTCCTAAGACTAAGCTATCCACCTGCCTTAGCCTCCCAAAGTGCTGGGATTACAGGCATGCACCATGGCTCCCAGCCATTCAGCACTTTACAACTCACACTTCATTATGTTTTTGCATTCACTGTTGTGGTTAAAAAGTATGATATTCACTTTTAAAGTGACTTTTAAAAAGTATGATATTCACAAAGGAAAAAGGTTATTTTTCCTTAGTAGGTGTTATGCTCCTTCTGAGAGTTTTCAAAATTTTCTTTTTGAGTTTGGTATTTCTAAATTAATTAATTAATTATTTCCATGATTCTGCATGGTATTCCTAAATTTGATTCTAGTGTGCCTAGATGTGGAATTTTCTTCTCTTTCCTTTTGATGTTCTATGCACTCTTTTAATTTGAATATATTCATCTTTAATGCTTGGAAACGTATCTCCATGAATTCTTCATCTATTTTCTTCTCTTCATTTCTATTTATTTTTTTCTATTCTGTGACTCCTTTTGTCTGGATGCTGGTAGTTTTACTTTCATTCTCCAAGTCTCTTAACTTTTCTTTTATATTTTCTACATTTGAATTTTCCCCTGCTTGCTTCCTGGAGTGTTCCTCAATCTGATTTTCTAATTCACTAATTCATTCTTTAGCTGTATCCATTCAACCACGAAGCCCATTTATTGTGCTCTTTATTCCCATTATATAATTTCCATACCTTGTATTTTCTCCCTGTTCTTGTTTTATATTGCTATGTTTGGATGAACAAAGAGAGAGAATGGGCAAGCCTGGGAAAGAACCCCAGATAGGATGCCCCCATTTGGTATCACCCACCAAGCAACACCTGAGGCCAGAGCTTCCTCTTCAGATCCTCAGGCAGAAGCAGCAACAGGAATAGGCATGCACAGTTTATCATCCCCAACTCTGGGATTGGGAGGGCAGGGAATGCAGAGGCTACTCAGCCTTCACTGAAGTTCTATAAGGTTTCACTGGAATGGGACTTCTGGGCTGCCCTGATTTTACTCTTGTGTCAGCAGTCTGGGCCACAACTGCCAATTTCTAAAGGCCGAGGAAAGATAGTGATTGTCCCAAGGCAATGATGGAAGAGAAGAGTGGAACTCAAGTTGCTTTTTCTACTGTCTCCTCCTAGAGCAGCACCAGCTGGCTCATCCCAGGCTGCAACCCTTACCACTCTTACCACCATACACATGCAACAGTTTCTCTTTCAGTATTCTCACAGTTTTTCCGTTAGTTCCTGAATTTTGTGTTTTGTACCTCAATTAGGTTGACTCTGGGCAAGACGTATAATGGTTTATGTGAATTTTCCATCTTGGCAAAAATTGGAGTCTCAGCAGAGCAACCTTTGTAAGCCTGTTGTATTAGTCAGGCTTCTCCAGAGAAACAGAACAAATAGAATGTGTATATATTTATAGAAAGAGATTTATTATATGAAATTGGCTCATGAGATTATGGAAGCTGACAAGTCAAAAATCTGCAGGGTAGGCTGGCAGTCTGGAAACCCAGGAGAAGCAATGCTTTAGTTATAGTTCTAGTTCAAAGGCAGTCTGCAGGAGAACCAGGAGGTGCCAACATTGCAGATGAAGTCCAAAGGCCATCTGCTGGAGAATCCTCTCTTGCTCAGGTGAGGCCAGTCTTACTGCTTTCTATTCAGACCTTCAACTATTTGGAGGATACCCACCCACATAATGGAGGGCAATCTACTCAAAGTCTATGGATCTAAATGTTAATCTTATCCAAAACCAACCTCACACCCAGAATGGTGTTTGACCAAATATCTGGGCGCCCCATGGCCCAGTCATGTCAACACGTAAAATTAACTCTTACACCTGCTATTCCAAGTATGGTTTGAGGACCAGCATTGGCCTCACCTGGGAGCTTGCTAGAAATGCAGAATCTTGGGCCCACTTTTGCCAAGATGCCTGCATTGGAATAAGATGCGAATCTTTTCAATTTATTGAGCCAGAGCTTCATATCAGTAAAAATAAGAACTTTGGATTACATAAGAGATTCTCTGATTAATGTCCCTGCATGATCAGGGATCTTAAAAAAAAAACAATTACATAAAACTGCCTAGGCTCACCCCAGACCAATTAAAACCGAATCCCTAGAATAGGGCTCAGGCATCTCTTATCGTGTTTTGTTTTGTATTTTTTTTTTAAATCTATGCTGGTGAATCTGTTATCCACTGAAGGTGAGAATCTTCAGAGTTGTGCTTCTCAAACTACAATATGCATGCACATCACTTGGAGATCTTGTGAAAAATGCAGATTCTGGCTCATGAGACCTGGGAAGGCTGGAGATTGCATTTCCATCACTTCCTGTTTCAGGACCACTGTTGGACTTGGGAGATGCTAGACTGGATGACAGGTGAGATCCTTTGCAGTTCTGAACTGCTCTGATCCCTGAAACCAGGAGAGCTTCACAGGTTTGCCAAGGTGGGTTCCACCCAGGGACACACCTCTTAGTATCTAACCAGGAAATAAGGCCTCCCTCTCTGTGGTTTCCAGCATCTTCTGAACTCCTCAAGTCAAAGAAATCAGATGCCTTCCTGCTGCTGCTACCCACATGGAAACTAATACATTGCTCCTATTGAAAGCTTGGCTCTGTGCCCTGTGGCCAGAGTATAAGGCTCTAGAAGATATTAACTGTGTCCTCTGTGGGGATGGGCAGATTAAGAATGGTGATTTGGCATCAGAGTAACCTCATGTGGTGACTGAAAAACGTAAACTAATTGCAGACCAAATTTAAGATGGTCGTACCTGAAGCCTAAGCCGAGGCCTGAGCGGCACCCTCAAGAGTCCCCTCTTGTCTCCTCAGCTGGAATAACTTTTTCTCAACTGGTGGCTATCTTGGACGTTAGTTTAAAGCTCTGTTGTAATGTATGTCACCCTGACTGGAGTTCTAGGTATTTTGTTTCTTTTCTAGATTGAGATCTTTGGGGCAACCACTATGACTCTCTGCTTTCCTTCCAGTCCCTTCCACCACCCATCCCCAGCTGCGGCCAGGGCAGACCTTAGAAAACCTAAGGGGTTTTACTCCCCTGCTTGGAGCGCTCCAAGGAGGCGCTTGATGCTTGGAGTAAAATCTATACTCGTCCCCATCCTATCTAGTCCCTAATGACCCTGCAATGTCATCCTTCCCCACTGTCCCTTGTCACCCTGCTCCAGCCACACTGGCCTCTCCCCATGCAACAAGCCCACTCTTGCCTCAGGGCCTTCCCAGTTACTATTCTGCTTTTCTTTTTTTTTTTCTTTTTGAGGTGGAGTCTCGCTCTGTCGCCCAGGCTGGAGTGCAGTGGAGGATCTCAACTCACTGGAACCTCCGCTTCCAGGGTTCAGGCGATTCTTCTGCCTCAGCCTCCCGAGTAGCTGGGACAACAGGCGTGTGCCACTATGCCCAGCTAATTTTTGTACTTTTGGTAGAGACGGGGTTTCACCATGTTAGTCAGGCTGGTCTCAAACTCCTGATCTCAGGTGATCCACCTGCCTCGGCCTCCCAAAATGCTGGGATTACAGGTGTGAGTCTCTGTGTCAGGCATCCCAGTCACTATTCCTTCTGCCAACACACTCTTCCCCAGCTCTTCATGTAGCTGGCTGCTTCTTTTCATTCATCTCACAGCTTCAATGTCACTGCTTCCAAAGGAAGACCTCCCTTCTAAGTGGTCTTTCTCATGCCAAAATGACTGTGTACCCCATAACTTATTTTAATGTCTCCATAGCATTTATGACTATTAGAATTCTCTTACATATTGATGTTTTCTGATTTATTCTCTCTTCCCTTGTCCTCACCCCCTACCACTACATTGTAAACTTTACAAGCCACTCTATATCTCTTAGTGTCACCTTAGTATCTCTAGTGCCTAGAGCTTTGACCTGCAGCAGTAGGAGGTCCTTGATTATTAATTGGATTAATCTTGAATTTTCCACTGCACTTAGCTCAGTTCATTCATTTAACAAAGGATGTTTTTCCTCTAACCAAAATATGGGTAGCAATTTTGGGTGTCCTCTGGAAAAACTTATTCATGGAGAAACTTACAAAAACAAGATACATTTGACAGAAATAGCATGGGACTCAATCGGACTCTAGTTTGCATTGGTAAGGGTAAATGTGGGGCCCTGGGCTGTGAAATGTTTGCCAATCAGATTTGAGGAATCATAAAAAGTTCAGAATCAGCTTTTGCTTCTGCCCCCTGCTCTACATTCCTCTTGGGTGCCCAGTGGTAAACTGGCAAGAAGCAGCAGCTGAGGGCATGGGCAGGATGTTCTGGTCCTGGATCTCTGCCTTGCCCCCACATCCTAACACCACTGGGAAGACAGAAGCTCTCAGCACCTGGCCCAGGTTTCCACTAAACCCTGGCAAAGTAACGCAGATGTGGGATGCCAGGGCCACCACACAGGGAGGCAAAGAGACCTTCATTGGAGGAGGCTGCTGCTGCTAGGGGTGTAGAGGTGAGCCAGGGGCCAGCAGCAGATTGTGCCAGGGGCAGCTGGGAATGGGCTGTGCCTCCACCGAGCCTCAAGCCATCCTCTGATCTCGCTAGTCAGACTTGACCACTCTTCCAGATGTGCATGATTCAACCCAACACAGCTGGCAAGGTGGAGGGGCAATATGATGTTTCACTCGTACTAATGTTGTAGCTTCACAGCCTCTTGGGGTGGTCCATAGGCCCCTCCAAGGTGGCCTTGGGTGGGTGGAAGGAGGGGCAGAGGTTGGCATCCAAATTGCTCCAGACTGAGTCTACTTTCAAGATCTATTTTGCACTGGAGATGTAAATTTCCACTTAAAAATGCAAAGTGAGCATTAACACAGAGGCGTGGCTAAAGTTATTTGCTCTGAAAAAGATGCGCAGATATTTTTGTGTCTGGTGGGAAAGGAGAGAGTGTCAAAGGATGGACAAAGGCCACCTCTGTGTGAAGGTGGCTTTTGTGATTTTGGCTTAACCAAAAGGTCCTGGAGATGGAGTGACTTGGATTCTGATTATGGGGGTGTCTGCTGTGTCCCATTCTTCTCATTCAGTTGAATTTAATTCATCAAGGAGGAATCGTGTGCCTGCTCTGTGCCAGGCACTGTCAGGTGCCGGGAATGCAGCAATGAACAAAATGTAGATCAATTCCTGCCCTCTTGGGCCTTACTACCTGGCAGAAGATATAAAAAAGGGCCACTTCCACAGCATTGTGATGACAGTGGGATGTGACCATCCCTTTCCTAGCTAGAACTGGGGATTTGGAGTCCGAAGGCCCAGTTGACGTTTCTGGCCCTTCAACTTCCAGCTGTTTGACTCGAGGCCAATTATTTATTTATTTATTTGAGACAAGGTCTTACTCTGTTGCCCAGGCTGGAGTGCAGTGGTGTGATCACAGCTCATTGCAGTCTTGAATTCCCGGGCTCGAGTGACCCTCCCACCTCAGCCTCCCATGTAGCTGGGACTACAACTGGACACCACCAGGCCTGGCTAATTTTTTAATTTGTTATAAAGACAGGAAGGAGTCTCTTATGTTGCCCAGGCTGGTCTCGAACTCCTGAGCTCATACAATCCTCTCACCTCAGCCTCCTGAGTATCTGGGACTATAGGTGTGAAGACCACGCCCAGCTGATTTTTTAATTTTTATTTTTAGTAGCGATGAGGTCTTGCTATGTTGCCCAGGCTGGTCTCCAACTCCTGAGCTCAAGAGATCCTCCCACCTCGGGCTCCCAAAGTCCTGGGATTACAGGTGTGAGCCACTGCACCTGGCCTATTTACTTTTTTTAAGCTTTAGTTTTTTTCAGTTCTCATATGAGGAAATGACATCTGCCATGTCCACTTTGTGAGTTTTTAAAAATGAGAATACAGTGAGATAATCTACCTGAAAGCTTTTTGTGAGCTCCTAAGGAGACTTTTGAACTGTTATTGGTACTATGATCTCTCACTATCCTCTATAATGTCATGATGCTACTTGTTATCAAAAGCTGACAAAAGCTATAAACGTGCACTCTTTGTCATAGTAGCCACTAGCCACATGCAGCCGAAATGGGGCTAACTGGAATTGAGATGTGCTGTGAGGGTAAAATACACACTAAACTGTGAATTTAGTAAAAAAAAAAAAAAAAAAAAAGTAAATCTCTTATATTGAATATATTTTTGATCTTTTGGGTTAAATTGAATATATTACTTAAAGTAATTTTTTTTTTTGGAGACTAGGTCTTACTCTGTGGCCTAGGCTGAAGTGCAGTGGCGTGATCCTGGCTCACTGCAACCTCAACCTCCTGAGCTGAAGAGATCCTCCCACCTAAGCCTCCTAGGTAGCTGGGACCACAGGTGTGTGCAACCGAACCCGGCTAAGTTTATTTTTTGTGTGTATTTTTTTGGAGAGATGGAGTTTCGCCATGTTGCCCAGGCTGGTCTTGAATTTCTGGGCTCAAGCGATCCTCCCACCTCGGCCTCCCAGAATGTTGGGATTACAGCAGGCCTAGCCTAATTTTGTTAATTTTTAAATGTGGCTACCAGAGAACTTTAAATGAACTATGTGGCTCACATTATGTATTGACTGAACAATGCATCTGTAGAGGCTGTCTTTGGAAGTTTACTATATAACCAAGACCCACGAACACTCATGCAGTTCCCAGGGGTATCATGGACTGCTTAAAGTCCCATCTGTGAAACCCTAACATGATGATTTTAAAGGTTACTTTTCATTTACATTCAAAATGTACATAAAGAATGTCCCTGTGAGATTAGATCACTTAAGGGAGAACCATGTCTGTGTTTCACTACGCAGAAAATGGTTTCATCGTCTTTGTCCTGAAAGCCACTGCCTGGAAGGGCTGTGCAGCGCTCAGAGTGGGAGAGGCAGACCTCTGAGACAAATGACTTCAGCATCACTACAGCTGTGGCTAGAATGAGAACAGCCTCAAATTTCACTAATGAAGAGATTTTCTGAGTTCCATGTGAGCAACGCCGCTTCCTTCCCATCCCCGAGTGATTCCCCTTGTCAAAGAAAAAAGACACAACCAAAAGGGAGAGCTGCCATCCTTTCAGGTCCCTTCTTGTTCTTCGTCTCACTGAATTCACCCCTAAATGCTTTGAAGTATTCTCCATGACTGTTTCATCAACTGAGGAAAGGAGGCCCAGAATGGCTTAGAAACTTGCTAACTGGTTTAGAAGAAGAACTGAGATTCAAATGCTTTGCAGTGTAGGTCTGCTTCTGCCACAAAATGGCAGCCAGGGGAGGAAGGAGAAAGTGAGGAAAGGGGGAAAATTAGCGCTCGGGCTTTGTCAGATCTCAGGAGAGGCGGACGCTGGCTAAGCCCCATCGCCTTATCTTTATTTTGTGAGAAGCAAACTGTGGGGTTTGGTTGCAAGAGAAGATCTTACTAGGGACCAGTTGCAGGGTGTATTAATCAGGGGTTTCCAGAGAAACAGAACTAATAGGATCTATCTGCCTGTCATCTCTCTCTCTCTCTCCTATCTATCTATCTATCTATCTATCATCTATCTATCTATCATCTATCTATCTATCTATCTATCTATCTATCTATCATCTAATCTATCATCTATCTATCTATTCATCATCTATTTATCAACTATCATCTCTCATCTATCAACTATTTGTTTGCCATCTATTATCTATCTATCATCTATTTATCTATTAATCATCTATTTATTAACTATCAATCTATCATCTGTCATCCATCAACTATTTATCTGTCTATCCATTCTCTATCTATCTGTCTCTCTGTCTGTCAATCAGTCAGTCAATCCATCGCCAGAATTGGCTCACATTATTATGGAGGCTGAGAAGTCCCACAATCTGATCTACCATCTGAAAGCTGGAGACCCAGGAAAGCTGGTGGTGTAATTCAGTCCTGGGAATGGAGGTGGTGGGAGGATACTGGCGTCAGTTCCAGACTCTAAAGGCTCGAGAACCAGGAGCTCCAAAGTTCAAGGGCAGGAAAAAATGAATGTCCCAGTTGAAGATGAGAAAACAAATTCACCCTTCCTCTGCCATTGTGTTCTATTCAGGCCCTCAATGGATGGGATGAGGCCTACACACACTGCTGAGGGCTCTCTTCTTTGCTCAGCCGACCAATTCAAACGCTCATCTTTTCCAGAAACACCCTCATAGACACACCCAGGAATAATCTTTTACCAGCTATCTGGGCATCCCTTAGCCCAGTCAAGTTGACACATTAAAATTAACCATCCTACAGGGATTTCCTACCGTTTTGGGGAAGCCATCTTTTCATGGCTTCCTTCCAGAGGAAAATTCCTGCTATATGCTTGACAGAAAGAACAAAACCCCAAACATACAAAAAGACCAGTCTGTGGAATGTAGACAATTTGGGTCAGATGTGGTTCCCTGCCTAGAGGAGCCAGTGAGATGAGCCATTTCCATCCACCAAAGATGGGCTTGAAATGTGGTCTACCTTTCAACATGGTGCCACTGAGGGCTTCTGAGCTGGCTGTGATCATCTGACAAAACGCTGTGTTGGCCAACTCATAGAAGAGTTTGCTAGCTGGCCTGGCCCCAAGCAGAAGCAGCAGGTTACTGCCCAAATTCTCCAAGTGGGATGACCAGCGGCTATATAAAGGGCAAACAAACAAGAAAGCCTTTCTTTCTGAGAATGTTTCCACTGCAGTTAGGTTAGAAAATGATCCAGGGAAGATATAAACTAGCCCTTTCATTTAGCAAAATAAAATGCCTATCCGCTTGGTAATCTGTGCAGTGGAAGTCAGAGCCAGAGTCTTGTTTTTAAAGATTTTGTTTAATTCACCACCCCCATACCTCCCCTCCCACTGCCTAGCATCAGGCTGGACAAGAAGAAAAGGGACACTGGCCTGCAGATGCTGCCACGTGACATGTCCTTATAGAATAGCTTCTGTGACATTTGTATTAAGTAACCACAGGAAAAAAGGTGAGGTGTTGATGACAGAAGGCATCTGTATTTTCTGGGGTTGGGTTCCAGTTTTAATGAATATGGATAATGCACAAAACATCTCATTTTTCGGAGCTGTGTTTTTTCATTAAACACTGCCACTCTGCATGGGAAAGGAACTGGACATTCCTGACACATTATTTGGCAGGTCTCAATCGCAAGTGCTCCAATATTGGCTTTCGGAAACCCATTCCAGATTTGGCCCAGATTGTCAAATCTTGTCCAGAGCACCAAGTCAAAAGGTGCCTCTAAGCCCTGGGCAGAGTGCCAGGCTCTGAAAAACACTGGCTGGATCTCCTCAGGGACCCTGGCTGAGACAGGCGAGTGATTTGTTCTTCAAATGACCTTTCCCTCCTTGGAAAAGAGCACCCGGAATAAAAGTGCAAGATGTGCTTCAGATGTCCCCCAAGAGTTTAACACAAGCAGAGGTATTGAGGGGCTTCTGTGTATTGACCAAAGAAGAAACATTTTTTTGGCTGGGCATGGTGGCTTACGCCTGTAATCTCAGCACTTTGGGAGGCTGAGGCGGGTGGATCACCTGAGGTCAGGAGTTCGAGACCAGCCTGGCCAACATGGTGAAACTCCCATCTCTACCCACAAATACAAAAATTCGCCAGGCATCACCTGTAATCCCAGCTACTCGGGAGGCTGAGGCAGGAGAATTGCTTGAACCCGGGAGGCGGAGGTTGCAGTGAGTGTGGTGGTGGGCACCTGTAATCTCAGCTACTCAGGAGGCTAAGGCAGGGGAATCAATTGATCCGATCTTGGCTGCAGTGAGCCAAGATCGAACCACTGCACCCCAGCCTCGGCAACAGAGCAAGACTCCATCTCAAAAACAAAAACAAATGAACAAACGAACAAAAAGAAACATTTTTTCCCTGTGGTAGGATGTCTGCCCTCAAGCAGTGAACCCAACTACTGTAGAACTGGTGGCACCTGTCCAATTAAAAATGACATTTGCTTTAAGGTAAAAATATATTATATATTAGGGTTGGGGCTCTGTCTTCTCCTGAGTAGTGTGTCATCCAGCATTTTTCAAAGCATGGTCTGGAGACCCTCCTACATCAGAATCAGGGGACGTGTTTCAATTACAAATTTCTGACCAAACCACCTACCAAATACGTGGGAACTAGAGCTAAGAATTTTCACTGTACCAAGCTCCAGGAAATCCTGATATACCCCAAAGTTTGTGAGCCATTGGATGTAAAAAACCACATACATATATATAAAATTGTTGTTGTTTGTTTGTTTTTGAGATGGAGTCTTGCTCTGTCTCCCAGGCTGGAGTGCAATGGCGCTATCTTGGCTCACTGCAACCTCTGCCTCCTGGGTTCAAGCCATTCTCTTGTCTCAGCCTCCTGAGTAGCTGGGATTACAGGCATGAGCCACCACACCCAGCTAATTTTTGTATTTTTGGTAGAGATGGGATTTCACCATGTTGGCCAGGCTGGTCTTGAACTCCTGACCTCAAGTGATCTGCCCACCTCAGCCTCCCAAAGGGCTGGGATTACAGGTGTGAGCCACCACACCTGGCCCCCTTCATATATTTTAAAGCCATTAAAGCAAGCTGTGATGGACAATAAGATTGGTTTCTTTTGCTCACATCCATGTGAACTTATTTAATTGTGTGTCTGTGGTAGTGAAACTTTGAACCACAAAAGACAGGGACTACTTTAAGCCTTCGCTTTTGCAGATTGATACGTGTATCTCGTCCTTTTGCAGTTACTTGTCATTATCTGCCTAAGAATAGTATTTCTAAGAAGTTGTTTCTGTGTATCTTCTGGGGAAGAATTTGTCCTTCAGTTACATGTGATTGCAACATGTTGATAAAAGCAAAAGAAAAGCAATAAAATCATTTGGTTGAATATCTCATTTCTTTGAAGCCAAACAGTTTTTGAGTGATAAGAAAGCAATTCAGTGGAACTTACTGTTCAGCATCTTACAGAACAGGATTCATATGTACTTGTGTATTCACATGCGAATTCATGCACACATTATCACCTAAGAGAGTCTGAGTGTCCTGGTCCTCAAAGTATGTGGTTTTCAGAATTTACACTGTATACAAATCTAGAACGACATTTGCTGCCTAAAGGACAATGACGTTAGATCTACACAGCAAGAGTTGAATAGAGCTTTGTTCATCTTCTCACAAATTTGGGTGGATCTAAATTGCTTATTTTAGGACAATTTAAACTTCCTAGTTTAAAACTTTATGGTTATCTGGTTAACTTAGGTGAAGTCTATTACATTAGACAGCAATGAAAGCAAATGAGCCACCCGCCAAGTAACAAATGGACCTTTAACCAAATATTCCTAAATATTCCAAATATTCCTAAATCACTACAAAACGCTTCTCTAAAATCCCCAAAACTGTTCCATCCAGGGACAATATAAAGTCAACAGGACCCTATGAAGATGCCAGTGCTAAACCAAAGTCAGAACATGTTTCTTCTTATGAACAATGGAATCTTTTATCCATAACGGGGTCTCTTTTTAGTTTGCCTGGTAAATCTAGAAATACCAGGGTGACCCCCACTGAGACATCATAGTACCCAAAGGAAAATGTTGCTTCCTTCATTCTGTGACCATAGAGAGTTTAAAAGTGTGTAGCCAAAACTTTTGTTAGTTTTAGAGGAGATGCATCTAATGATTTTGCTGTGGTTGTTAGGCCAGAAGTTCATTTAGAGTTCATCTATGCCTCTAGATCATTCTCCCAGGTCCTCTTACAACTTCCTGGCTCAATCATAGTGGTAAGGTCCACCTTGTTCAACTCCCATGTTCCTAAGCAACATTAACTACTATGACGTGAAATCAGGAAGACAATTGCAAAGTGCTTTCAAAATGTGTGTGTGTGTGTGTGTTTGTGTGTGTGTGTAGGAGAATGAAAAAAAATCAGGTCTTAAGACATTGCAGAGGCCAGGCACGGTGGCTCACACCTGTAATCCCAGCACTTTGGGAGGCCGAGATGGGCAGATCACCTGAGGTCAGGAGTTCAAGACCAGCCTGGCCAACATGGTGAAACCCATCTCTAGAAAAATACAAAAATTAGCCAGGCGTGATGATGGGTACCTGTAATCCCAACCTGCTTGGGAAGCTGAGGTGGGAGAATCGCTTGAACCCGGGCGGTGGAGGTTGCAGTGAGCCAAGATTGTGACATTGCACTCCAGCCTGGGAGACAGAGCAAGACTCCGTCTCAAAAAAAAAAAAAAAAAAAAAAAAAAAGACAGCAGAGTTTAACAAGGAAATTGAAATCTACTCTAAGTATTTTAAAAGAGGGTATTAGAAAACACTCTGCTATGTCTCAGGTGAAACAGAGAGTATTTAATTTAATTTAATGTATTTACTTAGAGATAGGGTCTTGTTCTGTCCTCCAGGTTGGAATGCAGTGGCATAATCACAGCTCACTGCAGCCTTAAAGTCTTGGGTTCAGGTGCTCCTCCTGCCTCAGCATCCTGAGTAGCTGGGATTACAGGCAGGCACCACCACACATGGCTAATTTTTATTTTATTTTTTAAGGAGGATATCGCTATGTTGCCCAGCCTGGTCTTGAACTCCTGGGCTCAAGTGATCCTTCCATCTCGGCCTCCCAAAGTGTTGAGGTTGCAGGCATGAACCACCGCTTTGGCCAACAGACGGTATTTATGTAACTGCCCAAGGGGTTCTCCTTGCCAGCTGCCTAGACAGAGCCTATTTATCAAGACAGGGGAATTGCAATAGAGAAAGAGTGATTCACGCAGAGTCAGCTATGCGGGAGACCAGAGTTTTATTATTACTCAAATCAGTCTCTCCAAGCATTCGTGGAGCAGAGCTTTTAAGGACATCTTGGTGAGTGGGGGCGTGGGAGGCTAGTGAACCAGGAGTGCTGATTGGTCACAGATGAAATCATAGGGAGTCAAAGCTATCTTTTTGCACTGAGTCAGTAACCTGGGCAGGGGCCACAGGATCAGATGAGCCAGCTTATCAGTCTGGATGGTGCCGGCTGATCCATCAAGTGCAGAGTCTGCAAAATATCTGAAGCACTGATTTTAGGAGTGGTTTAGGGAGGGTCAGAATCTTGTAACCTCCAGCTGCATGACTCCTAAATAATTTTTTCTAATCTCGTGGCTAATGTTAGTCCTACAAAGGCAGTCTAGTCCCCAGGCAAGGAGGAGGTCTGCTTTGAGAAAGGGCTGTTATCATCTTTGTTTTAAACTATAAACTATAAACTGAGTTTCTCCCAAAGTTCATTCAGCCTACACCCAGGAATGAACAAGGACAGCTTGAAGGTTAGAAGCAAGATGGAGTTGATTGAGTTAGATCTCTTTCACTGTCTCAGTCATAATTTTGCAAAGGCGGTTTCATTTGCTACAAAGAATTGGTTCAGTGGGTGATAAAAGTTCTGAGAGGCCAAACAAAGGGCAGTGGAGGAACCCAGAAGTTGGTAACAGCAGGAAGCCACTATGTTTCTAGGCTTGCGAGTCAAAAGGAGGGGAGGTTGCCAGAGCCAGGAGCTGGGTTACTCAGCACCCACGGTGGGCATGTCTGGGAAGAACTGGAGTCACATGGGATCTGCAGGAGTGGCTGAGATACCTGGTGAGGTAGAGAGAGAAGGGGAGAGATCCTCTGGCTTCTCCTTTCTTCCCACTCTTAATCTCCTGACAATGCCCCGCTTAGCCAAACTCACCTGGAAGCCAGGAAAACACCATCTGCATGGGTCAGCCCCACTGACCAGCACAGGGGAAGAAGCACTGGATCTGACTGGCTCAGTGGTCCGTAAGGAATACGGCAGGACCGACTCCTGGCTGACAAAGGTGGGAGTCATTGAACTAGTGGAATTCTGGCCATCACCTCACGCACCTACTTCATGGCATGCTTTCATCTGAACCATTTTATTGCTTGAGGGTGATAATCCATGACCTTTAAAACACAGATATATCACTGGGTGTGGTGGCGTACACCTGTGGCCCCAGATACTTGGGAGGCTGAGGTGGGAGGATCCCTTGAGCCCAGGAGTTGGAGGCTGCTGTGAACTGTGATTATGCCACTGTACTCCAGGCTGGGTGACAGAGGGAGACTTTGTCTCAAAAAATAAATAAATAAATAATTAAAAAATTGAAAAAATAAAAATTGAAAGTTAAGAAAACCACAGATAAGTCACGGGCAGACCTTTATCAGAAACCACCGTGCTTGACTACCTGGGGCAGTGCTGTGGTTCTGCTGGGGGTTAGAAATGCAACTGGAAGGCCTTTGACGGCCACTAAGAGGGCCACACCTTTCGTTAATTCTCCTCTAGGATGTTCTTGGGAAACTGAGTTGAAGACTCTTCATGAACTCATATTGGTTCTTCTCAAGGAAGAGCCTCTGCCTATGGAGAGTTGTACTAACTTATACTCTTTAGAGGATATAATGACCTAATATAGGCAAGAAAATATAGTACTTATTATTAGAATAACAATCCATCTATAAAATGCATCTGTTATGGAAACACAGCTCATGGTGAGAACCGTAAATAGCTTTGTTTTCCATTTTCTATACTGCCTCCCCAACCAATACAGACAGTAATCAATCTGGAATGTCACTTACTTAATGGTATGATCTGGCCTTTAAAAAAAAATAAAAAAATAAAAATATAAAATAAAAAATAAAAATTTAATTTCAAAGCAATTTTCGATTTACAGAAGAATTGCAAGCATAGTAGAGAGAGTTCCCATAGGCCTCACATCCACTGTTTCCTGTTATTAACATCTTATGTAAGTAGAGTCCATTTGTCACAATTAATGAGCCAGGTACATTATTATTAACTAAATTCCACACTTGATTCGTATTTTCTTCAGGTTTTCCTAATGTCGTTTATGTACTGTTTTCTGTTTTAGGATCCCACTGGGGACACCACATTACCTTTAATCATGCCTCTTTAGGCTCCTTTTGGTTGTGACAGTTTCTCAGACTTTCTTGGTCTTTGGTGACCTTGACAGTTCCAAGGAACACTGTCACCTATTTGTTAGAATGCAGAGATGAGATTTGTTTGATGTTTTTCTGTTGATTAGACTGGGGTTATGGAGTTATGGGAAGACCAGAGAGGTGAAGTGTCATTTTCAGTAAATCATGTCAAGGAATGGGGATTAGAAATGCAACTGGAAGGCCTTTGACAGCCACTAAGAAGGCCACACCACATAACACCTACACGATTCATCACTGTTGATGTTGACCTTGATGACCTGGCTGAGGTAGTGCCCGTCAGACTTATCTAGTGCAAAGCTCCTCTTCCTCCATCCCTTCCATGCTGTACTCTTTGGAAGGAAGCCTTTTTTTTTGAGACAGAGTCTCGTTCTGTCGCCCAGGCTGGAGTGCAGTGGTATGATCTCGGCTCACTGCAACCTCTGCCTCCTGGGTTCAAGCAATTCTGCTGCCTCAGCCTCCTGAGTAGCTGGGATTACACGTACCTGTTACCATGCCCAGTTAATTTTTGTATTTTTAGTAGAGACAGGGTTTCACCATGTTGTCCAGGCTGGTCTCAAACTCCTGACCTCAGGTGATCTGCCTGCCTCGGCCTCCCAAAGTGCTCAGATTATAGGCATTAGCCACCACACCTGGCTGGAAGGAAGTCATTTTGAGTGATGCTCTACTTTTTTGAGGAGCAAATATCTACATGATTTATTTGGAATTCCTCTGCACTAGAGATTGGTCTATTCTTCCCGATTTATTATTTAAATATTTGGTCATTTATTTATATTAGTATTGGACTCATGAATACTTATTTTCTATTTGGGGTTATCATTCAATAGTACTTTATTTATTTGTTTTTGCTCAAATGGTTCCTGCTTTGGTCAGTAGGAGTTCTTTCAGTTGGCTCCTTTGTTCATTTGACACACTCCCCATCATTGTGGTTTTTTGGTATGCTTAGTTGTTTAGCATGTCATTACTTTGGCACTACAAAATGCCCCAGTCTTAGAATCAGCCATTTCTCCAGGGAGCCCTGGATAAGCCATTGCTAAAGAATCATTTTAGAAACCAAGATCTAGGTGCTAAATGTGTCCAACCTGGCCCCCCCCCCTTTTTTTTTTTGAGACAAGATTTCGCTCTGTTGCCCAAGCTGGAGTGTGGTGGTGCTATCTCGCCTCACCACAACCTCCGCCTCCTGGGCTCAAGCCATTCTTCCACTTCAGCCTCCTGAGTAGCTGGGACCACAAGTGTGTACCACTACACCTGGCTAATTTTTGTATTTTTTTTGTAGAGACAGGGTTTCTCCATGTTGCCCAGGCTGGTCTTGAACTCCTGAGCTTAAGCCATCCTCCCATCTCAGCTTCCTGAAGTTCTGGTATTACAGGTGTGAGCCACCATGCGTGGAGGCAGCCTGGCCACTTTTAATCTATCCATTCATTTACTAAATATACACATTTTCTGAGTCCCGATTTTGGGCAAGACTCTGGGGCAGGCAAGAAAAATGAGGTGCAACTAACTCTATTACTCCATGGTCCAAGAAGAGGGCTGCCTGCAAGCTATGAATAGAGCTTACAGAGTATTTAAAGGTGGAAAGAGACTTTGCTCCTGATTCTAGACTTTATCTCCTATCCTCAAGGTCCATGTCTTGGTAGCTCTGCTCAGATCTACCCTTCCAGAGTCTGTAATATAAGGCTGACCCGAGTTTGAATCCTAGCTCTGCCACTTAGTAGCCATGTGATGGAACAAGTGTCTTAACTGCACTGAACCTCAGTTTCCTCATCCTTAAATGGGGGGCAGTGATGCTAAAAGGAAGCCCCTCCAGAAGCCCTGGTGAAGATGAAAGGGAGGACTTGTGGAATGTCCAGCCCAGTGTCTGCAGAGCCAGGCACAGCAAATGCTGGTGAGCAACAAGGTGACAACAGTCAGTGTTCCTCTTGGGATATAATTAACTTTGGAGTACCAGCTGATTCCTAGGACAGAGTTGGAGAAGAGGATATAATTAACACGGGTGGTAAAGGCAGAGTCAAGGAAGTAGCTGTGGAGTGAGCTGATGCCTGGGGTCAAAGACAGGTCTGTCCTGCGGATGACATTTCTCTTGAGAAGTAAACCGTCAGCAATCAGGACCTAGGGGTCACCTAGCATTTGGTGGCTCAACACAAGCTCTAGTACCAGGAGGTATGGCATCTGCTACAAAAACAAAATGCAGTCGTCACAATTTGTGCTCATCAAAATGCATTAACATAGTTTCTGCCATCAAAACCTGCTTGACATTAAGAAGGGGTCCTCTTGCTAGGGTACCCAACCACAGAGCTGCTCCCTCAGAGGGTGAAAATATGCTTAACACAGGGCTTTCTGTTCTGGAAAGAAAACAGGACTTAAACTGAGCTGCTTCAGAGAGGGTTGAGAGCTTCTTTATGGAGCAGGCAAAGCATGGATGTCATGAACTTTCCTAACACACTAGGTGAGGGGCAGCCCTACAGCCCTGAGATAGAATGGCTTTTCCATTGGTTTTTCCAATACCCGAGGGAGGGCATGACTATCCCCATTGGTGTTTTTCCTTCACTTGAGAAGCATCTAGGCCAGTGATTCTCAAAGTGTGGTCCCTGGACCAGCAGCAGCAGTGTCACCTGGGAACTTGTTAGAAACACAACTTCTTGGGTTCCATCCCAGATCTACTTAATTAGGAACTCTGGGGCTGGGCATCACTCCTCTTTCCTGCCCACTGCAATCTATGTTTTAATAAACACTCCAGGTGAGTGACTAGGATGCCAGCTAAAGTTTAAGAACTGTATTAGTCCGTTTTCACACTGCTGATAAAGACCTACCTGAGACTGGGTAATTTATAAAGAAAAAGAGATTTAATGGACTCACAGTTCCACTTGGCTGGGGAGGCCTCATAATCATGGTGGAAGGCAAAAGGCATGTCTTACATGGCAGCAGGCAAGAGGAAAATGGGAGCCAAGCGAAAGGGGAAACCCCTTATAAAATCATCAGATCTCGTGCGACTTACTCACTATCACGAGAACGGTATTGGGGAACCGCCCCTGTGATTCAATTATCTCCCACTGGGTCCCTCCCATAACATGTGGGAATTAGGGGTGCTGCAATTCAAGATGAGCTTTGGGTGGGGACACAGCCAAACCATATCAAGAACAATTGATCCAAAGGCTGCAGGATTGTCCACAACTTTCCATTGGAATCCTAAAGACATTTGAAACTCTAAGGACTTTGAGGTAGAGATTGACTTTCTCTTGCATATGCCATTAAGTAGGTTTGCAGTAAATAGTTGTTGAATGGAGGCCGAGGTGAGCAGATCACTTGAGGTCAGGAGTTCGAGACCAGCCTGGCCAACAAGATGAAACCCCATCTCTACTAGAAATACAAAAATTAGCCAGGTTTGGTGGTGCACATCTGTAATCCCAGCTACTAGGGAGGCTGAGGCAAGAGAATTGCTTGGACCGGGGAGGCAGAGGTTGCAGTGAGCCGAGATTGCACCACTATACTCCAGCCTGAGTGACAGAGTAAGACTCTGTCTCCAAAAAAAAAAAAAAGTATCCAAAACCCTGACAACACCAAATGCTTATGATGATGTGGAGTAACTGGAACTATCATTGACTGCTGGCAGGAATGCAACATGGCAGTGTCACTTTGGAAGACAGTTTGGCAGTTTCTTACAAAACTAAACATATTCTTGCCATGTGGTCCAGCAATGACACTCATTGGTACTTACCCAAAGGAGTTGAAAATTTGTGTTCATGTTTATAGTAGCTTTATTTTTCATTGCCAAAATTTAGAAGCAACCAAGATGTCCTTCAATAGGCGAATGAATAAACAAACTGTGCTATATCCAGATGGTGGAATATTATTCAGCAATAAAAAAGAGCTATTGAGCCATGAAAAGACGCAGAGGAACTGTCATGCACATTGTTAAGTGAAAGAAGCCCATCTGAAAAGGCTACATACTATATGACTCCAAATATAAGACATTCTGGAAAAGGCAAAATGATGGAGACAGTAAAAAGATCAGTGGTCACCAGTGGTTCAGAAGGAGGGAGGGATGAATAAGTGTGTATTAGTCTCTTCTCACACTGCTATAAAGGAATACCTGAGACTGGGTAATTTATAAAGAAAAGAGGTTTAATTGGGTCATGGCTCAGCAGGCTGTACAGGAAGCATAACACAAGCATCTGCTTCTGGGGAGACCTCAGGAAGCTTCCAGTCATGGGGGAAGATGAAGGGGGAGCAGGTGTCTCACATGGCAGGAGCAGGAGCAAGAGAGAGAGAAGGGGGAGGTGCTACACACTTTTTTTTTCTTGAGATGGAGTCTTGCTCTGTCACCCAGGCTGGAGTGTAGTGGCACGATCTCAGCTCACTGCGACCTCCGCCTCCCAGGTTCAACCAATTCTCCTGCCTCAGCCTCCCGAGTAGCTAGGACTACAGGCATGTGCCACCACGCCCGGCTAATTTTTTGTATCTTTAGTAGAGATGGGGTTTCACCGTGTTAGCCAGGATGGTCTCGATCTCCTGACCTCGTGATCCGCCTGCCTCGGCCTCCCATAGTCCTGGGATTACAGGTGTGAGCCACCGCGCCCAGCCCACCACACACTTTTAAATAACCAGTTCTTGTGAGAACTCATTCATTACTTCAAGGACAGTACCAAGAGAACACTGCTAAACCATTCATGAGAAATCCAACCCCATGATCCAATCACCCCCCACCAGTCCCCATCTCTAACACTGGGGATTACATTTCAACGTGAGATTTGGGTGGAGACACAAATCCAAACTATAAAAAGGAGGAACACAGAGGATTTTTAGAGGTAGTGAAACTATTCTGCAGGATACTGTGATGGTGGATACATGTTATTAGACATTCTCAAACCCCACCGCATGTACAACACAAAGAGGGAACCCTAATGTAGGCTATGGACTTTAGTTAATAATAATGTATCGATATTGTGTCATCAATGGAAACAGATGTACCACATAAGTGCAAAGTATTAATAATAGGGGAAAATGGTGAGGGCATGTGGGGATACACAGGCTCTCTCTGTACTTGCTGATCAATTTTTCTGCGAACCCAAAATTACTCTAAAAATGTCTTTTGAAAAAATGGAATTAGGGAAGGTCAGAATGCCCTTTGATGAACAATCACTGTTTGGGCATTTGAATTAATATCCTGACGGACAGCAACTAGAGCCCTTTCCCAGGTATACTGTCAGATCTGGTTGTCCTTGACTTTCCCATGATCTCTTCTTGCTATTAAGCCTTACTACCAACACACTGGGGTCAGCTCCCTGGACACATGAGCATGCTGATTGAAGAGCATCTTGTTTTATTAGAAGCATAAGTTCTATCATCTGTTCTCCATAGTAAAGAGGGGTCTTTCTAGCTTCCAAGTATAGCAATGAATTCTGGATAGAATTGTATCTGGCCCTCTTTGTGAAATTCCAGATACTTGGGGGAATGTCCTGGGACACTGGAAGAAATTTTTTTTTTTTTTTTTTGATGAGATGGAGTCTCGCTCTGTCTCCTAGGCTGGAGTGCACTGGCGTAATCTCGGCTCACTGGAGCCTCTGCCTCCTGGGTTCAAGTGATTCTTCTACCTCAGCCTCCCGAGTAGCTGGGATTACAGGCATGTGCTACCACACCCAGCTAATTTTTGTATTTTTAGTAGAGATGGGGTTTCACCATGTTGGCCAGGCTGGTCTCGAACTCCTGACCTCAGATGATCCGCCCACCTTGGCCTCCCAAAGTGCTGGGATTACAGGGATGAGCCACGTGCCTGGCCTTCTTTTTTTCTTTTTGAGACAGTTTCACTCTTGTCACCCAGGATGGAGTGCAGTGGCGTGATCTCAGCTCAGTGCAACCTCCGACTCCCAGGTTCAAGTGATTCTCCTGCCTCAGCCTCCCACGTAGCTGGGACTACAGGCATGCGCCACCACATCCAGCTAATTTTTGTATTTTTAATAGAGACGGGGTTTCACCCTGTTGGCCAGGCTGGTCTTGAACTCCTGACCTCAAGTGATCCACCCACCTCGGTGTCCCAAAGTGCTGGGATTACAGGCGTGAGCCACTGCACGAGGCCTGATAAATTTCAATGATTTGACTGTTCTGGTGGATGAAGGCCTTGGATATTTCTCCTTGTAGGGGGAATCAGTTGTTCTGAAGAACTTTGGTGTTTGCCTTAAGATGATGAGTAGAAGCTTCTCTGTGACAACTGCATTTCACACTCATGAAAACATTCCAGTAATATTAACCACGTGGCTCTTGTAATCTTAAAAAGTCCCATATTGCTTCAGCAATTTTGTCAAGGGGGTTGCTAGGAAAAAAAGGGAGGGGTGGCAGAATGTCAATTTTCTTTAGGGTGGCAATAAGCTCAGCTAAGATTGTACATTTCTCAGATTCCTTGTAGTCAGGGGAGACCTTTGGCAATTCTGGCTAATGAGAAGTAAGCAGATGTTACAGGGTGGGGCTTCCAGGAAAGCTCTTTAAAAGAAGACAGAAAAAAAAAAAAATGTTGGTGTCAGGGGAATAAATTGGCACGCACCTTTCATCATCTGTTGTCCCATTTCTTCTCCCTGGAATGCTGATGCAATGCTGGAGGCAGAGTCGCCATTTTGTAGTCATGCGGTGACTGTGAGCACGAAGGCACAAACTAAGCAGGGAAACAAATAGCTAGAAGAAACATCAGTTATAGACACTGTTGTGCAGCTGCCATACCAATCCTGAATGGCTTACCACAGCAGCCCTTTACATGAGAAAAGCAAAGCCCCTAATTTGTGTAAGTTAATATTTTGGGAGTTTCTGTTACTTGCAGTCAAACCCAACATCTAACTGAATCAGAGGTATTTTCAGTCTACACTAGTGGTTGAGAGTATGGACTTTGAGGTCTGGCAGACCTACTGATATGTTGAGCTATGTGACCTTGGACATACTGCCTCACATTTCTCAGATGCTTCATTTGTAAGATGGAATCAACAACAGTACTAACCACTGGGTTGTTTTAAGGATAAGTTGATATATTTTAAGAGCTAATTAGCTCAGTGCCTGACACATACCAACAACTGACTAGATGTAGATGGTAGAGCGAAACTGAAGTTGCCTTCCAATACAGATAGAGGGTGCGCAGTTATGTACAAGAAGTTTTAAAACTAGGGCACAGGCTGGGTGTGGTGGCTCATGCCTGGTAATCCCAGCACTTTGGGAGGCCGAGGCAGGAGGATCACTTGAGGTCAGGAGTTTGAGACCAGCCTGGCCAACATGGTGAAACCTTATCTCTACTAAAAATACAAAAATTAGCTGGATGTGGTGGTGGGAACCTCTAAGCCCAGCTACTCAGGAGGCTAAGGCAGGAGAATCTCTTGAGCCCAGAAGGCAGAGGTTACAGTAAGCCGAGATTGTACCACTGCACTCCAGCCTTGGTGACAGAGTGAGGTCTTGTCTCAAAAAGCAAAAACAAAACCAAAACTAGGGCATGATTTGGCAGCACTGTGTCTTGGACACTGAATATTATACAGCTGCTGGACTTCATTGTCATGTGAAAAATCAAGGTCATCTGATGCTAAGTGGATCTGGCCAGGCCTACCCTCAGACTGGTATTCCCTCTCTCTGCCCCTTCTAGGGGTCTATGGCTACAGATCATTGTAGGAAAACTATCTGACTCAACATATAGCCCTCCTTACTGGCTAAGGAGAATTAGGCAGTTATGCAGAGAGGACAGGCTGTAATGCATGTTCCATGGCCATCCCTTGACTCGGTTGCACCCAAAATGGACATCCAACACAAAGAGCCCATTTTGAAGGCTGGCCAGAGGCTGACCAAGGGTCCTAGTAGGAAAATTTCTTACCTCTGAGATGGCTGTTTCAAATGTTCTCATCTCTCCTTAGAACTCCTTCCCTTTCTCATTCCCATCTGATGATATTGCTTCTCATTGATTGTAGTGAGAAAATAGAAGCAATTGGAGGAGAACTGATTTATTCTCTCAGAACTGAATCTCTGCCCCTTGGCCCTGCCTTCCTTCCTGTTCCCAGGGATGAACTGGACCTGCTCCTTGCAGAGGAGAGCACTTCACCAGGGCACTGGGACCGTGTCCTCTTGCCACTCTGGAAAACCACTTCTCTCTCTCCTGTATCATGACATACAACTGTACCTTTCTTCTGGATCATTCTCTATGCAAATGAGCTCTAACCTCTCCATCTTAACAACACAACAACCTTCTCCCTTGAGGCTGAGCCCCTCCCTGCTCCCTTCTCACTGCTGTGCTTCCCTTTACAGCCACACACCTGGCCTGTCCTCACTGTTCTGAAAGTGCACTCATCAAGGTCACCAGTGACTCTTTTGTTGCCAAATGCAATGGCCAGTTCTGAGTCCTTGGTTTACCCAAACTTCAGCAGCATTTCACCCAAATGATTACTCCCTTTTTGAAAAACTGTCTCCACTTGCTGTCTTCAGTGTGAGAAATAGACAATAACCAATATTAATACCTTTATAACATAATGTGAACTCCATTATGGTGAGGGCTTTATTTCATTTACAGCTATATTCCTAGCATCCAGAATGGTGCCTGTTACATATAAGGCATGCAGTATATTTGTTGAATGGATGAATCTGGATCAGAGGTGAGCAAAGTGCAGATCACAGACCAAATCTGGCCCATTGCCTGTTTTGTATATAAAGTTTTATTGGAACACAGCTATCCTCATGCATTTGTGGATTGTACAAGGCTGCTTTCACACATCGGCAGAGTTGAATAGCTGTGACAGTGACTGTGTGACCTGCAAGGGCAAACATATCTACTATCTGGCCTTTTACAGCAAAACTTTGCTGACCCCTGATTTAGATAACTACTTCAACTTCCACTACATGCTGTGTGGGCAAGACCCTGACCCCACATGACCAATGAGAGAAAGTTCACATGGAAGAAACACAGCTGCCTCTTTCACCAGGAGCATTCTCAGGATTTGTCCATGGCCAAGGGCTGAGAAGGACTCTCTATGTAAATATAATAAAAGGGTATGGGGTGAAGATGGAAGCAAAAAAACAATTAATCCGTATTAATAAGAAAAACATTCCTGTGCAACCATTTTATATCATGCACTTTGCATATATGTTTCACTGAATGCTCCTATAATCCAGTGAGGCAGGCACTGTCATTTCCATTTTGCAGATGAGGAAATGAAAGCAAATGCAAGTTAAATGTTTTGCTGAAGGTCACAGAGCTACAGAATATCAGAAAAGGGGTAGCTGATGCCAGTACCAGGAATAGACCCTTGGGGCAGGGAGCAGCTGTGATAACCACAAGCACACACAGGGTTGTGATGACATGCAAGTGCTGTTCCCAGTCTGCCCATCTGTCTTGGGAAATCAAGGCCTAGGAAGATGGACTGACTTGCCCAAGGCCACCTGGCCGTGGTAAACGGCACAGCAGGACTTGATCTCACAGTCTGGCTTTAGACTCAGTTCCTCACTACTCTCCTGTAATGCATGACAGGTCCTTGATGAATAGCCGTTAAGCAAATAAACGAATTTGAAGGCAAATTTGTGGAATCCCAGCCAGTGCCTCTGCCTCCACCCTGCAGAGGCCACCCTTCTAAGGTTCAGAGGGCTCAGCAGCATCTGCTTAGAGTAGAGCTGGCAAGAAGGGGGAGGTGTTGTCGTAGAAATTACTAGAACATTTCAGGATTTATTCATTCTCTGTCTACATTTTTGTCTCTCTTGGGGCAGTGCCCATTTCCCTGGGGAAACTATCATTTCAATAACTGGTGATAACATCTGTCTTTAAACTTGTGAACCACTTGTAGAGATGTATTTCAGAAGGGAACTAAGGCTTCCGGTTTTAGGGCAGTTTCTTCCAAAATCATTGAAGTTGCTTTCTTACTCAATCCTGGCTACAGGTTTGAATTGTGCAACAAAATGTATCCCCCAACAGACTACTGTACAAATTATGCCCTCCATTGGGAGGTGAATTTTTTTCCCCTGTCAAAGTTACTTAACTTAAAAAAATTGGGATTTGATGTATTTCTCTTTCAAAATCAGATAAAGCCATCAATTTTATGTACATTTGGCCAGCTCTCAAGAGTGGGACAGGGGTATTCTAGAGAGGAAGCATTCTCTGCTCAGTAAGGCATGTTTTCGATTTTCTGGTTGTGGGGTAAAATTAATGATATCTTTCCTTCTGTATTAATCAACTCAGATTGCCGTAAGAAGATACTATAGATTGTGTGGCTAAACCAACAGACATGCATTTTTCACAGTTCTGGAGGCAGGAAGGTGAAGGTGCCAGCTGATTGGCTTCCAAGTAAGGCCTCTCTTCCTGACTTGCAGATGGCCGCCTTCTCGCTGTGTCCTCACATGGCCTTTCCTTAGTTTGTGCATATAGCAGGGCTGGGGTGGGAGTTGGGAGTGAGGGAGAGAGAGAGGAATTTCTCTTCCTCCTCTTATAAGGCAACCAATTCTATTGGGTTAGGGCCCCACCCTTCTGACCTCATTTAACCTTAATTATCTCCTAAATGCCCTATCTCCAGATACAATCTCACTGTGGGGATTGAGGCTTCAACATATAAATTTTGAGGACAACACAATTCAATCCCTCTCCTGGGACCCTGAGAACCATCCCATGTGACCTGATACTGTGAAAGTTTGCAAGCTGACTGCAAATATTGTTCAATCTGGTTTTGAGACCATGATTAACATGCTTCCATGTAGGAAGATCCCAAACTCTATTCTTTAGTTTCAAGTCCTTGCACACATGAGGAAAAAATTGTGTGCATTGTGCAGCAGTTAGTAGTTTTTCTGAATATTCCATACAGTAATAATAGCTTTGCTTAAAAGGTACCAGACACCCTACTACACCTTTTGTATCTCTAAGCATTTTGTATTATCTTTTAATCCTTTTCACAACCTTGTGACAGATGAAACAGTTATTATTATTCCCAGTTTATGGATGAAGAAACTCAGGTTTAGATAAGCTAGGTAACTTGCTCAAGAGAACACAACTAGGAAATGACTCAATTCAGGTTTGAACCCAGCACTGTGTAATTCCAAGGTATTCTCCTAACCACACTCCGTGTCTCCCAGTTGTTGATGAAACGTATACTTCCAAATACTTCATTCCACAATCATCAGGAATGATGGTTCAGCTTAATGCTTTAAAATTAACCTCTGGCTGAGAAGAAGTTAATTCAGTTTGGTTTAGTTCTTGCTTTTATTCAGATTTATCTTATCCATGTATTTTGGTTAGTAACCATTGAGGCAAAGGGATATTGCTCTGAAAAGCCACTCCTAACTTAAAACATTTTGCTTTTATTAGAATGTCAAAAAGGTTTTTGGTAAAAGACACTTCTAAAAAAAATCAGTGGAGAATGGTAATGGTGCCATTTCCCATTCTGTAATTTATTTTAATGACTGTCTTCTCTCATCTGTGTCGAGAGTGTCCTAAGGCAATTTTATGGGTTTTTTTAATTAAAAATTTTGCTCACTTTTCAGAAACCAAAAGAGAAAACTATCACAGAAAATGTTTTTCTCTTCTGTTTGTTCTGTGTTTCAAGTACTATGTTTCTATCATGATTAAAGTCATTTTTTTTTTGTCAAAGAAGTCCAGCTGTTTGAACCATCTGAACCGGAAGAGTGGAAAGGAATTGAGGTGTTTCTCCCTCCTTCTAGAAAGTTAAGGGTAGCAGAATTTGAACACCACAAGCCTCAGAGAGAAGTGACAGAGGTGAGGACAGATGACCTAATTGGTTATTCCTAGTTATTAGAATTAGGCGGCTTATCTCTTTTTTCCTAAATGTTTATACCTATGGGAGAATTTTCCAGCTTCCTGGGAACACAATTTTTTTTCTTTCTCGAGAGAGATAAGTGTGTTTACTCTCTGCAGTATCTATTCAACTGCAAGGAAGTATTGCAGGGCAGAAGCAAGCTCTTCAATACAAAGCAGCTCATTTCAAAGCATCCAGGCTTACTTTTGTTGTCTGTGCCTATTCATCCTATAAACTGCTCTTCATCAAAATAGTTAACTCTCCCCTGTTCTGCCCCCATCCACTCTTGAGAATGAGGGGATGGCAGGAAACCATCAATACAAAAATCTATGTGGCAACAACAACCATTTGGCCTGTTGAGAGGTGCTTATGCAGAAAGAAACACAAGAAAACAAAGAGGAAGTGTGTGAACTTCTGACCCTCTTTGCCACATGCCATTTGGTGGGTGGGTGGCATGAGCAAGCATCCTGCAGTGGGTGTTTTTATGGGACCAAGTGACAAAGAGCCAAACAGGGTGAGAACTCATGAGTAGCAAGTGGAAAACTACCAAGAGCTGTCCCATCACTCCTGCAACAAACTTCACCTCGCTCAAGGGAGGGTAGCTGAGGCTCCCTTCTCCAAATCCTGCAAGACACAGGCACTCTGATGGGGCCAGCTCTTCACTGCATGGGAGGGCTTTTGTTGAACAGTGAGTTTCTGTGCCCCGCTCCCTTTTTGGCCCCTTTTGCCCAAGTGGAGTGACACTTTATCAATTGGGGGGGCAGGCAACGAATAGAGGATATTAATGATTGCTAACGGACCCCCATCTGCTGTTCCGCCTGCAGCTTTTATGAAACCCACATTTTAAAATTAACACATGGAAAAGACAGTCTTAGCTCAAAAGTGTCAGCTAGGAAAGGAATTCAATTGATCCCCACTCTGTAGTTGTCTGAGTGGATCTGCTAAATGTGGACTTGCAGGAGGGCAAGAATTGTTCTGAAAACTGATATGAGAACACAGGCCAGCCTGTGCAGTGGCTACATCAAGGAATTCCAGAAGGTTTTACCTTTGGATTTAAATGTTGGCTTTAGCATTTGGTGGAAGTTTTCTGGGGAGATGAGAATATGATAACTCAGGGAGGAACAGTAAAAATTGGCTGAGGACGGCTAATGCCCTGGGGTTAGTGGTTTGCGTTTTCTTAGAACATGCAGGAAGGCAGGGGGCTTTTCTAGAAAGCACTCTGGGTCTGAAGATGTGAGAGCTGTGATTGAGCTGGGTTTAGCCTTTATTGTGACACTCTGGGCAAGAAACTTAACTTTTCTGAGTGTCTGTTAAAAGGTGACAATAAGACCCACATCTCTCAAACGAGACAGTGGGTGAGAAAGTGATTTGTAACACAGGACATTACAATAAATACTACATAAATTTTTTGTATAATAAAACTTGTAAATAATGTAGGCTGTCAATGCATCCGTTTGTTCAAGGAACATATATCTACAAGGAGCTGTTGATATACAATAAATAACAGACTCAGTCTCTGTCCTCACAAAGTTTACAGTTGACACTCACACGCAAACACAAAAGTCCTTTAAAGTGCGGTAAGTGCTATGATGGGTAAATAAAGGCTTCATAGAAGTTTATAAAGATGACGCCTACCCTGGTCTTGGGAAATTTCCAGGAGGCTTCCAGGAGGGAGTAATGTTCAAGCCAGGCTTAAATGCCATCTCCTCGGTGAGGACTCTCATGTACTGCTTAGTTAAAAACTTAACCCCTTACCCTCCTGTTTTATTTTTCTTTAAAGCACTAGCGCTATCTGATGCACTCCCTGTATTCACTTGCTGATAGTTTGTGTCTGTCTCTCTTAACCAAAGTGGAAGCTCATGAAGTGAGATATTTTTCTGTTTTGTTTTCTACCGCATCCTCTGCGCCTAGGATAGGTTATGACACATAGCAGGCACTCAAGATATGTTTGTGGAATAAATGAATATAAAATGTAAGTGTGATTTGGGCAGCCAGGAGAGCTGGAAATAATATTCCAGGAGCAGAAAACCATAAGCAAAGACCAGGAGGCCAAGTGTAGGTGGCTTGGTTTGGCTGGAGTATTAACATGTGAGGGTGGAATATGGAGAGATCAGACTGGGGAAGTAGGTAAGGCCAGATGGTGAAGGGTCTTGTAAGCCAAGTTCAAGGGCTTGGACCTTATTCTGAGGGTTGTAAGGACAGTTGAAGTATTTAATATGGAAGTGATAAGATCTGAGTTTCCACACAGCTTGGGACAGGGAGACCATGGGGAAGCTTCTTTCCTAGTCGAGGAGCAAGACAATGATGACCTGAACTAGGACTATGGCAATGGGGAGAGGGATTAGAAGGGATTGGAAGGGACAGGCCCTGACAGTTGATTGGCAGTGGGGAATGAAGGTGAGGGAAGCTCAGTGATCGGGTGGAGGCAATTCAAGTGACCTCATGGGTGGTGGTCCATTCATGGACATGGGGAAGACAGCAGCAGAAGCAAGTTTGGGATGAAGATGATGAGTTTTCAGTGTGGAACTTTTAGCTGAGTATGTTTTGTGAGCGTTTCTGTGTGAGTCAGTCTAGAAATGGCAACTGAAGCCATAGATGTTTGGAATTTTCCAGCTAAGAGAGAAAAGGAGTAGGCTTAGGAAAAGCCCCAGAAGACACTAATGGCAGAAGGATGGACAGAAGGAGAGAAGCCCAAGAAGGAATGTGGGAAAAAGATTTCGAGGGGGTCTAAGGAGGACCAGGAATAGATGGTATCGCAAGGAGAGAAGGGCTTGCCAGGTCAAGTTAGATATAAAAGTGTTATGGGTTTAAAATGTGTCCCCCAAAACGAAATGTGGAAGTTCTAATCTCTGGTACCTGTGACCTCATTTAGAGGTCATGAATTTGCAGATATAATCAAGTAAAGATGAGGTCATGCTAGATTAGGGTGGGCCCTAATCTTATAAAAAGAGGGAAATTTGGACACGGAGACACAAGCAAGGCAATGTGAAGACAGAGGCAGAGTTTGGCATGATGCCACCATAACCCGAGGAAAGCCAAGGAAGGAGGGCAACCACCAGGACTAGGAAGAGGCAGGGAAGTCTCCCTCCCGAGAGCCTTCAGAGGGAGCGTGGCCTTGTCAACACCATGATTTTAGACTTCTGGCCCCCAAACTGTGAGACAATATGTTTCTGCTGTTTCAAGCTACCTGGTTTGTGGTAATCTGTTATAGCAGTCCTACAAAACTAATACAGGAAGGGAAAGTATCCACAGATGTAGCAACAAGGAAGTCATAAGAAACCGTGGTAAAACTAGCTTCAGTCTAGCAGTGAGGGAGACTCAGACTGGAGAGGGTGGTAAAGCTAATGACAGGGGGAGAAATGGAGACCAGGTCTAAGCAAGTCTCCCCAAGCCTGGCTACGCAGGGAGAGAGAGAAGTCTACAGTAGCTAGAAGATGTCAATGAAATCTATCGAACGATCTACCAAATGATCTATCTATCTATCATCTATCTATCTATCTATCTATCTATCTATCTATCTATCTATCTATCATCTATCTATCTTGAGATTTTTTTTTTTTTTTTGAGACAGAGTCTCACTCTGTTTCCCAGGCTGGAGTGCAGTGGTGTGATGTCAGCTCACTGCAACCTTCTCCACCTCCCGGGTTCAAGCAATTCTCATGCCTCAGCCTCGTGAGTAGCTGGGAATTACAGGCACACACCACCTTGCCCAGCTAATTTTTTGTATTTTAGTAGAGACGGGGTTTCACCATGTTGCCCAGGCTGGTCTCAAACTCCTGAGCTCAGGCAATCTGCCCACCTCGGCCTCCTAAAGTGCTAGGATTACAGGTATGAGCCACCATGCCCAGCCCTCTCCTCTATCGATATCTATCTATCTATCTATCTATCTATCTATCTATCTATCTATCTATCTTCTATTTATATCTATCTATCTATCTATCTTCTATTTATATCTATCTATCTATCTATCTATCTATCTATCTATCTATCTATCTATCTATCTTCTATTTATATCTATCTATCTATCTTCTATTTATATCTATCTATCTATCTATCTATCTAATCTATCTATCTACCTACCTATGTATCTATAATCTATCTATCTATCCATCCCTCTAACTACCTACCTATTTTAAGTAACTAATTAACATATCCATCACCTTACATAGTTACTATTTGTGTCTGTTTTTAAGTGGTGAGAACACTTAATGATCAACTCTCTTAGCAAATTTAGCATATTCAATACAGTATTACTCACTATAGTCACTATGCTGCACATTAGCTCCCCAGAATGCACTGCTCCTCTATAACTGGAACTTTGTACCCTTTGACCAATATTTCTCCATTTCTCCCACTGCCCCCTCAGCCCCTGACAACCAGCATGCTACTCTCTGCTTTTATCAGTTGCACTTTTCTTTTGGTTGTTTTTGAGACGGAGTCTCCCTCTGTCACCCAGGCTGGAGTGCAGTGACGCGATGTCGGCTCACTGCTACCTCCGCCTCCCGGTTTCAAGCGACTCTCCTGTCTCAGCCTCCCGAGTAGCTGGGAGTACAGGTGCATGCCACCACGCCCAGCTAATTTTTGTATCTTTAGTAGAGACCGGGTTTCACCATGTTGGTCAGGCTGGTCTCGAATTCCTGGCATCAGGTGATCCTCGGCCTCCCAAAGTGCTGGGATTACAGGCGTGGGCATGCCGGCAATGAGTTCCACTTTTTTTTAGACGTAAGTGAGATCATGTCATATTTATCCTTCTGTGTCTGGCTTATTTCACTTAGCGCAATATCTTCCAGACTTATCTGTTGTTCAAAATGTTGGGATTTCCTTCTCTTTTTAAGGCTGAATAATATTCCAGTGTATTCGTATGTGACATGTATGTATCATATGTTCTTTATCTACTTATCTGTTGATGGACACTTAGTTTAATTTCATGTCTTGGCTATTGTGAATAATACTGCAATAAACATGGGGGTGCATATGCATCTTCAAGATATTGATTTCATTTCTTTTGGATATATCCCTAGAAGTGGGATTGCTGGATCATATAATAGTTCTGTTTTTAGTTTTTTGAGGAATTTCTCCACAGCGGCTGTACTAATTTACATTTCCACCAAGTGTACAAGAGTTTCCTTTTCTCTGAAAGAGACCAGTACCAGTCCATGGCCTCTTAGGAACTGGGCTGCATAGCAGGAGTTAAGCAGCAGGCAAGCGAGTGAAGCTTTATCTGTGTTTACAGCCACTCCCTATTGCTCACATTAGTGCCTCAGCTCTGCCTCCTGTCAGATCAGCATTAGATTCTCCTAGGAGGGCGAACCCTACTGTGAATTGCACATGCGAGGAACCTAGGTGGTGCACTCCTTATGAGAATCTAATGCCTGAAGCTCCGTCACTGTCTCCCATCACCCCCAGATGAGACCATCTAGCAGGAAAACAAGCTCAGGGCTCCCATTGATTCTACGTTATACTGAGTTGTATAATTACTTCATTATATATTACAATGCAATAATAATAGAAATAAAGTGCACCATAAATGGAATGCGCTTGAATCATCCCCAAAGCATCCTCCACCCTGGTCCGTGGAAAGATTGTCTTCCAGGAAACTGGTCCCTGGTGCCAAAAAGGCTGAGGACCGCTGTTTTTGACAATAGTCATCTTGACAGTGTGAGGTGATATATTATTGTGGTTTTGATTCACATTTCCCTGATGAGATTTTATTTTTCATATAAAGATTTGATCAGATTTAAATGCTGATGGGAAGCCATTGGAGAGGAAAACATTTTCTGAAAATACAGTCATGTGTCACTTAACAAGAGAGATATTTGTTGCTGTTGTTTTTTCTTTCTTTCCTTCCTTCCTTCTTTCTTTCTTTTTTTATTTTTTTTTGAGACAGTGTCTCACTCTGTCACCCAGGCTGGAGTGCAGTGGTGCGATCTCGGCTCACTGAAACCTCCGCCTCCTGGGTTCAAGCGATTCTCATGCCTCAGCTTCCCAAGTAGCTGGGATTACAGGCACCCGCCACCACGTCCGGCTAATTTTTGTATTTTTAGTAGAGATGGGGTTTCACCATGTGGGCCAAGCTGGTCTCAAACTCCTGGCCTCAAGTGAACCGCCTGCCTCAGCCTCCAAAGTGCTGGGATTACAGGCATGAGCCACCATGCCTGGCCAACAATGAAGGCATGTCCTGAGAAATGCATTGTTAGGTGATTCTGTCATTGTGTGACCATCGTAGAATGTATTTACGCAAACCTAGATGGTATAAGGCACTACACTCCTAGGCTGTATGGTGTATCCTACTGCTCCTAGGCTACAGACTTGTCCAACATGACACTGTACTGAACACTGTAGGCAGTTGTAACCTAATGGTAAGTATTTGTGTATCTAAACATAGCGAAACATAGAAAAGGTACAGTAAAAATCGGGTATAAAAGATTAAAAATAGAGTGTAAAAGATAAAAAATGGTGCACCTGTATAGGGCCCTTGCCATGAATGGAGCTTACAGGACTGGAGTTTGCTGTAGGTGACTCTGAGTGAGTGGTGAGTGAATGTGAGGGGCATTACTGCCCACTCCTTTATAAACACTGTTATAGACTTTATGAACACTGTATGGCTACACTAAATTTATAAACACATGAAGTCATTGTGCTACAACATTACAATGGCTAGCACGTCACTGGGCGATAGGAATTTTTCAGCTCCATTATGGTCTTACGGGAGCTGTGGTATACACAGCCCGTTGTTGACTGAAACGTCGTTATGCGGCACTTGACTGTATAAGAAAGGGAAGATGTAGTCCCAGCTACTCGGGAGACTGAGGCAGGAGAATCGCTTGAACCCGGGAGGCGCAGGTTGCAGTGAGCCGAGATCACACCACTGCACTCCAGCCTGGGCGACAGAGCAAGACTCTGTCTCAAAAAAAAAAAATAAAATAAAAATAAAAATAAAAATAAAAAAGGAAGAATCTGTCAGTGAGCGAGGTGTCCAAAAGGGGTAAGTACGGGATCCAGAGTAGAGTACTGGGGTGCACAGGTGGGTCTGGAGGTCTGGCTGCAGGAAGCAAAGCTGGTTCCTGCCGGACAGCTCTCTGGGAGCCCGAGTGTAAGGCCAACTTAAAGGAAGGCAGAGCAGGTCAACTGGGGGGCTTGAGAAGTGAAAACAAAGTGGTCCACTGGCCAGAATGGGAGAGCTGACAAGGTAAACAGAAGATTCTGAGGCAGACACACGTAGCCCAGATGGAAGCGGGGTTCCGCAGACATTCTGACTGCCCCTCCTACGCACTCACTTTTCCTGGCTGACTAAGCCCCAGGGTCAGGAATGCACCACTGAGAGAAGGTAGCCCCTCTCTCTTTCTGCCGGATATTGGCAATTCTGCTGTAACAAACACCCCCAAGATTTTAGTGGCCTAAACTCATACATATTTATTTATTGTTCACTGGGTCAGCATCTCTCCTCAAGTGCAGATTCAGGGACCCAGGTTCCTTTCACCTTGTGATGCTGCCAGATGTATGACTTACAGAAGAAGCGAGAGGGTGGGTCATTCACACGGAGTTAGGCTCATCCCTTTGGTGTACATCTCATTGGCCAGGCCCAGTCATATGCCCTCAACTAACAGCAAGGGAAGCTGGGAAATGTAGTTTTCCTGCATGCTGAGGTGGAAGAATGACGTGGTCAGCACAGCGCAAGTCTCTGCCTCAGCATGTGATACCTGGAATTATGGCAGCATGGTACAACCATGAGGGCAACTAATCGGACATCTGAGGATGGAAGCGGGGGAAGATGCAAAGAACCTGGGTCTTTGGTGACGTCGTTAAGCAGCTGATGTAATCAGCCTGGGGTTTTCCTTTCTGTAGATTTTTTTTTTTTTTAAGGACAGATAATTTTTTTCTACTGCCAAATTTTTTTGAATTGGAAATTTTTCTGGTTACTTACAACCACAATTGGCATCATTCAAAAACCATTAATTTAATTACATTACTTAAACAACTTATTATACTTAGAGTATTATATTTCATCATAGGGAAGAAGTGGAACAGTATCTAGTTTATTGCTTAGATTTCAGGAAACTCAGCTTGTTTATTCTTGACCCCAGTGGGAAAGGGGATTCAAAATACTTTTTGTCTCAGAGTTGGGGTAGAATTGAATATTTGCATGACATTTACATCCTGTAAGAAACAATCAAGAATATGACCGTGCTGATTGGCATTTTAAGCAGTCTGTCATTGACTGACCGTAAATATGTGACCTGCTTTACAAACCTCTAATTCTTCATTCTTTTATTTATCAAGTACTTTTGTAGGACCTTCTACATGCGATTGCTTCTATCTTCATCTGCTAGGTTGTGCACTACTGAAGGGAGGTGTTTCTCTTATTTACTTTTATACCCGTGTTACCTAGCAAACAGGATTCCACACATAGATGGGACATAAATAAATATTTGTTGTCAGTCGCTGTGGCTCGTGCCTGTAATCCCAACACTTTGGGAGGCCGAGGCAGGTGGATCACCTGAGGTTAGGAGTTCAAGACCAGTGTGACCAATGTGGTGAAACCCCATCTCTACTAAAAATACAAAAATTAGCCGGTTGTGGTGGCGGGAGCCTGTAATCCCAGCTACTTGGGAGGCTGAGGCAGGAGAATTGTTTGAATTCGGGGGGTGGAGGTTGCAGTGAGCTGAGATCACACCATTGCACTCCAGCCTGGGTGACAGAGTGAGACTCTGTCTCAAAAAATAAATAAATAAATAAATTGTTGAATGAAGTTTGATCTGATCTTCCTGGTAGAATTGAAAATGAGTGGGGTTTAGACAGTGTTGGAATGGAATTTTGACTTTATAACTCTCATTAGGTGATTTTGGGGAAGTTCCTTAATCTATCTGAGCCTCAGATTCCTACTTATTGAGGATAACAATCCACAAGACAGCATATGTAAAGTGTCTAGCTTATGGCCCGGCACAAAACAGGCCCATTGTAAATAGCGGTCTTTCTTCCAGTATGTTATATAGATCAAGTCGTTTCAATAGATGAATACTCTAAAAACTCAAATTTTATGGTAAACAGTTAAGAAAGTGAATCCACTGCCAGAAAATTATGTAAAGCACATTGCAAATTATATTTGGATTAGTTTCTCTTTGGATGATCCATGACAGGGTTTTCTGCTATTTGTGAAGATAGTTGAGAGTCAACAATCTTTCATTTTCACTCACATGTACCCAGAGCATCTCCCAAACACACAAATGCAAAGAATGGAATTTTCTCTCCAATTTCCAGATGAGGTATTTATCTTTGCGGCTGAGCTAAAGGATAGCTTAAAATCGAATCTCATGCTAACACTACGGGCTCGACCAACTGTTCTTCTTAGTTTAAGTGATTTCTCTCATAACTGAGCTGGGCGACGCAGTTTTATGACAAGGTTAGACAGCAGTAATTCATTCCTGTTGGTGTTGGCTGTGCAGGTGAGGCAGATGGCATGGCTTGTGCTTATTTTGTTTGGATTAGAGAGCGCTGCACTCACTCAGAAGTCCTCAGTTGAGTCGCAGATCTGTGACTTAGTCACACTGTGACCTTGGGCGTGTGAGTTCAAACACGCCCTGGTTTCAGTTTCTTCTTCTGTACAATTAGGGCTTTAGACCAGGTGTTCTGGAGGTGTCTCGAACCCTAAATTCTATGATAGGGGTTTCTTTGCTGCTTCCTTTTCCCCTTATTTATTTATTATTTCAGTATTCATGTCTCAAATAATTTAAAAAAAAGAACAAAAGCATGTGTATGCACATAGTCATTACTCTATTATTTTTCCATGGGGGGAAAAAAAGGAAATAGCCTAAGTGTCCAATATGACAGAAAAGGCTAAGTAAATGATAACAAATCAATCAATTTGGTGAAATATTATCCAATGGTCAAAAGGGTTGTTTATGAAGCCTCCCTAGCAAAATGGGAAAATGTGTCTGTCTGATGTTAAATGAAAAAGACAGAAGATAAGTGATCCCTCTGCCATGATAACAACACTCTAAAAAATACACAGAAATATGTGTGGATTCTAGAAGGGAGTGTGAGAAGTGGAAACAGTTGATACATTAAAAATATGATGATTTTCTCACTTCTAGTGGGAGGAAGGAAGTGTTCAATATATTTCAGGTTTCCCTTTGGGTGTCTTGTTTTGTACATTTATCTAAGGTGGGCTAATTGGGTTAGGTGCCTTAAGTGCTGGAAGGGGCTGGGGAATAGCTAACCTCAAGCAGGTTAGAGTCCAGTCCTTCTCTCTTCTGAGTCAAAGCTCCTTCCATAATAAGAGAGGAAAATGATCAATGTGTTCCTCAAATAGATTGAGCTTTGCTTTTTATTTTCCTGCCTCCCTCCACTGCTACCTTCTCCTTCTCCTCCCTCCCTTCTCTCTCTCTCTCCGTTTTGTTTGTTGTTATTTACCTTTCCCCCAACACTTATTTTCCCATTGGAGAAAAATGTACATATAATGAAATGCACAGCTGTAACGCGTACAGTTCCCTGAGTTTTGATAAATGTATACACCCCTGTAATCAACCCTCCCATGAAGATCATCAAGATACAGAACATTCCTATCACCTCAGAAAGTTCTCTGTGTTCCTTTCCAGTAAATCACCTGCCCCCCAGACAACCAGTGTTCTGATCTCTATCAACACAGATTAGTTTTACCTGTTCTAGAACTTCATCTCAATGGAATCACATGGCTGGCCTCTTTTTTTTCGGTCTGGCTTCTTTGGCTCCACATTCTGTTTTTGAGATTCGTCTATCTTGTGTGTATCACAGCTCATTCTTTTTTATTCCTAGTTAGTATATTCCTGAATGATGGCTCCAAAGATATCCAGGTCTTAATCCTGGAAACTTTGAACGTTATGCTGCCAAAGAGATTTTGCAGATGTCGACTGAATTAAAGATCTCGAGATGAAGGATTAGCTCGGATTATTCAGGTGGTCCCTAGATGTCATCACAAGTAAGAGGAAGGCCAAGGGAGATTGACTACAGAAGAAGAGTAGACAATGTGATCACAGAGGCAGAGACTGGAGGAGCGTAGGGGGCCGCCAGAAGACAGAAAGGCCAGGAAATGGATTCTTTCCTAGAGCCCCCAGAGGGAACCAGCCCTGCCAACACCTTGACTTTAGCCCAGTGAAATTGAATTTAGACTTCTGACCTCTAGAACTGAAAAAGAATAAATTCGTACTGTTTTTGTTGTTGTTATTTGAGACAGAGCCTCCCAGGCCGGATGGAGTGCAGTGGTGTGATCTCAGCTCACTGTAACCTCTGCCTCCCAGCTCAAGGGATTCTCTGCCTCAGTCTCCCGAGTAGCTGGGATTACAGGTGCCCACCACGGTGCCCAGCTAATTTTTGTGTTTTTAGTAGAGACAGGGTTTCATCATGCTGGCCAGGCTGGTCTCGAACTCCTGATCTCAGGTGATCCACCTGTCTTGGCCTCCCAAAGTGCTGGAATTACAGGCATGAGCCACCACGCCTGGCCTGTTTTAAGCCACTAATTTTGTGGTAATTTGTTATAGTGACAATAGGAAACTAATATAATTTTAAACACAATTTGTTTATCCATGCACCTCTTGATACGTGGGGTTATTTGCTGTCTGGAACTATTCTGAATAAAGCTGCTAGGAACATTCTTATGCAAGTCCTTGTGTGGACATATGTTTTCATTTCTCTTGGGTAAATATACCTAGGAATGGAATTTCAGAGGCATACAGTAGTTATGTGTTTAACGGTATAAGAAACTTTCAGTTTTCCCAATTAGTTTTACCATTTTATACTTAACAGTATGAGACCTGACCATCTTAAAAAACACATGCACACAAAACAGGAAGGTTGGGGTCATTCACCCCAAAGGGTAAGGGACTGGTGGGAGTCAATCCGTGTGTGTGTTCTGGATGATTCTAGACCCTGACTGTACTTCCAGAGTCTCAGCATGAGCTGTAGTACAGATTTATGCCTAGATTAGTTTTTCTTTATTTTCTTTCTTGAACAAGAAATGGTTCACCTGATACACCGCTCTCATCCTCTTCTTCCCTCCCGTGTTCCTGTGCTTCCTATCAGCACGCACTGTCCTTTCCCTGTGGGCGGTAGTCACACCCCCAAAGACCTGGACAACCTAGGGAACAGGAGCCAGTGAGTCTAGACCTCAGAGTCCTGAGAACGACACAGAAAACAAGTCTGCAGTGTGCTGCATGCCTCTGCCGTGTGGGGCAGTCAACCATATTATTCTTCAGTTAATGGAATTTTCTTTCTCCTCTAAGTAGGAAAACACCAGTAGCTCAGATGCCACCCACTGCAGTAGTTGATAAAACACTCAAAGAAAAGGAAGCAGGGAGAAAGAGGAAAATCTCCCTGGATCTGTTTTGTTTTGTTTTTTCTTTTACTTTTTCTTTTTCTTTCTTTCTTTTTTTTTTTGGTGGGCAGTGAGGTGGGGGTTCCTGGGTGGGGTGTAGCAGGGAGCCGTTTTGTTATTTTTGCTTTTTTTTTCGCCTAAAGAAAATTTGCCAGGTCCCCTTCCAATTCTGATCCCACTAGATTCCAGAAGTCTTCTGAGGTTAAGCTCAAGGACAAAGAGATGGTTGTTTTCCAGGTGCAATTTTGGTGAGCCAAGCTTTGACTCCCGAAAGAGGGTCTGGAATTTGGAAATCAGCTGGTTTGTCCCCCCTTGCCCCCCAGATTTCTCAAACTTGTTCAGATCATAGATCTCTCAAAACAAAATGGCTTATCAGCTCCTCTCATCTCCTTCCGTTTATAACACCTGCGTAGTAATACCTTGCATAGCTCACTAAGCACACCTCCTTCCATATGAGCTGTGTTATATTGTGGTACATCATTTGGAACTGCTGAGTCTATATGGAAATCCTGATGTACTCTCGTAGACCACTAGCCACACTGAGAGTGTTGGAAACTAAAGACCCCAGGTGTCCTTTGGAGCCAAGGACAGTTGTCTTGTACAAGATCAGTGGGGCTGGACCCATCCATTTGTGAGTCCTGAAGTCGAGCTCAATGATATTGTCTTTTGCAGTGACTGAACGGGCTCCCATGCCAGGCCTGGCTGGATGTTGGCCTGGGAGCCCTCTTTGCGCACGGTGGTACAAGTCCTCTCCCTGCTGTGCAGAACTAAGAGCTCTGGAATGTGGGCACAGCATGTGGTATAGGCACATGCCTGGTCCTCTGCAGGTTTAGAACAAGTTTGCACAGACATGGAGACCTCATGGGAGGGACAGTGCATTGCTTTGCAAAGGAAATTATTTGGACAAGCCCTCAGCTTTCATGCCAAGCAAGAGGTAGAACTACTCAGTTAACCCACCTTGGCATGAAAGTGCTGCCCTGGGTGTAAAGGAGACTTTTCTCCCAGGTATCCTTCTATATTGGACTCATACCAGCCCCAGACATTTGTTGTGCCAGGCATGACAATACATGCTTGACCTACGTCATCACTTTATCTTGTCACCGTACTTGGAAGGGAGGTGCAGAAACAGCAGCGCAACTTCTTCCAAGTGCCTACATTTCCCCATCGCCTTCCAAGCTAGGCATCCAGAGAATCTGCACCCTGTGGTTCTGGGATATGACAGCAGCAGGGTGTATGGGCATGGGCTTGTCCTCTCAGGTTGAGCCAGTTTGCACAGGTGTCAACACCCCATGGGTACCATGGTGCAGCCTAGCATCATGAAAAGAACAGGACATTTGGGTAAAATGATAAGAATGTGAATGTGAATCCCGGGCAGTGGTGAGGATCAAAGGTCAAAGGGGACCGTGAGAATGAAGGTGCTTTGTCAACTGTCAAGGGGCATACAGATACGGATGATTCTTGCTCTTGGTTGGGAAGGTAACACTCATTCAGGCAACATGAGAGTACTCGTCTTTAGCAGAAAATGGTACCCAGTGAGATTAGCACCCAGCAAGGTGGGTGGTATACAGAGAGGTGGTCGTACTAATGTGGAGGCTGGTTCCCATTGACGAGGTGGGGACTCAGTGAGGAGATTGTTACTCAGGAAGGAGGATGGTACCCAGTGGGGAGGATGCGCCCAAGGGGGAGGGTGTGCTCAGCAGGGAGGTTGGTATCCAGGGAGGATGATGGTACCCAGTGGGAAAATTAGTACTCACTGGGGAGACTAGCACCCATTGGTGAGGTTGTACCCATTGGAAAGATTGGTACCAGGGGGAAGGTTTTACCCAGGAGGAAGGTTGTACCCATTGGAGAGACTGGTACCAGGGGGAAGGTTTTACCCAGGGGGAAGGCTGTACCCATTGGAGAGACTGGTACCAGGGGGAAGGTTTTACCCAGGGGGAAGGCTGTACCCATTGGAGAGACTGGTACCAGGGGGGAGGTTTTACCTAGGGTGAAGGCTGTACCCATTGGAGAGACTGGTACCAGAGGAAGGTTTTCCTCAGGGGGGAGGTTGTACCCTACTGGGGAGATTGGTACCAGTGGGGAGGTGGCACCCGGGGGGAGCTTGGTACCCAGTAGGGAGTTTGCTGCACACTGGGAGACTGGTACCCAGTAGGAAGGTTGTAACCAGCGGGGAGGTTGGACCTAGTAAGGAGTTTGGACCTTGGAGAGTCTCATCACCTGATTTAGGCTGTGAAGCGGACTACGGGCAGAGGTCAAATAAGATAGAGGTGACTTGTGCAATTTTTCACATTTAAATAAAAAAGCAGAGGCATGGACAAATCTTCAGTACCCTGCCCACGTTAGATGTTTTAGAGCATCCATTTATCCATGTTGGTTTTAGATTTCTGCCCAAGGAAGCCTAAAGTCAACATTACTGTGATCAAATGGAGCTCACATTTCTCCTGCCTGGAAATACCTATAATTCCTTAAAACAATGTTTCAATTTACCACAAGTCTGGTGGCATTTCAAAGTGTAATAAAAAACCCACCATCCTTTTCCTGCCTCCCACTCTTGGTGTTCTGGAGAAGACTGCGGAACACACACGGACTTTTAATCAAGGGGAGACGGCTCTTCCTCTGTTTTGTGTACCTTTGTCTTTCCTGGAGTAGAGTGCTGTGATAAACCTACAGATGCCGGTGACTCAGGCTGGGTCATGGGAAGAAGTGGGCGAGTCGGAGCCAGATGAATTTGTGGTGTGCTTTCCTATCCAGCTGACATGTTGCAGAGGTTAAGTATGGTGGAGTTTTAGGCCAATTTGGAGCCATTCATTTACTCAGTGAGCTTCATCAACCCATCCCTCACCCACCATGTGCCTGCATTTGCACTGGTGTTTGGCAGGTACATCTCGACCTGTTAAAATATTGAACTACTTTCACACTGGTTGTCAAGTAACCACTGCCTGGATACCTTCCAACCTCCCCAAGGGCTTGTGTCCATTCTAATTGGTTAGTTTCTGTTATTACACTGATTGCTGAATAGTTGACACCCCAGATTATGGAACAATTAAAACAAATCCTCTCCCAACAAGGGGGTGGCAGATGCCATGCCTTCCTTTCCCTGGAAAATTCCCCATGACTCTTTCAGGATGCAAGGAGGCCCCAACTGCTATTTTTGTTTAGGTGATTGAGAAAACCAAGTGTGGAGAAGAAACTCCGTTGACGTGATAAAAAGAGCAGAATTAATATTTGCTATCTCTTTTTCTGGTGCCAAGAAAGTTACTGGAATAATTCAACCAGATAAAATAAGTAGATATGTGACTTTAAAAAGATGAAGTTTGTACAATGAGGCAGATGCCATCTGGCCCAGGAGGAATTTAGTGATGGCGGCATCATTCTCATTAATGTCAGAACTGCCCGGGGTTGTTGTCTATTTGTACAGTCTAGGGAGATGTTGAAGGCAAAATTCAGAAAGCAATTCTAATTCTGAGGTTTTCAATCCTGAACCCACAGTTGATCACCATAGGCATGCCCATACTGGAAACCTCGCATTAGTTTCTGTATTTTTTTCCTGGTGATATGTGATCAATACAAAGTATTTGAATACCTGATGTTACATACTTTCCCCCATCTCAGCCACCACTAACCCTTCCCCTCATCCTCCTCAAGGGAACCTTCATTAATGATTTCATGTGCTCCTTTTCTGGCCTTTCTAATGCCTATATATCAACCTATATTTTAATGCTTAACATATAGTGTCTATAATCTGCTTCTTTTCACTTACTGTATGGCAGACAACTTCTGTAGCAGATGATATGGTGTGCTCTCAGATGCTGCTTCAGAGTGAAGGCACTCATTCCCCGGCTGTCAGGAAGCTGACTGGTGATGGGTCACAGGTAAGCCCTTTCTCAGGATTTGCCATTGGCAAGGTTACACCTTCTCTCCAGAGGACAATTCACATCCAATGTTTGGCCAATGTGGAGCATAGAGGCTCAGTCTTCCCTCTGAGAAGCTCCCCAGCTCCAGAGTTTCCTGTGGGATCGGCTGAGACCCCCCGTTCCACCTGCATCTCAGTTTGACTTCTCTTTCTGTCCCCTCTTGCTGCCCTCATTCCCTCAGGTATTCATTGTAACTGAAGGCCTTTCCCAGTAAAATGCCAGCCCACAAACCTCCAACTCAGATGTTCCCCAGGAATCAGTCTAACACAATGCTCATCATGTTGACATCTTCAAGCATTCCACTATATAGAATCTAACAAACAATATGTTGAGTCTCATTCCTATAATCATGTTTGATATTTTCTGTTTATTATTCTTTCTTGTTTCTTTCTAATTTTTAATGGATTTAATTTTGTTTCATTTTAACAGATTAATAGTTTCCTTTGTATTTCTTTTCCTCCTGGATCAACCCTGTTCAACAGAAGTATATCAAGGCCACATTTGTGATTTAAACTTTTCTAGCAGCCATGAAGGCATGACTCATTGGGGATCATCTTAGAATCCTGCTTACCACACACGTTAAAAAAGGTTTAAAGAAGCAAAATTAGTTTTAAAAAAATGCGTTGTTATTATTTTATAGAGACAGGGTCTCACTATGTTTCCTAGGCTGGTCTCAAACTCCTGGGCTCAAGCAATCCTCCTGCCTCAGCTTCCCAAAGTGCTGAGATACAGTGTGAGCTACTGCATCAGGCTCCAGATTAATTTTAACAATACATTTTACTGGATCTAATATAACCAGAATATTATCATTTCAAAATATATTTGGAGTAAAAATGATTATGGATATATATATAGAGAGAGTGTATTTTGAAAGCCAGTGTGTGTTTTATACTTAGAGCACGTCTCAGTTCGCACCAGCCACATTTCAAGGGTTTGACAGCCACGTGTACTAGTAGTGGCTGCTGCACTACACGGTGCACTTCTAGAGGGTTCAAAGTTTCCATTAAAATTGTATTCTAGGACACCAGCCAAAATGGCAAATAAGGATCTCCGAAAATTCCCTCCTCCATAAAAGCAACAAGAACATTATCAAAAAATGTCAGAATCAACGTTTTCAGAACTTTGGAAATTAACCAAAGGCTTGCAGCAATCTGGGAAACATTTATTTAAGAAAACAGCAGAATCTTGGTAAGAACAGGGAGCTTTGTGGCACTTTAACTTGCCGTATTCCCATCCCCACCCTCCCCAGCACCACATTAGCTGTGAAATCCAACAGCCTGCAAAACGACCTGTGACCACAGGGGAAAGTCCGGCAGTCACTGGAAGGGCTTAGAGCTCCTCAAGGCCCATTCTCGGAGAATTGTCATTATTTGACCTCTCTGGTCACACTACTTGCAAGGCTGTTTTTATTTGAGCTGACTTAGAGCTCATCCAGCACAAATAAAAGCAGCCTTGAGAGTAGGGTCAATTATTGAACCTCACAGCTGACTGAGGTAGTGGATAACAAGTGGGATAGACAATGTGCTAACCAAAAAACATAAAAGAAAAAGCAGAGGAATGGGATGTCCTTGGAGAGAGTGGGCGCTTTAAAAAGTTCTAACAATATTCCTGGGAATATAGAAAGCCATACAAATGTTTAGGGCTGTGTGGACACCCAGTGCTGTGTGTGTGCCCAGGAAATATCCAAGAAGACCCTGGCTCTCACCTCTGGCCAACCTTGAGCCTCTGCTGAAGCAGGAAGTGAAGGCTAAGATGGAGCTGTAAGGTGCTTGGCTGAATGCTGAAGGAAACACACGCAGAACTTCTTGGTAAAGACTGAGAGTCTTATTGGTTCCAGTCATCTAAGGAAGTCTTTGTTGAATCATTAAATGACCACTAAGCTAACTGGTCGAGACTCACTGGCCACACAAAACAAAGAATATACCTTTATAGAATTAGTTCAGGAAAGTCACCAACCATCCAACCAAACAATACCAATTAAATAGTAACAACAACAAACCCAGGGCAAAATCTGATTTCCAGAGTTGCTATGTTATATTGTTTTAAAAGTCTAGTTTTTACCAAAAATTATGAAACACGCCAAGAAACAAGAGAGTCTGTCTCATATGCAGGGAAAAAGACACTCAATAGAAACTGTCCCCAAGAGGGCACAGACACTGGATTTTCTATACAAAGACTTAAATCAACTATGTTAAATATGTTTTAAAAACCCTAAAAAACTAAAGGAAACCGTGGCTATACAGGGAAAAATGTCTCATATACAGAAACTCCTAAGGAATCCACAAAACACAAGATCAATATACAAAAATCAATTTTGTTTCCGTAAGCTAGCAGTGAACAACACAAAAATGAAATTAAGAAAAACAATTCCACTTAGTATCCAAAAATGTTTAGGAATAAATTTAATGAAAGAAGTGTAAGACTTTTAACTGAAAACTCTCAAACATTGGTGAAAGAAATTAAAGAAGACCTACATAAATGGAAAGACATTCCTGTGTTCATGGACTGGAAAATGGCAATTTTCTCCAAATTGAAATCACTATAAAAATTCCAGATGCTGGGCTTTTTTTTTGTTTTGTTTTGTTTTAGAAATTGAGAAGCTGATTCTAAAATTCATATATAAATTCAAGGGATCCACAATAGCTAAAACAATCCTGAAAAAGAATAACAAAATTGGAGGACTCACATTTCCCAGTTTCAAAACATAAGCTACAGTAATCAAGACTGTGTGGTTCTGACCTAAGGATAGACATAGACAATGGAATAGAATTAAAAGTCCAGAAATAAACCCATATATTTATAGTCAATTGATTTTCAACAATAGTGCCAGGACATTCAATGGGGGGAAAATAGTCTTTTCAACAACTGGTGCTGAGATAACTGGATATCCACATGCACAAAAGAAGAAATTGGATCCCTTACCTTACACCATATACAAAATTTAACTCAAAATGGATCAAAGACTTTGCTGTAAGACTCTTAGGAGAGAGCATAGATGTAAATAATCATTACCTTTAATTAAGCAAGTTTCTTGGCTATGACACTAAAAGCATAAGCAATCAAAGAAAAAATAGATAAATTGGACTTCATCAAAATTTTAAAAATCTGTGCTTCAAAGTACACGATCAAGAAAGGAAAAAGACAAGTCACAGAGTGGGAGGAAATATTGTTGAATCACATGTCTGATAAGGGTCTAGTATCCAGAATATATTGTTGGGGCTCAGAAAACATTACCCCCAAATAGGACACTTTGACATGAAGCAACCTCGAGGTCTCTCTGACCTCCCTGGTCCCTGCACCCGACTATTCCTCTGTCTCTCTCAAAGCACAGAATGTAGTTGTTCACTGAAATTCCCTTATCTACCTAGACACTGAACCTACTAAAGAGAAACACAATTGCCTTCCCTGAAATTTAACTAGAGAAGAATAAACTCATAACACAGAGGAAGAGATTGAAAATTAAACACCAGACAAACTTTGTCCCAAACCACTGTCTTCTCTCTGTCCCATTCAATTTCCAAAGAAAACTATTTACTAACCATTGTCTGAGCATTAGACCCATTCATTTCCCCTAAAAATCATTTACTATCCCTCAAATCAGCCACATTTCCCCATGTTCTTTTTCCCTATGAAGAAGAATATATAAGCATGTGTATCCCTTTGGGTTACTGGGTAATTATTCTCCTGCAATTCCAATGTGATGTGTTAAAATAAATCTGTATGCTTTTTTCTTCTATTAATCTGCCTTTGTCAGTTTATTTTCAGCAAACCTTCAGAGGGTGATGGGGGAAGAGTTCTCTTCTTCCCCCTATAATATAAAGGACTATTACAACTCAACAATTAAAAGACAACCCAGATTAAAAGTGGGCACTATAGTCGAATACATATTTTTCCAGTAAAGATATACAAATGGCTAATGAGCACATGAATAGATGCTCCATATCATTAGTCACAGGGAACTGGAAGTTAAAACCACAGTGAGATATCATGTCACATTCACTAGAATGACTATTATCAAAGACAGTCAATAACAAGTGTTGCCAATATGGAGAAGCTGAACCCTCCATACATTACTGGTAGGAATAGAAAACTGTGAAGCTGCTTTGGGAAAGAGTTTGACAGTTCCTCAAAAAGTTAAACATAGAGTTTTCATGTGACTCAGTTGTTCCACTCCTAGGTACATACTCAAAAGAAATGACATTTGCCCACAAGAAACCTTGTATGTGAATGTTCATAGCAGCATTATTCATAATAGCTAGAAAATAAAAACAATCCAAATGTCCATCAACTAGTGAACAGATAAACAAAAGGTGGTGTACCTATCTAATGGAATACTTTTCAGCCATAAAAAGGAATGAAATACTGATTCATGATACAACAGGAATGCACCTTAAAAACACTGTGCTAAATTAAAGAAGCCAGACATCAACAGCCACATACTGTATGATTCCATTTACAGTAGCCCCCCCTTTTCTGCATTCCAAGATCCCCACTGGATGCCTGGAACTACAGATAGTACCCAACCCTATGTATACGATGTTTTTCAATCTGATAACCAAGATGGCTACTAAGTGACTAACAAGCAGGTAGTGTATGCAGTATGGATATGCTGGACCAAGGATGATTCACATCCCAGGTGGGACAGCACAAAATTTCATCATGCTACTCAGAATGGCGTGCAATGTAAAGCATATGAATTCTTTACTTCTGGAATTTTCTACTTAATATTTTCTGATCATGATTGACCATGGGTAACTGAAACTACAGAAAATGGAAAGTGCGGATAACGGGAACTATTGTATATAAAATGTCTAGAAGAGGCAAATCCATAGATACAGAAAGATTTGTGGCTGCCAGGACCTGGGCGTGGGGAGACAGGAAAATGGGAGATGACTGCTAATGGGTGTGGAGGTGCTTTCTGCGGCGATTAAAATGAGATAATGATAATGTTTGCACAACTTTGTGAATATATTAAAATGTATTAAATTGTAAACTTTAAAAGGTGAATTTTATAGTATATGACTATATCTTAATTTTTAATATGAAGTATTTTTTAAATAAAAGAAAATATTATATTCTATCAGGCATTCTTAAATTTTTAACAAATCTATTTTTTATTTCTCTATCGACATCAAGGTTGAAACAGCATATGTAACCCTCCTTCCCTTCTATCATCTCTGCAACGCAAGAAACTTAACATGCTTTCATTCTCCTAGTCACCTCTCTACAATCTAGATTTTCTTGTTGATGATGATGATGAAAAGAATCTGTAATTATTACTTGTTGAATGTTAAGTACCATGTATCATGTTTATTTTATAAGCATTATCTTATTTTTCCCAAGGTCTTAACTACTACCTCAAACTACCTCTCAGACTGTTTAGGGATTTTTAAAAACATTATGTCTTCTATTTTAAGCCTCCTTTAAACAATTTTAAATTAAATGGTACAACTACTCTGTCAATGAATTTTTTGTATTGGTTTCTTAAAGCCCCTTCTGTAGCTTCTGTGATACCACATAATCTCAGTGTTCTTTTGCCTCTTGGAGGTTCCCTCTCATTCTCTTTTGCTTAGTTGTCCTCCTGTTCGTCACCCCTAAATATCGGGGTGTCCAACACTGAGTCCTCAGAGTGCTTCTCTTTTCACTTACCTGACACCTTGGGTGATCTCATCTGGTCCCATGGCCTTGAACAGCACCCTTTGCAGATAATTCTCAAATTTGTATCTCCGGTCTTAACCTCTCTCCTAAACTCCACCTGTCAATTTGACATGTTCACTTGGATGTCCAATAGGCATCTCAAACGTAACATGTCCAAAATCAAACTCTTGATTCTGTCCCCAGACTTGCTCTTCCTCCAGTGTTCTCCATCTTTGTGAATGGCACCTATTCACCCAGTTACTCAGGTTGAAAACTTTAAAATCAAACTTGAATCCTCTCTTTCTCTCACGCTCTCCAAATTCAATCCTGTTGGTTCTACCTTCAAGCACATCTCCAGTTCCTCACTAATACTGTCCTGGCCCAGAGCACCACCACACTTCTGGAATACCACAGTAGGCTATTTTTTTTTTTTTTTTTTGAGATGGAGTTCCACTTTTGTTGTCCAGGCTGGAGTGTAATGGCACGATTTCGGCTCACTGCAACCTCTGTGGAATACCACAGTAGGCTCTGACCAGTCTTGATTCTTTCCTTCTTGCCTCCCTATCATCTTGTCTCCAAACTGAAGACCGAGTGATCCTTGCTATAGTTTCTCATCACATGGGGTCTGCAGACCTTAGGCGATCTGGCTCCTGGGCACCACTCCCATTTTACTTCTCACTGTTTTCTTTGCATTATCTTCACTCCAGCCACACTGGCCTTCCTATTTTTTTTGTTTGTTTTGAGACAGAATCTTGCTCTGTGGCCCAGGCTGGAGTGCAGTGGTATGATCTCAGCTCACTGCAACCTCTGCCTCCCACGTTCAAGCGATTCTCCTGCCTCAGACTCCCAAGTAGCTGGGATTACAGGCACACGCCATCACCCGGCTAATTTTTGTATTTTTAATAGAGATGGGGTTTTGCCGTATTGGCCAGGCTGGTCTCAAACTCCTCACCTCGGGTGATCCGCACACCTCAGCCTCCCAAAGTGCTGGGATTACAGGCGTGAGCCACTGCATCTGGCCAAATTATTATTATAGCTCAGTTTTCTAATCTGTGTAATAGGGATAATAATAATAATACTTACTCCATGGTGATGTTGGAGTGATTAAATGAGACACTATATCTAGATTTGTTCAGAATAGTACTTGAATCAGAGTAAATCCACAATAAATGTTGGCTATTATTATTACAATTACACACTGGACTTTTTTCCTTGATGTCTTTATTCTGCTTCTTCTTTCTTAATTTGGTTATTCTTAGAAAGGGTAAAAAATAATGAATGTTCTATTTTCCTGCATTCCAAGTCTTTTTCTTTGATTATCACATGCTTGACCAATAGTAAATGCTCAATAAATGTGAGCTATCAGGTTGGTGCAAAAGTAAGTGCAGTTTTTTGCCATTAAAATAATGGTTTTTGCCATTACTTTTGCACCAAACTAATAATTATATTTAGAATACACAAAACCTTCCCTTTCTGGTTATTCTTACTCTGATGCATTTCTATTGGATTACCCTTTAAGTAACTTCAGAAGAAACAAGGGGTCTTCATCTTTATACGTAATCTTCTTCAGAAGAAGTTTAACTTCAGAACTTTAACTTCAGTAACTTCAGAACTTTTTAGAAGTTTAAGTAACTTCTTCAGAAGAAACATGTAATCTTCATTTTTATATGTCCAAACCTGTCTCCCTTTTACAATCACACATGAATCACAGTTTGGATGGGAAGAGATTTCTAGAATTACCTCAGAATTTGGTCAATGTTCTCAATACGTAGTCCTTTGTTTTTGTTTGGAAGTGTATGGAACTTTCTCTTCATCTTCAAGATTCAGGAATTTCACCATGACATGTTTTGTTGGCTCTCTTCTTTAGTATTCCTGCCGAGTGTTTGGTGGGTCCTTTTGATGTAAACGCTGTGCCCGGCTATTTCCTTTCTTTAGTGAAAGGAAATTTTCTTTTATTATTTTTTGCATTATGGCTTCTCTTCTAAGTGACATTGCTACTGAAACTCACTTAAGTGGCTGACTCTTAGATCGCGTCTCATGTCTCATATCTTAGTCTTAAAATATCTATTTCTTTGGTTTGCATTTTTGGAGAATTTTTAAAAGTTATTTGTACATTAAAAGTTATTTGTACATTGAATTTCAGAAGTGTTCATTTTGCTCTTCAGTGCCCCAATTGAAGTTGCTTTGATGTACTTTAGAATTTTTTTTCTGAGAGATATTCTCTATGTGCATAGCAAGTTGCATTTTGAATGTAAAATCTTCAGAAAAATAAATAAGGATGAAAACTAGGAATTTTTGAGTTTCCTCATGTTTTCTGCAGTATTCCCAATGTCTTTATGTCTTTCTATTTCCAATGGCTCTCCAAATGGGTTTACCTGTCGCATTGCACTAGACTTGTTCACTGTAGAATTGTATAGGGGCTCCTGGAGTTGTCTTCAAGTTAGTGCATGTTGCACTATATCTGGACAATATTCGTCAGACTTTGTAACAAAAGGTGGGGTTTTTCTTAGGTCCTGCTAAAAGTAGTTTTCTTCTCTATTTTAATCTCATTTTGCTTGTTTCCTTCTCTACAGTTTTTATAAATACTCTGTGACTTCATAGTTTCACTTTTAATATGTACGTATATTAAGTTAACACCTCAATTTTTTTTTTTTTTAAAGACGGAGTCTCACTCTGTTGCCCAGGCTGGAGTGCAGTAGCATGATCTCGGTTCACTGCAACCTCCACCTCCCGGGCTCAAGCAATTCTCCTTCCTCAACTTCCCAAGTAGCTGGGATTACAGGCATGCGCCACCACACCCAGCTAATTTTTGTATTTTTAGTAGAGACTGGATTTCACCATGTTGGGCAGGCTAGTCTTGAACTCCTGACCTCAGGTGATCCGCCCGCCTTGGCCTCCCAAAGTGCTGGGATTACAGGCGTGAGTCACCATGCCCAACCACACACCTTAATTTTTTTTTTTTTTTTGATGGAGTCTCGCTTTGTTGCCCAGGCTGGAGTGCAGTGGTGCGATCTCGGCTCACTGCAAGCTCCGCCTCCCGGGCTCATGCCATTCTTCTGCCTTAGCCTCCTGAGTGGCTGGGGCTACAGGTACCCGCCACCACACTCGCCTAATTTTTTTTTTTTTGTATTTTTAGTAGATACGGGGTTTTACCATGTTAGCCAGGATGGGCTGGATCTCCTGACCTTGTGATCTGCCTGCCTTGGCCTCCCAAAGTGCTGGGATTACAGGTGTGAGCCACCGCACCCGGCTGGCACACCTTAATTTTTATAACAGCAGAGACTACAATGGAGGCTGGTATAAAAGGGTAATACTTCTTTATTATTCAAGGGTTGACTGGTGAACAGTTTCAGTTGTGCCCTGATTTTTCCTATCTTAGGATATTATCTTAGTGTTTTATCAACAAACCTTTCAGAGCTTCTTTTTGTGACATTTCTGCAATATTGAGTTTATATGTACTGTAGGATTAATCTATTATTGCTCTATCAGCATTCTTGACTGAGTTCTTCTGTGTAACTATGACCATTCATGTGCTATGAGAAATTTGGAAGTGTCATATTTGTCCTTACCCTCAGAAAACATATAGTTTGATTGGACAAAGCAATAAAATTTAAAAGTATATAATCAAGAAAAAATTAGAATGCAGAGATAAAAATAATAGATGTTCAGAGAAGAGAGAAATAAGTGAGGGATGAGATAGTCATCAAATATACATGGAGACTGTGAAACCTTGTGCAGAGCCTTGATGGATGCGTGTGGCTTGAAAAGGCGGCAAAGTGAAGTCTGGCTTTACTGACGAGAGAAACAAGGAAAGGGTTTTTGTGTGACAGTAAAGATTCAGGCCTGATTATCTTTAAAGTAGAACAAAGAGTCAGAAATTCAAAGATGGACATCACTACAGATCCAATAGGTATCAAAAAGATAAGGAGATCTTGAAACTTTATGCAAAAAATGAAATGGGACATTCCTTGAAAAACTCAATACTTATCAAAATAGATTTAAGAAAAACAGACTATCTGAATCTGAATAATTGGTAAAGAAATTAAATTAATTATTAAAAAAACCCCCAAAAAACAAAAAACAAAAAACCAGGCCCTGAAGTCTTCAGCAACGAAGTATAATAAACATTTAGGGAAGAAATAACACCAGTCTTATACAAATAGCCCCAGAAAAAAGAAAAAAATAAATTCCCCAGAACCTGACATATGAAGAAAGCGTAACCTTGCCAAAGATATTACAAGAGAGGAAAATTCAAGACAATCAGACTCTAGCACATAGAAGCAAAAATCCCAAACAAACACCAGCCAACCAAATCTAGCTATGCAAAAGATATCATGACCAAATTAAATTTGTTCCAAGAATACCTTTAGAAAATTAATCAATGCATTTCACTATATTAACAAAACAAAGAAAACTATGACTATCCCAGAGATGCAGAAAAAGCTTTTGATAAAATTTGTCGTTCATAAAAAATATTCTTAATGGAAGAGAACTTCCTTAATCTTATAAAGGTTATCTGGGGGAACCTATGGCAAACATATGGTGAAATGTTGACAGGTTTCTCTTTGAAAATGAGAATAAGATACAGATGTCCACTCTCATTCCTATTAAACATTGTGTTGAATCTCCTAGACAAACGAAGAAAAGCAATAAAATGAAATGAAAGATATATGAAGTGGGAAGGAAAATATAAAACTCATTATTCATAGATGGTATCATAGTATACGTAAAATATCCAAAAGAACATACAGGTATAAAAATTCAAAGGGCCCAAAATAGCAAAACACTTTTTAGAAGAATAAAAAGATGGAAGGATTTGCTCTACTGGATATCAGGTTATCATAAAACCACAGCCATTTACATAGTATATATATATATATATATATGCATAAGTAGATAAATGGATCAATCAAAGAGAAGGGAGAAATCTAGAAACAGACTCATGCGTATTTTGACACTCGATATTTCACAAAGTTTTCTTCAACAAATAGTGCTGGGACTACTGGATATCCATATGGAAAAAAATTAAACTTGATCCTTATCTCACACCATATGTAAAATTCAATTTCAGGTGAATTGCAGATCTAAATGTGAAAGGTAAAATAAAACTTCTAGTTGATAGCGTAGTATAATATCTTCCTACTCTAGTGTACATAAAGACTTCTTAAACAGGGCTCAAAATATATTAACTATTAAAAAAATTACATTTCACTAAAATTAAGAATTTTTGTTCATTAAAAGATGACAGTAAGAGGGTGAAAAGGTAAGCAACTATTCAGAATACACACACACACACACACACACACACACACACACACACACACACAAAACTCTTACAAGCCAGTAAGAATAAGATAACCCAGTAGAAAAAGGGACAAGACACTGGGATGGGTACTTCATAAAACAGGCTATCCAGATTAATAAACCTATAAATCAGAAATCAGAGAACTTATAGTTTCAATGAGATTCAACTATGCATCCATCATAATGGTTACAACTAAAAAGACTGATAATAATAACTGTTGGTGAGGATGTAAAGCAAAGGGAATTCTCATACATGGCTGGTAAGAGAATAAATTGACATAGCCACTTTGAGAAAACAGTTTAGCATTCTCTATTAAAGTAGAAGATATGCGTATATTATGACCCAACAATTCCACTCCTAGATATGTGCCCAATAGAAATGCATGCACGTGGGCACCAAGAAACGGACAAGAACAGTTAAAGCAGAGCTGCTCCCAACAGCCTCAGAATTTACTCAGCCCAATTGTCCTTAACAGTAGGATGGATAAATAAATTGTGGTGTATTTACTGAATAAAATACAGTAGCTGGCTCACACCCAGTACTTTGGGAGGCCGAGGCAGGCGGATCACCTGAGGGCAGGAGTTTGAGACCAGCCTGACCAACATGGAGAAATTCCGTCTCTACTAAAAAAATACAAAATTACCTGGCCGTGGTGGCACATGCCTGTAGTCCCAGCTACTCGGGAGGCTGAGGCAGGAGAATCACTTGAACCCAGGAGGCGGAGGTTGCGGTGAGCCAAGATTGCGCCATTGCACTCCAGCCTGGGCAACAAGGTAGAAACTCCACGAAAACAAATGAACCTTGGCTGCATGGAGCAACATGGAGAAATCTCCAAAAATGATTTTGAGTGAAAGAAACCAAGCACAAAAGAAGGTGTACTGAAAGATTCCATTTATATGAAATTCAAAAAGCAAAACTAAACTCTAATATTTAAGAATACAAGTTGTGATGGTAAAACTGTCTTTTAAAAAATCAGGGAAATGACTTCCATAAAAATCAGGGTAGTGGCTACTTTAATCAGAGAGGGATGGTATGGTGATTGGAATACAGAGGAGGTTTCTGGAATGCTGGTAATATTTTATTTCTTGAATAGGGTTATATGGATGTTCACTTTGGGATAAACCATTGAGCGATACATTTTTGTTTTTTCCCTGTTCTATATTTGTTTTAACACACACACACACACACACATACACACACACACACACAGACATACACACACACACAAACATATGCGCACACACAATTATAAAAAGAAAAAACAGAATGGTTACATATACTAAGTACAGTAAATTACGAAATGCTGAGTATCAGTCTTTAAACATGAAGTAGATTTATACATAGAGATTTGGAGAGTTTTTGAAGCTGTACCATTACCACTGAGAAAATAAAACAGTCTGCAGAATGATGCACACAATGCAATACATGTATATCAAAACAATGCTATACATGTTTACATATACAGCACAGTCATCATGCATAGAAGTACATAGAATTAATTTCAGAGGCATACATCCAGTCTAAAAACAGTGATTACTTCTAGAGAAGGGACTGAGTATTTGCTGAGAGGGCTATCCGTATGACTGGTATAACTAAAAATAAAAAAAACAAACAAAAGAAGAAGAAAGAAAGGAGGAAGAGAGGAAAGAGGGGAGGGAAGGAAGAAGAGATGAGCAAACCTAGAATTTTGAGCCAGGCCCCCCAAGATCACAATGGAGATGGTATTGAGCAGCTTCATCTAGAATGTTCCTTGAACATTTCTTTCCTACTTCCACTTTTGGGGTTGCCATAAATTTTAAGAATTTGTTCATTCACTCATTCATTCAACAAACATATATATTATTGTGTTTCCTAAGGCAGAGCTTTCGGGAGTTTTCGTGTTTCAGTCCAGCCACCGAGTGGGCCAACATTTGATGATCACATGAAAACCTCGCTCCAATAACATTCAAAATCTTCACCATGAACAGGTGCTGGGTAGATCATGTTTATAAGAATTGTGTGCATTTCTGAGTGTTTAGAATTGTATGTGTTTAGGCTGAGCGCATTGGCTCATGCCTGTAATCTTAGCACTTTGGGAGGCCAAAGCAGGCGGATTGCTTATGTCCAGGAGTTCAAGACCAGCCTGGGCAGCATGGCAAAACTCCATCTCTACTAAAAATAAAACACAAATTAACTGAGCATGGTGGTGCCTGCCTGTAGTTTCAGCTACTTGGTTGGGGACTGAGGTGGGAGGATTGCTTGAGCCCAGGAGGTCGAGGTTGCAGCGAGCCTAAATCGCACCACTACACTCCAGCCTGAGTGACAAAGTGAGACCCTGTCTCAAGAACTGTGTTTTTATTTATTAAGTTAATCAAAGCTTTAAAAGTCTCAAAAGATAACAATGGCTGAGCAGCTTGTAGGACTCTGGGAAACTGCAGGGGAAATACTCATGAAACCTTAAGGAGTAATTTAATAGACTTAGAGATGAAAACGAAACCCCAAGGAGACAGCCCAGGCACAGTAGAAAGAGAGACACACAGTTGTACCAGTCGTTTAGAAGCAGATGTGAACGATGGCCCAGGTGTGACGATCATGGTAGAACTTGATGCAGGACATGTGTGTGGCAGGAAATACAGGCATGTTTTCACACATTCCATCAGGCACAAATGTGCTCTTCGTGTCCAAGAGATTATCTTCTAAACTTGGCCTTTCCAGTGGCACATGTCAGTAAATCTCTGATACTTGACTAGATCTGCTTCTAGAAACAGAAAGAAGCTTCATCTTTCTTTCCATCGCCACAGCCTCCGGGGGTGGCCTCCCTCTCCTACCACCCCTACCATTCATTCTCCATCTGCAGTTGGCATGCTCCTTTAAGAGTGTAAATTAGGGGCCAGGCGCAGTGGCTCACGCCTATAATCCCAGCACTTTGGGAGGCTTAGCGGGTGAAGCGCTTGACAGGAGTTGGAGACAGGAGTTTGAGACCAGCCTGGGCAACATGGTGAAACCCTGTCTCTACTAAAAATAGAAAAAATTAGCCAGGTGTGGTGGTGTGTGCCTGCAATTCTAGCTACTCAGGAAGCTCAGGCAGGAGAACTGCTTGAACCCAGGAGGCAGAGGTTGCAGTGAGCTAAGATTGTGGCACTGCACTCCAGCCTGGGCAACAGAGCAAGACTCTGTCTCAAAAAAAAAAAAAAAAGAGTGTAAATTAGATAATCTTTCTTCCTTGCTTAAAACTCTGCAATAGGCCTGGCATGGTGGCTCACGCCTGTAATCCCAGCACTTTGGGAGGCCAAGGCGGGCGGATCACGAGGTCAGGAGATCGAGACCATCCTTGCTAACACAGTGAAACCCCCTCTCTACTAAAAATACAAAAAAATTAGCTGGGCGTGGTGGCACGCGCCTGTAATCCCAGCTACTTGGGAGGCTGAGGCAAGAGAATCACTTGAACCTGGAAGGTGGAGGTTGCAGTGAGCCGAGATCATGTCACTGCACTCCAGCCTGGCAACAGGGCGAGACTCTGTCTCAAAAACAAAACAAAACCGAACAAAAACCCTGCAATAAGGACAATTTTTATTAAGTGTTGGTGCTGTATTCATATTTTCTCATGTAATCCTCCTAAGTCTCCAAGCACCTCAGTACCGTCATCATTCCCAACTCACTGATGAGGAAGTTGGGCTTAAGGGGGGCCTGCCCAGGCCGGGTGCAGTGGCTCACTGTAATCCCAGCCTGTAATCCCAGCACTTTGGGAAGCCAAAGTGGGCGGATCACCTGAGGTCAGGAGCACTTTGGGAGGCCGAAGTGAGGGGATCACTTGGGGTGAGGAATTCGAGACTGGCCTGGCCCAGATGGTGAAATCCCATTTCTAATAAAAAATGCAAAAATTAGCTGGGCGTGGTGGCAGGCACCTGTAATCCCAGCTACTTGGGAGGCTGAGGCAGGAGAATTGCTTGAACCCGGGAGGCAGAGGTTGTGGTGAGCCGGGATCGTGCCACTGCACTCCAGCCTGGGTGACAGAGTGAGACTCCATATCAAAAAAAAAAAAAAAAAAAAGAAAGAGGGGCTTCCCAAATCACTCCAGCTAATGTGGAGGCTGCTCTCCCACCTCCAAGAATGCCTCCTCCTCCCGTTATGATGTTTTCTTCATAGCATTTATCACTCTCTGAGATTTCCACTTATTTATGTGTTTACAGTCAGCCTTTTCCCACTAGAATAGAAGCCTTAAGAGTAGAGGGACTTTAATTTTTTCACTGCCATATTCCCTGTGCCAAAATGATGCCTGGCACATAGTTGGCATTCAATAAAAATCTGGCCCAGTGAACTTCATGCTACTCTGAAAAGTTTATTAAATGTATCCAAGGTGACCAAGACATTAACCTGCATTTATAATGAACTATATAAATAAATGTAGTCAACAAATATTTTATTAACTCAAAAGTAAGAATGATCTGTGTTATCTTCACATGGTTTGTTTACCAAATACAGACCATATACCAGTCGTTTTTAGGCACCGGTGATAAAAACACCCAGGTCCTTATCTTAAGGGGCTCATAAATGTGTGTGTGTGTGTGTATGTGTGTGTAGGAAGTGGGTGGGAAAGGGAATATAAGCAAGTAAACAGTGTCACTACACTGTGTGGTCAATACAATTATGGAGGTAAACACAGGTGCTGGTGACATAGGGGAAGGGCAGGTAGATCTGAAGGGGGATGAGGAAGGGTGTTGGCAAAGCTTTCGAGAGGAGCTGAGAATACAGTTGAGTTGGGAAGAACAAATAGTGATTATCCAAAGAAAGAATAGGGAAGCGTAAATAGGGCTGGAGAAGCAACTTGTTCTGGGTAGGGAAGCACCATGCTTCGGGAGCTGCAGGGTCGTGAGTTTAACGGTGGAGAATACAGCTGGGATGTGGTGAGGGATCAATCTCGGTGTGCATGGTGCAGCCCTTCGTAGATGACCCTGATATCAGTGGACATCACTTACCCATGTCTGCTTTATTTTCCAGTGGGTTCCCAGTGCTAGTGTGGTGCCTGTCAGATGGAAGGCCCTCAGTAAATATTTCCTGAATGAGTGAATGAATGAATGGATTTGGAATGTTACCCCCAGTACCCCTCGTTCCAGGAGGCAGTTAGAGTTTTACGTAAACAGAAATGTGATCTGATCAACATGCTGTTTGAGAAGGACCACTCTGGGAGCCCGAGAGTAGAAGAGGGAAGACCCGGGTCAGTGAGGCAGGTAAACAAGTGCGTGTGGGAGTGCATTTGAGGGCTGTGGAGTGAGGTGGGTGGCAAGGAAGGAATGGATTTGAGAGCTCCTTGGTGACCTACTGGATGGAAGTAAGAAATAAGGTCACCTCTAGGAGGTTTTCTGATTTCTGGTACAAGGCCTGGGTATGTGGTGGGGCCATTCACAGGACATGAGACTGGAGGTGGCGCAGCCTAAAGGCAAGATACTGGGTTCAGCTGACACCTGGAACACCCAGGTAGAAATGTCTAATGATCAGCCAAAACCTGGGCCTGGGGCCAGGAGACAGGTCTGGGCTGGAAGAAGGTCTGGACATCAGCAGGGTCTGGGCAGTGCTGGAAACCAGACAGTAGGAGGAGAGCACTCAGAGAGGGAGCCCTGTGGGGTGGGCACAGCAGTGGTCTTGGGGGCAGATGGAAGGAATCGGCAGAGGTGACCCAAAGCTGGCTAGCTGGTGGCAGTGGAACCAGTTATGGTTTGGGGGGGTGGAACAAGTTATGGTTTGGGGGAATCAATGGCAGCTGCAAGAGGACCTTGTCATTTTCACCTGCAATAGTGAAAGAATGCCCAGGTTGGAAGCTGAAAAAATAAAATCCAAGATAGAATGAGGTGGGAGGAATGGGCTGAGGCAGGCAGCTTGGAACCAAGAAGGAAGTGGATGCTGGAACTCCCTTTTTATATGGTTCCCTGGGCGAAGTGCAGGGTGAGGTGGCTTTCAGGAACCATTGGGATGAGGCGGTTTCTGCCTTTGAGTAACTTTCCATGCCACCACCCAGGAGATTAGAGCTTCTTCTTCTTTTTTTTTTTTTTTTTTTTTTTTCTGAGACAGAGTCTCGCTCTGTTGCCCAGGCTGGAGAGCAGTGGTGTGATCTCGGTGCACTGCAACCTCCACCTCCCTGGTTCAGGCAATTCCCCTGCCTCAGCCTCCCGAGTAGCTGGGATTACAGGCACATGTCACCATGTCTGGCTAGTTTTCTGTATTTTTAATAGAGACAGGGTTTCACTATGTTGGCCAGACTGGTCCTGAACTCCTGACCTCAGGCAATCCACCCACCTCGGCCTCCCAAAGTGCTGGGATTACAGGAGTGAGCCCTGTGCCCGGCCAGAGCTTCTTTTAAAAATATGTGCCTGGGGTCCTGGCCTTCACCTGTACTTTGCCTGTAATTTTCCACCTCTTGGTCTTTACTGTATAGCACTTGAGCAATCAGCTGTTCAGGGTGGTACAGCTGGAGGCACCATATGCACTTCGGCAATTACATGTCTAGACTCATTACTTACTTTCTTTTGGCACTGATTCCACATGATTCGGGCATTTCCAATCATCCCTAGTTCCACTTCTTAGATCTTCTGACCTCCTGGCCTAGCCCTGGAGAAATTTTATTGCAGTGTTTCGGGTACTGAGAACACAGGATCCTTGCTGGCCTCAGTTTCCCGTAGCTCTGATTTTTTTTTTTTTTTTGAGATGGAGTCTCGCTCTGTCCCCCAAGCTGGACTGCAGTGTGTGATTTCAGCTCACTGCAACCTCCGCCTCCCAGGTTTAAGCAATTCTCCTGACTCAGCCTCCTGAGTAGCTGGGACTACAGGTCTGCACCACCATGTCTGGCTAATTTTTTTGTATTTTTAGTAGAGATAGGGCTTCACCATATTGGCCAGGCTGGTCTCAAACCCCTGATCTCAGGTGATCCTCCTGCCTGGGCCTCCCAAAGTGCTGGGATTACAGGCGTGAGCCACCGAGCCTGGCCCCCTAGCTCTGATTCTAACCCGAGGCCTGCTCAGCACTGCTGATGCCCTATTTGGAAAAAAAACATTTGGCAATGGACCCAAGAAGCCATCAGTTTCAAGAAATTCCGCTTTGGAAGGCCAAGCAAAGGAAGCATTCCTAAATGCAGAAAAAGCCAGAGAACAAAGATGTTCATCTAGGGATTTGCTATACAAATGAAGAGTGAAAAAGTGTCACCTGAAACATCCAAGAGCAGGGGAAAGATTAAATGGACACCGGCATTTCCTGGAGTAGGATATAACACAGCAAGTCTAAATAACAGTTATGAATGTTAGTTAAAAACATTGACAAGCTCATGATTAGATATCAATGAAAAAATGGAATATAAAATTATATGTACCGTCTGATTAAATAACACATATCCATAAAAGTTTAGAAAGAAACCTCTAAAGTGTCAACAGTGGCTCAGCTTGGATTGTGGGATTATGGGCATTTTTTTGTTTCCTGAATTTTCCGTAGTAAGGTTACAGTAATCTTACAATAGCAAAATACAAATAACAATCTTTTAAAACCCTGAAGCCTAATTTGACAGGTACCTCCTCTTCTCAATTGTCCCTCAAGCATGGGCTGTCCCTGTCCTGTCCCCAGCCTGGCCTTCCTGCTCCCTATGACTCGATTCCTCCTCTTGGCTTATCTATTGATCTGGGGAGGTTTTACAGAGGCTAGCCAGAAGCTTGTGGGCACAGCCTCCTGGGCGGAACCAGACCCCCTCCCTGGGGTAGGGCAGCCAAGGCTCTCTGGTTTTGTTTTTGTGTGTGTGTGTTTTTGTTTTATTTTGTTTTTTTTTGAGACAGAGTCTCACTTTGTCACCCAGGCTGGAGTGCAGTGGCAAGATCTCTGCAACCTCTGCCTCCCGGGTTCAAGCAATTCTCATGCCTCAGCCTCCTGAATAGCTGGGATGACAGACATGTGCCACCACACCTGGCTAATTTTTGTATTTTTAGTAGAGATGGGGTTTTGCCATGTTGGCCAGGCTGGTCTCTAACTCCTGGCCTCAAGTGATCTGTCTGCCTCAGCCTCCCAAAGTGCTGGGATTACAGGTGTGAGCCACCGCGCCCCACCTCAGGGGTGTTGACTTTTAAAATGTGGGAAGAAGACAATTAAATGAGGGCTTTAAAGCTTTACATGCAGTGAGCAAGGAAGCTTCTGGAAAGCATTTGAGGCCCATTTCCCACGACTTGTCCCTGACAGTAGCTATGAAAATCCCGGGGTGGGGCTCATGGGAGTGAGGTATGCATCCTCTTGTGGGACGCTCTGGCTGAGCAGCGCAGGCCAAGAGACTTCCAGGCCACAAGGAAATAACACCATCAAGACCGGAGCGATGGCATCACGGGTATCCCCTCAGGAAAAACTCAGAAGCTGGCACAGAGGGGCACGCTGGCTGAGGTGGGGTAAGCTTCCTGGTACTCGGGAGGTCTGCTAACAAGAGGACAGGAAAGGAGACTGGGACTGGATGGCGTGGTAAGATAGGGACCTGGGCACAGGGATGGGTCACCAGTGTGTGTTGTAGCTGCTCTAGGCAGGGTAAATATTTCCCACCTGAGGAGGGAGAAAAATGCCAGTGGTGTTGCAATGTTACTGTTTTGCACAGCTGCGGACCCAGAAAAGGAGAAGGACACCCTTTCCTGCCCTACTCTAGATTAGAAGATTCCCGCTGTCTTCTATTCCTCCCCAGCTGTTTGTGTTTCAGGCCTTCTGAGGGGGATCATGCTGAAGGCACCTCCAGGGAGAGAGGATGTGGGGGGAGCAGCAATGGCAGAGACCTATGTCCCAAATGGAACCCATGGCTCCAAGGCTGAGGCTCCTCAAGCCTCCAGCTAGACCCCCTTTTTCCTCATCTCCCTCCCTGGGAACTCAACCTAGCCAAAGGCTTCAGGTACCACCCTCAGAGGGGGCACAGAGGTTGATATCCCCAGTTAAGTGGGGACAGCCCACCATCTAGAGCAGGGGTGTCCAATCTTTTGGCTTCCCTGGGCCATACTGAAAGAAGAATTGTCTTGGGCCACACATAAAGCATGCTAACACTAACAATAGCTGATGAGTTTTTTAAAAAATTGCAAAATAAACTCATAGATTTTAAGAAAGTTTACGAATTTGTGTTGGACTGCATTCAAAGCCATACTGAGACATCCTGGGCCACACTCAAAGCCATCCTGGGCTGCATTCGACCCATGGGCCATGGGTTGGACAAGCTTGATCTAGAGGAAATTCCTACCTTATTCTGCCAGCAAATATCTATTCATCACCCTCTGTGTCAGGCATTGTATCAGGGGCCAGGACCTTACCATGATTAGACCAAGGCCCTGTTCTCTGGAGCTTACATTCTACTGAAGCCTCACGGCACTGCAAACCCATTATGTGCTGCAGGCTAACACTGATGGAGCCGGGCACTGTGTTAGAGCCAAATTAGAGCTCCTTACATCCCTTCTGCTCATTAGGATCTGCTTCTTCTCAGCTCCTGGAGTGCCACTGAGCCTTCAAGTGGAGTCAGGTTTCCCCAGCTGTGGAAAGAGGGGACATCTGGGGAATAAGAGTCAAGCAGAGCTTGGTGATCTGAATCAATTTTTCTTTTAAAGCATTGGGCCTTTGTAGCAATAATGGCAAACCGCTATTAAGCACTTCCCACACTGCAGGCTGCACTGTACTTTCCGTGTATTGTGTGTGGTATATTGGACACGACCCTATGCCTTAGGTCTGATTATGTTACAGATGAGGAAACTGAACCACAGAGTTCAGTTACTTGTTCAAGGGTACACAGTCATTGGACACAGGCGGTCTGGCTTTGGCTCCATGCTCTTGACCACCAAGCTGTACTGCTGCCAACTAGCCACCTTTGGTGAGACCTGCTCTGCCTACAATTCTCTTGGATAGTTCTTCTCTTGGAAGCAAGAATTTGTATGCCATCACTGTACTCTCGTGGATTCAGATGGATCTGAAGATGGATGTCAAGTGAGATTCCTCCTCCTGATCAGAGATGGTGGTATCTGCTGTCACTTGAACTTGGCATGTGTGTCCTCAGGATACCTGGGCTATGGGCTAGCCATCTTCCATGGTGGGCATGTAGAGGCAGAGAGTGCTTGTCTCCAAACAGACAAGATGGCATGGGGAGGGTGGGGTGATGTCAGACACTTCATGAGCAGAGCAGAGACAAGATACATGTAGTCCCAGAGAAACCAAGGATGTCTTGTCTAGTTCCCCAGGAGCCCTGGATGTACGTTCTGTTACTGGATTCTAGGATGCACTCTTGAGTCCTTTGATACATCCTTGTTTTTACTTTTTTAATGTAATAATTACAAAATGATGGCCAATGAGATTGGCGAAAATATAAAGAGTGTTGCAAATAGCACTCATTCAACGAATCCTAATCTTTCAGCAAAGAGATTAGCCTGGTGTGTGTATGTATGGGTGAAAGTGTGCATGTATTTGTAGGATCTGCCCACTCAAATCAGGTGATGAAAAGTTGACAGAGGTTTCAATTAAGATTGACATAAGGTGAAATTTGAAAGCCACCCAGAAAACACATGATACACTGTTATGAAACTAAATCCCAGGGCAAAGATGTGGGCACAGAGGGACTCTCTTGACACAGCTGACAAGTTCCAACTCTACTATTCCAACTCCAGTATTCATGGCTGCTCAGGCAAAATCATTCTGGAAGTACAAAGCACCTGTGTCCAGATTTGGTGTTTACTTCTCTACCAAGAACTTGAATTTGTAACTGAGTCAAGGTCCTGAATCTGCCACCAGTAGACTCAGTTCACTGGAGACAGCAACTCTCTTCCCCTCAGTTGGGTAAGGGACTTTGCAACCCTGGGAAAATGTAGAGACTAGTGTAGAATCAATGAGGAGCAGAATCAAAACCAGAATACTATCATATTTTACTGATTCTAAGGTGCACAGTGTTTTACATTTTACCATCTTGGGAATTAGAATGCATTTTACAATCGATGGCATCAGGCCACGCACAGTGGCTCACACCTGTAATCTCAGCAGTTTGGGAGGCTGAAGCAGGTGGATCGCCCAAGGTCAGGAGTTTGAGACCAGCCCGGTCAACATGGCAAAACCCTGTCTCTACTAAAAATACAAAAATTAGCTGGGCATGGGGTGGGCACCCTATAATGCCAGCTACTCAGGAGGCTGAGGCAGAAGAATAGCTTGAATCTGGGGGGTGCGGCATGGAGGTTGCAGTGAACCGAGGCTGTGCCACTTCACTCTGGCCTGGCAAAAGAGTGAAACTCTGTCTGGAAAAAAAAAAAAAAAGAAAAGAAAGAAATCAATGGCACCATATGATTATAAATGGTGATCTAAAATAAAAGTTGAAAATTTCCAAAAAATTATAAATGTTTGTGTTTTTTCTACCTTAGTGATATCCTAAAAAAAAAGTTGAATCTTATATCTTAGATTCAACAAAATATAGCACTCTGCTTTAGTTAGTTTAACTGTCTCTCCCAAAAAAAGTGTGATGAAAACTTAATTCCCAATACAACAGTGTTGTGAGGTGGGGCCTAATGAGAGGGTGATTCAATATGAGAATCAATAAAATATGACAATACTCTGGTTTTGATTCTGCCCTCATGAATGGATTAATGCTATTATTGTGGGAGTGGGTTCCTTACAAAAGGATGAGTTTGGCCCCCCCTTGGCCTCTGTCTTGCCCTTCCACTTTTTGCCATGGGATAACACAGCAAGAAGGCCCTTGCCAGGTGCTATCTTCTTGATCTTGGACTTCCCAGTTTCCAGAACTGTGAGAAATAAATTTCTATTCATTATAAATTACCTAGTCTGTGGCATTCTGTTATAGCAGCAAAAAATGGAGGAAGACACACTCTTTTTGTGGTAAGGTTAGGAATAATTTTTAAATCATCACTATAATCTTTTGGTTATTTAAAGAGATTGGAACATGGAAGAAAATCTAACATAGTAGACAGCCTGGCATATTACACTTGCAATTTTAATTTGAAACATTTAAGAGGATATAATTAATTGAATTTGTAGACAGTCTTTGGAAGTTGTATTATTGGGGTACAATCTAACCACAAAATGTAATGGCTCAAAGATGATAGAAGTTTATTTCATTTTTTGTTAACAGTCAGTAGTGAAATGGTCCAGAGCTGGAGGCCAAGCAGCCTTGTGATTTGAGGTCTTCTAAGGAATTGGTTCCTTCTCTCCTTTGGTTCTCCCTTGGCCTAGGGTGTTATCTTCATAAGCATGGTTGATGGTGGCTCACTACCACATCAACGGGAAGTGGGAAAGAAGAAAGTCTATGGCAAGTGTCTTTAAGGAGATGCGCTCATTGTAGCACACATCATATCTGCTCATATTCCATTGGCCCAAACATAGTCACATGGTGACAGCCAGCTGCAAAGGAGCTTGGGAAATGTAGTCTGTGGTTGTGTGGTCATGCAACTAGTTAAAGCTTAAGGGTTTTAGCTAAAAGGAAAAGAGGGGAGAATTAACACTAGAAAACAGTCGATACTTATCCACCATGAAGCTTAAGAGAAGCTCATTCCCTAGATTTATTAAATTTCAATAATCGCTTAAAGGCTTAGAAAGATCTTGTCAGGTTTATGAGTTTGCCATATCAGGTTGAAGTGTTTTAGAGAATCAGATATATTTTAATTTCAAATGCACTAAAAATGTCTTAGGAAGTTTAATAAAGAACAGAAATTTATTGTCTCATAGTTCTGGAGTCTGGGAAGTCCAAGATCAAGATGCTGGAAGGTTCAGTTGTCTGGTGAGGGTTTGCTCTCTGCATTCAAGATGGTGCTTTTGAGTGCTGCATCCTCTGGAAGGAGGAATGCTGTGTCTTCACATGGTGGAAGGCAGAAGGGCAAGCAAGGTGTATTCACTCCATCAAGCCCTTTTAAAAGGGCACCTAATTCCATTCTAGATGGAGGAGCCCTCATGGCCTAATCATCTCTTAAAGGCCCCACCTTTTATCACATTGGCAACACATGAATTTTTCAAAGGACACATTCAAACCATAGCAGAACCTTTGGACAGGTTTCTATTACTTATGACCAAAAAACCCTGAGGAAGACAGTTTCTCCTCCAACCCCCTTATGTTTCTATGTGTCTCTGTGTCACAGAGCTCACAGCTACATTTCTAAAATTATGACAACTCTCAACACATGCATGAATGGAGGAGACACCCATGGTACCCATTGGTTGCCTGTCTAGCCTCCCCTTTGCTGCAAACTGTTTCTCCTTAGCTATAACCTCCCAAATTTGTAGGGTTCAGAGGTAGTTATTAGCAGCCACAGTGATATGATTTGATCTACTCTTTAGACCTGGCTGATTGGCCCAAGGGTGGACCAATGAACCAGTTTAGGCTAATCAAGTGCCAATTGAAGGAGAGCCTTGGAGTATCCCTTGGTGTTTAGAGGGATTATATGTAGACCAAGGAGCTGAGAATGGCTATCATCTATTGTGCAGATGGGAGAGCAGAGAAAAAGGGCCCTTTCAGAGAGAGAAGAAAGCTGACTGGCAGAGAAACAGAAAAAAAATGTGGAGAGCATCTTGGTTCTAGTCAGTTCCTGAGACTGTCAGCTGCATATTGCCTCGAGTCCTGGGAGACATCCGGTACACTTATAATAATTTATCTAGAGTCAGTTTCTACTATTTGTAACCCACAGAATTCTACCTAATACGCCTGAAAATATATTAAACTCATTGTGTAAAGCAATCTTGTGAGTTTTGTTTTCGAGAGAGCTACTTAGTTGTCTCAATTAGTGGAAAATTCCAGTGCAGATCTGACCTTTGGGTTTCAGAGTACAGGGACTGATCCAAGGCATGTGCCCTGGTAAGCCCAAAAAATCAAGCTTACCTAAAACTCAACTCTTTCAGTAACTCTAGCCTGATAATCACTGCAAAATACCCAACAATGACTGAGTGTTAGAAAGTTATAGGCAACTAACCATTTTTGACTTGTATAACATCTTATTATACTTAGAATAACTTATAGGGTGATATCCAAATTGCATTATATGGTCTATGGCATAGACTGCTAGTTTACCGTACTCTGCAACGTAAAGCTACATTTCCCAGCCTTTCTTGAAGGCAAGGCAGGTCCACAGGAAGGACAAAGTTCTGATCCATGGAATATGAGTGTAAGTGATGGGTTCAACTTCTGGGCCACTTCTTTAAAGGGAATTACTCAAGTCTTTTTTCTATTTTGCCATACTGTTCCTGGAATGTGAACATGGTGCTGGGAGCGGAACAGCCATAAAGAACCATGAGATTTAAGCCATGTCTTGTAAATAGACAGCAAGCTGGAAAAAGCCTGAGTCCCATGCCCTGGTTACATTCAGATCTTTCCACGAGAGACAAAGTCTTGTTTAAGTCACTGTTACTTTGACTTTTGTTTCAGTAGCTGAACCAGTACCCTGGCTATAATATAGTCTTTGCATGGGAAAACAAAAAAGGAATGACTTTTATTGAGTCACAAATGGTCTAAATGTGGGCAGTTGTGCACTCTTGGAAAAAGCACCCAGGCTGCAGAAACAACTTAGCCCATGTGAGATGAGGAGTACCCATCTCACAAGGTGGAGGAACAAGGGAACATTTAGCCCAGAGAAGGGAGGGCTCAGGATAGACTATAAAACTGTCTTCAGACACAGGAGCTCATGTGACAGAGGGAGTAGACTTGTGCCATACGGCCCCAGGGGTCTGAACTAAGACCAATAGGTTATGCAGGAAACTGAAGTGCTATGACCCAAAGAGTTCTGTCAGTCAGGGTTCTTGGCTATGAGCTACAGAAACAGACTCTGTGTAAAGCAAAAAAGAAATTTATTGAAATGATATTTGGGGGAATCACAGAATGGACTAGAGACCAGGGGACTGGCCAGGAGCCAAAAGCACTCTGGAGGGCTGGTAACCAGGAAGATTGGAAGCCACAGGCATGGAGCAGCAACGGTCTGGCCAACATCATGAGTGACTCTAACTGTTCCTCATGTTGTCCACTCAGGATTCAAAAGCATGGGGGAAGAGTCTGATTGGCCGCAGTTGAATGTCTTCCCTTCCTTGACTAAATGTAGGGTAGGAAAGGGGAAAATTTGGCTCTGTTGACTCTGGTATGAGAGTCAGGCACCACCTCCAAGAGGAACCAAGATGCTATGAGACAAATGTCCTGTGCTACCTGCAAAGATGCTTTTGAAGCCCATGAATCTGTGACCAGTGGCTCAGAATTGGGAAGGACTTGTCTATTCAACAGTTAGCTCCTTTCCTACTTCCCTCACATGCGCACACACTCTGCTGAATGATTCTGGTGATGAAAGGCTGACTATCTCCCAAGTTCTTCCTCATGTGAAGATGAAATCAAGGCTGGGAGTTTAGACACTGCCTGGCGCTTAAGTCCCTCCCACTTTGGTCTCACTTTTGTAGAGTTGAGTCCCGTGATTCTCTTACTGAAAACTTTCCTCCTGTCAAACTTATTCACCCCATGTCACCACCCTCTGACCCCACCAAAACATCTTGTGCTCATTCTCTTTCCTCTTATTTGTAAAATGTTATCCATTCTTCACATTCCAGCTTAAGTCCCACATCATACATGAAACATTCCTGAACCATCCCAGTTCAAAGTAATCCCTCTCTGGAAATTTTTGCCCTTAATCTTGATTAGACAGTTAATCACACTCTTTTTTATATGTTTTCTATTTTTTAGAATAGATATTTCAATCTTGTTAGGACAATTTAACTGTAAACACATTTATATCTTCTCTTGCTACCTAGATTTCTTACGCATCTTTGCATCTCCTGTAAACTATTTCTTATACTTCTTTGCATCTCCTGTAGAACTTAATGGGACTTTTTGTTTGTTTTGTCTTAATTGACTTGAATACCAGAAGTGGGTGTGATCTTGATCCTTTTATCCAGGAATTTGGGGAAGGGGAAACAGAGGAAGATGAAGATAGATGTACATCAGACAAACCAAAATGACTTTCCTCTGAGCATAATGATGTGAATGACTTATATTTTTACAGTTTTGAGGTATAATTGATGTATAATAAACCATACATATTTAATGTATACAACTTGATATGTGTATATATAATCCATGAAACCATTGCCCTAATCGAGATAATAAATATATCCATCACGCCCTCAGTTTCCTTATGCCACTTCATAATCTCTCTACTTCATTCTGACCCCAAGCAGCCATTGATTCATTTTATGTCACTATAAGTTTGTATTTTCTAGAATTGTATATAAATAGAACCATTTAGTATGTACTCTTTTCTGTCTGGCTTCTTTCACTAAGCATAATTATTTTGAGATTCATCCATATTGTTGAATATATCAACAGTTCATTCCTTCTATTGCTGAGCAGAATTTCATTGTATAGGTATATCACAATTTGTTTTTCCATTCACCTGTTGATGGTTATTTGAGTTGTTTCAGTTATTGACTATTACAAACAAAGCTGCTGTGCACATTTGTGTACAAGTGTTTGTGCGGGCACATGCTTTCATTCATCTTAGATAAATATCTAGGAGTACAATGGCTGGTCACATGGTAGGTCTGTGTATAACATTGCAAGAAATTACCGAAATGATCACACAATGTACATTCCCATAAGCAGTGCATGTTTCAGTTGCTCCATCTTCCCACCAGCACTTGGTGTTTTGAGTCTTTCTAATTTTAGCCATTCTAATAGGTATGCAGTGGTATTTCATTCCAGTTTTAATTTGTATTTTCTTAATAACTGATGTTGAAGATCTTTTCATGTGCTTATTGGCCCATCTTTGATGAAGTGTCTGTTCATTTAAAATGTTTAAAAAATGGGTTGTTTTCTGTTTTCTTTTACTGGGTCTCTTTTCAACCATGGCTGATGATCACGAGGGCATTCTCCCATGTAGATCAACAGAACCATGTCCAGTCAGTCCCAGCAACAGGGGGTGGCATGAGCCTCACAGATGGCTGGACTTTGAGATGACACCTGCATGTTGACTGTCTTACCAGGAAGTGTTGCCTGGCAGTGTCATGACACTTAGGTGGGGACCCAGTGAAGGTTTTGGGACTGACCCCCTCCTCTTGGTTAAAGCCCCGAATTAAGAGACTATTAGAGAAATAAGAGTTACTACCTCAGCTCCTCAGAAGATGATCATGTTGCTATGAAGACTGATGAAAATAAAACATCCAAGAAGAAATGCTAATGAATTGAAGTGTAATAGAAGCCTTACATTAGGAGCTGTGGAAATACCAAAGGTGCATGTGGCCAGAACAAAGGCTAGTTGGTCAAGAATGTTTCTGGAGAAGAAACCCAAGACCGTAGTTGACACTGGCCCCATGAGCTGCCCCTCACACATCTCAGCAGTCGCCAAGCCCTGTGGTTCTGGTCTCCACCGCTCCTCTCTGCAGCCACCACAACGCCCTCCTCTGCATTCCAGAGCAGGCACGCTTGCCCCCTTTGAAGCCTTCTGGGCCTCATCTCCTTCTGTCCTTTCATCTCCAGCCTTAAAACTCCATGCTGAGTGGGCCTGGCTCACCCAGCTCTCCCCGCCTGGCCCTGAGGACTGCCCCCCAGTTGATTTTGCGGGGTCCTCCCGAGGACCTTTGTTTAGCGCCTGGCCAGGGAGGCCCAGCCCCTGGAGACCCCTGCCCACCGCAGCAGTCTCTGGTGCCTGGCCTTTGTTCCCTTTACTAAATCTAAAATGCTTCCACATGTGTTCTTCTGATTTTGCAGTCGTGGAGAAAGAACATGAGGCTGTTTAATACCTCCAATTTCATTGACATTTAACATTAAGAACACTTGTGGGCCTGTTGGGGGACACTTTACAATCTTGTTATTAGGAAAAACTCTTTCAGCAAGCAGTGATGCAAGCAGTATTTTGTCTTTTTAAAGTCATAAGAGTTTTTAAAAAAATTCTCTCTTTCTTAAAAAAGATATTGTAGTAGAAGAATATCTCTCAAAAACATCCCATAATTTTTTTTTGGCAGGATAGGGTGAGATGGGGCTGGGAATAAGAGAACATGAGATTTAGGCAATCTTTCCTTTACCTTTTTTCTTATAAGTAGAGCCCAAGTTGAACCACACCCCCACCGTTGATGAAAGTTAGAAAAATAATCATGAAATTGGTGGATTAAAAGAAAGAAAATGTTTAAAGAGCTCTCCAAATGTCCGCCCTAAGAAGTTCCATACAGTATTCCATTGTGCAAGGAACACAACCAATAGCACTTACAAGCTGACAGAGTTAGAGAGGTACAAATTAGCCTATGTAGCACCTGGGGGCTTATGGAGAAGAAAAAGAAGAATCAAAGCAAATGGGCATGGCCAAGAAGGTCTGAAAGGTGGGTGAGGGTGAGTGTAGGGGGATCAGGAAATACCAGCGGTTTCACTGATAAAAGTTACAAACGAAATACATTTGAAATGTGACTTGCATTTGGGCCATTGGCTGAGGAACACAGATACATACAGGGCAGCAAGGCAAATAAATGGGGTTTTACAGGCCCAGGTCCTAGGAGTCAGTTAGGGAACAATCCCAGGACTTAGTGATGCAAAATTGGGGAGTTGGAGTATACTTTACCATGAATGGAGGCTCACTTTTATCTAGGAGAAGATGACAGGCTGATGAGAGTGATGACTGACAGCTTAACAGATGATTTGGTGCTACCTTGGGATCACTGTCTCCATTAACTGGAAACAGTCACATTTCGCCACTTTCTGGGGGCAGTATTTAGAGACACAAGGTTACCTAAGCAGAATGATGATTTGTGCTTATCTTACCTCTTCCCAATGACTGTTAGAACTCACCTTTTAGGGCCAGGTGCAGTGGCTCATGCCTGCAATCGCAACACTTTGGGAGGCCGAGGCAGGCGGATCACTTGAGGTCAGGAGTTCAAGACCAGCCTGGCCAATACGGTGAAACCCCGTCTCCATTAAAAGTAGAAAAATTAGCCGGGCATGGTGGCGGGTGCCTGTAATCCCAGCTACTAGGGAGACTCTGTCTCAAAAAAAAAAAAAAAAAAAAAAAAGAAAAGAACTCACCTTTTAGAATACAGGAGTATCACACTCACAATGGATTAATCCATTAGCAACAGTAAAACTGCCATCATGGCATCATGGCACGCAGTGCATGCCTAAGAAGAATATGGCAAGCAAAAGTTTTTTCTTTGAATTGTGCCACCCCAGGGCTCTATGGCTTTGGATAAATAATGTACCTTGTTTTTGTATCAGATTCCTTATCTACAGACAAGGAGATCACTCATTTATTCACTTTCCACTGCCCACCTGTACTGTTAGGGTAAACCGGGATTCTGGCAGGAAAGATCAGTTTAAGGCTGTTTAGAGCCAAACTCCAATGCACTTGGATCATGGGAACTCATGTTATGGGCAAGTCTTGCCTTAAATCCTTGCTGCTGAGACACCTCCTTGCTTTGCAGAACAGCGCATTCAGGGACAGAAGGGGAAAAAGGAGCCAGACACAGGGACCAAGGAGACAAAGGAAAACCCCAAGAGTACAGGATCATGGATGGCCAAGAAGAGACCCTCAGGACTGCAGAGAGGTCCCTGACGATGATGCCAGGGAAACTACTTGGTGGACAAATGGAAGGCCAGTGGTGACAGTGTGAGGGAACACAGAGTGCAAAGGCTGGAAGATGCAGTGGGTCTGGGGATATGTGGCTGTGAGAAGAAGAAAAGAATGACAACTTGAGAGGGTAACAGGGTTATGACGAGGTTTTTCTTCCCCCTAGCTAGAAGAGACCTATATATGCTTCATGGCAGCAGGAAGAAGTCTGTGCAAGGGGAGAATTTGGCCACTTAAGGGAGGGCATTATATGGGTGCAAGGAGTGGGAGACTGCCATCACCCAGGGAAGAGGACAGAGTAGGACTACAATAAAAGTTGGTTGATCGACAGATAGTTGCTCAGTTTGCGCTGGCTGGTAAACATAATGCTGTATGGTATTGGGGTTAAGCGTGCAGGCTCTGAGTTCTGCATAATTTGGGGCAAGTTGCTGAGATGTTTATGAAGTCTCCTTTTCCCTATATGTAAAATGGGGGCAGTTATAATACATATCTTTGTGGTAAGAACTGAGAGTTAATACATGCAAATAATTTAAAATAGGTTCTGGTTCATAGTTAATGCTCAAAATGTTAGACTCAGTAATAAAAATAATGGCCATCTTTGAGGATTAACGATTGAAAGCTCAAGGTCAAGTCTCATTATACAGCAACATAAAAGAAGAAGGTAAAGGTGATTAAACTGACCCAGGGCATATCTTGAGGTTCCTTTTTTACAAATAGGGCTGGATTTCAACTTCTGTTCTTATTCTTCTTTCCTATTCCCCCTCAAAAAAACTTACTTGAAAATTAATCAAACTTCTGGTTAATCAAATCTTAAACACATACCATAATAAATGTTTTGGAGAATCTAAGAGAGTCATTTTTAAATTAATATATCAAATGCTGCAGTAATATATTTCTATTATGCTGACTATACATAGTATAAAGTTAAAAATTGTTTTGGTGAATTTAAGTTTGTAGTTATAGTAGGAAGACACTAAATTTGCAACAGCATTCCTCGTGATTTAAAAAAAATCTTTTTTTTTTTAAATGAAGCCACAAGCATTCTGCTTCTGTGCTTTTTTATTTTTTATTTAGTTTTTTGAGATGTAGTTTTGCTCTTGTTACCCAGGCTGCAGTGCAATGGCACGATCTTGGCTCACTGCAACCTCTGCCTCCCAGGTTCAAGCGATTCTCCTGTCTCAGCCTCCCAAGTAGCTGGGATTACAGGCACGTGCCATCATGCCCGGCTAATTTTGTATTTTTAGTAAAGACGGGGTTTCTCCATGTTGGTCAGGCTGGTCTCAAACTCCCGACCTCAGGTGATCCGCCCGCCTTGGCCTCCCAAAGTGCTGGGATCATAGGCGTGAGCCACCGTACCCGGCCGCTTCTGTGCTTGTTAAAAAAAGGTTGAAGGGGGAAAATCACAGTAGCTGCCCTCTCTCTGCTTTTAAGAAATGGAATGAGTCTGTGGGTGGCTACCAGACTGGGAGGGCTTGGGGATGCTGACTCTGTGGTGAGGTATTACGCAGTCAGGTTAATTTCCTTATACCACTTGTCAAGTTAGAAGGAGTAGAGAAGATGCCAGGTCTTCACTCATCCCTGGGCATTAAGGGAAAACTAAAGAGCTTCCAAGAGGAAATGCTCTGAGTTGAAGTCAGCTCATTGCGCCGCCTCAGTGTTTGACTTGGCATATTACTACGGGGTCTTTATTTTCTCATTACTAAACTGGGTCATGTAATTGACAAGACAGGGGACAGTCGGGGTGGGACCATTCTAGAAAATCTGTAACTGACTTTTTTTTTTTTAATGGAGTCTCGCTCTGTCGTCCAGGCTGGAGTGCAGTGGCGCGATTTCGGCTCACTGCAACCTCCGCCTCCTGGGTTCAAGCGATTCTTCTGCCTCAGCCTCCCGAGTAGCCGGGACTACAGGCAAGTGCCACCGCACCCAGCTGATTTTTGTATTTTTATTAGAGACAGGATTTCACGATGTTGCCCAGGCTGGTCTCAAACTCCTGACCTTAGGTGATCCACCCGCCTCAGCCTCCCAAAGTATTGGGATTACGGGCGTGGGCCACTGCACCCAGCCTGTAACTCACTTCTGAAGGTCCAGAAATTCCTTGTTTCCTTCTGTTATTTATAGTACGCTACTTATTTAAACCAAACATGAAGTTAATTGACACTTAGCCAGGCAATTTGGATTACCTGTGTGGCTTCACACAGGTATGGGTTGTAGACAAGTCTAAAAATAGAAAATGTTAAAATCCAGCTATCTCAGAAAAACTTGGGTTCATCTCCATCTCCTACCTCCCATATGTCACAAATAGACGCATGGGATGTGAAATGGTAACCTCTGGGTAAGGTGACAAAGGTACTCTAATCTTGGCTTACGTGGACTACACGGTTAATCCACTGAATAACAATCAGCATCTTCATCTGTGTGGTAGGAGAACCGGAGGTCAGAAGGGTAGAGGGGCGGCTAAAAGTACTTTGTTTCTATTACTGTATGACCTTGGACTAGTTACAAAACTTTTTGTGCCTACATTTCCTAATCCCTAATATGGGGTTAACAGTGCTTGCCTCTGTTTAAAAAAATTACTCAGTGATGCTTACTAAAGCATGGTAAGAAAGACTTTATTCAGGACCAACGCGATGGGTACAGGGATCAGGGAAACCCGGGGAGAGAGAGTGGGCTCCAATTCTGAATGCAGCGTCGGCAAGTAGAAATTTATGGCCATGTAAAATCACTAAGAGTAACCATCGGGGGAAGAGGGATTCTGGCTCAACCGATCTAAAGGATTCTTGTAGAACTCAGGCCAGGGTGAAAAGACATGACTGGGGGATAGAGGAAGATGAGGAACCTGATCTGCTATGAGGGGATGGGGGTTCTGTGCTAGAACTGGATTTTACAAGGAAGTGCACAGATGGGCCTAGCATGAGATTCAGAAGCCTGACTAAAGTTTGGCCAAGCAAAGAATCTTTGTCACCTCAGGGCTGTTGTGAGAATTTTAGGAGACACATCCACCAGCCTTGGCATGGGGCCTGATGCAGAGTAAGTGTTCACTAAACTTTACCTATTAACGTTAAAGCACTTTAAGTTGACAAACACTCCACGTACAGAGCTTTTAATGGGGCAAACAAGGGGCAGAGGCCTCAGCTGCAGGGTACTCAACCTCTAAGGAAGGGCGCTGGAGAAAACTGCACTTGCAGAGCCCCTGGCTGGAGGGCGGAGAACCATGTGGGTGTAAAGGGATGGCAAGGGCAGAACGTATGCCCCTGCCCACCTTAGACAGTTGCTAAAGGGTCTCCCAGGCACTCAGCCTAGCCTTTAAGTGAAAGCGGAGGAAACATTTAAAGAAATGAGATAGAGTTAAGGTGTTCGCCTGCCCTCCGCTGAAACACGTGGGGGCAGGTCAGGGGCACACCACAAATGCCCGTATCGCGCCTGTGTGTACCAGGCACCGTCCTCGGAGGTTAACGTGCAGTAACTCACTCGGGTCCCCACTTTCGGCACAGGCAGCAGGCCCAAGGTCACGCAGTGCCAAGGGACTGAGTCAGACCCGAGCCCGCGCGCCGCGGCCCACGGCCTGTGCCAGCGCGCTCCTCGCCGGGTAGGGGGCCTGGTCAGCCGCGTCAGACCTGAGAGTTGTGGCTGGGGGCGAGAGCTGCACCCCCCTACCGACCCCGGGCGGGAATGTTCCAGAACCCCTGCGAGCAGCCGTTGGCCGCACAGCCCCCGGGCCGGCCGCGACCCCGCCTTGCGCCGCGAAGGTCCCTAGCTCCGGGGAGTCGCGGGCGAGGGGCACGCGCACGGACGAGACCGCACCGCAGCGCACGCGCACTGGCGGGCACTCACTCGCCCGCCGCCCGGGAGGAGAAGGAAGGCATGGAAAGTTCCAGCCGGTTCGAGAGCTAGGTAGCAGGCATGGCAGGAGGCGGGGTAGGGGCAGGCAGGGTCGCGAGGGGGCGTGCGGCCGCCGCGAGCCGCTCTGGGCCGCGTCTGCAGCACCGCCCCTAGCCGCGGCCGGCGGGCTGGGCTGGGGTCGGGGCGGGGGCGGTGCGGCGGGTGCGGGGCTGCGGAGGGGGCGTGGCGGCCGCCCGCGGGCGGAGAGGGGGCGGGGCGGCGGCAAGGCGCGCGGGCGGGGCGGGGCGCGCCGAGGGGGCGTGGCGCGGCGTCTGCGCAGCTGCCAGCGCCTTTAAGCCCGGGCTCGCGCTCTCGGACCGTGCTTTCGCCGCCTGGGAGCCGTCCGGCGCAGCAGTTTCTAGGTCCCCACTGTCCCCGCCGTCCCGCCCCTTCGCGTCCCGGGAACCGGCTGGCTTCCGAGCCGCACTCGCCGATCCTCCAGGCATGCCCCGCTACGAGCTGGCTTTAATCCTGAAAGCCATGCAGCGGGTAAGTGACCTTCCCTCAGAGCCGGTCTTCCCGCGCGGGCGCCCCCGCTGCCGCTAGGCCGCCGTCCCCCGCGCGCCCTGGCCGCGGGACCCCGGGCCTTCCTGCACTCCTCGGAGGAGGCCGGGGCGGCGGGCGGGCGGCGGGCGTCCGCGGGAAGGGGGCGCGCGTGGGCCGGCCGGGCCCGGCCGCGTGCGCGCGGGAGGCGGGGGTGTGCCTGCGCGTGTGCGCGGTCCGGGAGGGTGTGCCTCGCAAGCGGCCCGCCGGGCGGGGGGCGGGGCGGACCGAGCGGGCCCCGACCCCGATCCCGGCGCCGGCCCGCGGGAGTCCAGTGGAAGGTCCGCGGGAGGACACGCGCGGGCGCCCAGCCCGACTCCGGCCCGTCCCCGCCAGTCGTGAAGCTGCCTCGTCGCCGGCCCCGCCGCCGCCGCCTGGTCCGTCCCGCTCCGCCGCCCGCCGGCTGCCGCCGACCGCCTCCGCTCTAGCGCCCGCCGGCCGCCCGGAACGTCCGCGCCCAATAAAGCGTTCCTCCAAAGCTTGTTTGTGCCGTTGTCTGTATTCCAGTCTCTTGCAATCGCTCTCATGTTAAAAAAAAATCTTTTGACTTTTCTTTTTCTGACTTCAGCGAAAATCCCGCTCCGGGTGCCCTTAGCCCAGTTTCATTCATCCAAGTTGTGGCCTTTCTTGCGCCTCCAGAAGACACTTTCTTCCCCCTGCTTTTGATTGATCTTGAGGTAGGGGATTTCAGGTTTGGAGGGATGCTAAGCGAACCAGCGGCCCCTTTCAGGTGACGGCGTGGCCAAGGACAGGGGCCCGCGGCCCGGAGGCAGCTCACTTCGTCCTCTGTCCTGGGTCATGTACTCCTCAAGTCGTCGCCGAAATCCCCATTCTCCCGTGAATTCGGAATTCGGTAACGTAGTTTGGTGTTATGTTTTTTTTTCTCCACCAGGTGTAATAAAACAAAAATCATTGTACCACGTCCGAACTTTGTAAGCACAGCTTCCTACAGCGCTAGAGGAGTGGACGCATTTTTACGTTTGAAATTAGGCTCCAGGTCAATTGCGAGGAGTATTACCAAGTTTGGTTGAACTTAAGCTCAATTGATAAACTAACAATCACGGAGCGTCGGGAGATTGTTAGGAAGTGTGCTTTGCATATTGTTAACTGGGAAGGGACGCCAGTGCCTCTCTATGAGGTCCAGACAGCCTGGCCAGGCATGCCATTGTGTCCCCCAGCTTGTTCTTCATGGATTTGGAAGAAGTTAAGATAGTATCTGTTCAGCCTCTTGAATATCCCTTTTGGCCCTCCTCCTTGCTTACCAGCATATGTAACTCCGAAAGGATAGGAGCAGTGAAAACAAAGCATTATTAAAAGGGAAGATTTTTAATTAGGTGGAAGTTGTTTAAGCCCTCCCTTCAACTTACGTGTTTTAGGGAATGTGGAACCTGGGAAATTCGTTACTGAAATTCCTTTTGTTTACTTTCCTTGTCTTGGGGAGGTAGCAGGTGACACTGAAAGAGGCAACCTGTAGGCAATAATATTTGCTCATTCTGTAACCCTTTGAAACCTTTGAAATGAAGACTTGCCCTCCCCTTTGTTTTTGCCATAGTTGCCAAGTATCTTGGTTAACATGGCTGCAAGTATTAAGTGTATTTCTTTTACCATTTTTTTTTATGTCCTGTAATAACATAGCCTTTGGATGTGGAGCACCCATTTTTCACTCTAGTTCAGATCAACAGAGCGTAATTTGGTTAAAATAATAAATAACCTTCCTTGAAATCTTCGCATGAGGGAAGGGGGGCAAAAAAAAGAAAAAAAGCCCTAGAAAGTAGATAATAAAGGTGAACTGCCTCTTGGAGAAAGAGGCCCCATGGCAGTAGATAGAAGGTTGTAACAGTGGTGACTTATGTACAATGGCGAAGTTATGTTGAGGAGATCCTTGACCTAAATAAAGTAATATTAAACAATAGCTTCTCAGTTATTTGTTCAAAAACCTATCTGTAGCTTGTAAATGTGGCACAAACACAAAGACTTCCAGGTTTTAGACCAGTTTGCTTGCTTTCAGTTTAGGAAAATAGGATTCTAAAATAGGATGAATGTTTGGGGGGAAACGAATTTAAAAAGTTAACTCTAGGCTTATGAAATGAAAAATGCGACTGTGAGCTTGCACACCGGTAGCAGGCCTTGGAGAAACCACAGTTCTAACCCGAGGCACTTTGTGCTTCTGTTGCAAGAAGGGTATTGAAGCTCCTCAGTTCAAAGTTGCGTATCTTCCACGTTTTTAGATTCTTAAGTGTATACCTCTTTACCCCTTTAATATGATGTATTTTCCTTTCCTCCCCAAATCATTTGTGCATCTTGGAATTGAGGAAAATGCTGTGTTAGGCAACTTTAACAGCGGATATGGAAGTTAAGAAACTATAGTTTTCCAGCCTTTGGACTCCCAGAGCTGCTCTCCTGTTTTTTCTCCGCAGTACTCAGCCTGGAGAGCATTCTTAGTCTGTTTGGAGAATATTAACTCCTCCCTGTCCTCATTACTTTTTTTTTGACCCTAGCTTGACTCCTTTAAATTGAGCTTGCAAAGTTTTAAAATTTAAAATACAGGCCCTGTGTTGGCTGTCACAGTATCTGGATTGTAGCAAAGTCAGTTGCGGGAATGCCCATTGAAAGATTTCAGAGTGTATTATGTAGAGTCAGTCATATTGAACTATACAGTTGTACAATTAGTCACCCAGAAATTCCAATACTATGTTTTTCTCAGTTTGCAAGTAGAAGTTGATTATGAGTATCTACTTTTGTACTTCCAAGTTTGGGCATTTAGGAATGTAGTTAACTAGTGTTTCTAAGAAGAAATTTATTTTCAAGTACCATATAGCTTGATTTTTAAAAAAGTGTGTATATAAAAAAAGTTATTTCTATTTTCTGTTTTAGCGTGAAAAGTAGGTAAAAGTGTGGTTAAATTCTGAAATATGACGGTAAAGTAATGGATGTTGTGAAACTAGGCCTTTAAAGGTGACAAGCAATTTGAAAAACCAGTTGTTTAGACCAGTCTTAGTTCATATTTATAGAAGAGTCTCTGGAATAAAAAGATTTTAAAAGTCCTGTTACACCCATATCAGATAGCATCAAGAGAGTTTTATTCACTTCTGGAAAACACAGTATTCAAAGGCTGTAATGTGAAAGGACATAGCCGCAAAGGAGAGACCAAGGCTGCAGTCCCAGGTAGCCTCATTTCAGTGTGAGGAAGACCTCTGACAATGGAAAAAGAAATGGATTGCCTGTGAGATGGTGAGGTCTATATCCACCTCCACCCTGCCCCCCCTGCAATGAGAACTTTGAGGTAGATGAGGAGAAGGGGTCATGTGTTTGGTGAGTGAGCTCTCTTGTGAGTGGGAAAATGGTTGAAGCCCTTTGGTTTCACTTGATAATTAGATTTTAAAGGTTGGTATTTCAGTTAGGTAAAAGACTGAAGTGCCAATACATGAATGGTAAAGCCGCATACTGTATAATGTAGAGGAGCTTAGGAAAAAAATGAAACTTTGTAGACACTTTTTATGCCTTGGGTATACAGGAAGAAGAAATCTGAGGAAAGAAATCTGTGCAATACATAAGTATTTTGTGGTTACTTTAGGAACGCTAATTACGTCTCGTGCCCTTTTCCCAGAAGGTGTTCACAGTTGGCATAGATTATGAAAGCCCTGGGATAATACTTTTCCTGAAATCTTCTCATTGGCGTTCAGGAATTTTTACATGAAGAATTAAAGGTTAATGGCTTAATAACTAATTCACTTGCTAAATGATTCCATTGCATGTACAATAAGATAGCATTTATATATATATATCTTCATATGTTTTTCTAATAGGAATAAAGAAGATAGCTATTTTGGAAATCTTAAGTTCTTATTAAAACAAACAGTAATTTTTATGTTTAATACTCAACGCAGATTATATTTTACATTTAGATAACTCATTGAAATAGTACTTTGGTAGGGTAAGGAGTTTTGTGTAATCTGAGTTTGAGTTCTGACTTGGTTTAATTTGAATATAGAAAAGTATAATCAGTTCCTAAAATGTAGAAAACAGTTGGTTTTCTGGTAGAGTGATGAAGAGTTTTTCTCTAAATGCAAGCCTTTTTTGATTAGAACACCTGGCAAAAGTTTTGTATTTGTTCTAGAGTTCTATTCAAGTTAGGATGTTCTGAAAGTAATGCCTATGAAGTGCCTGTATTTTAGATACCCTTTGGAGATGGAGGGTGCTAATAAACTGAAGTATGAGTCAGGTCAACCCTAGGTCCTTGTAGTTTGCTTGGCAAGCATTTGATAACTAGGAAATAGTGAAGTTTCTGCTGTGTGTTGGTGGGAGACATCAGTTCAAACGGAAACATCTAGCTGTCAAGTGGTCTTTTTTTTCTTCCCATGGGCCCTCCCTAAACAGCTTAGCCTTGTATCTTTAATAATCTCTCTTTGTGTTTTATCTGCTTGAAACCAGGCAACTTAAAATAGTTACCTAGTAATGGAAGACTTGACCCTGTGAACAATGTTATACTTTCATTTGGTATTAAATTTTCTTGGGTTACAGCTTATTGCCGCAGCAAGCTATTGAAGAAGGAAGGAGTCCTGTTCCTGCCCCTGAGCTACAGCTAAGGTACAAGGAATGGCTTGGGGGTAAGGAGTCCTTCCTCACCAGATATGGTTTGTATGTATGAAGACTGCTTGTCAGAAGTTGACATTTTGCACTAATTTTTTTTCTTAATTCATGACTCACACATTCAATACTGATGTTTCTAGATTTTAAAAATCTAGGTTATATCTAGTATTATATGCAGACTATTGAATCTTCTAACCTTTTAGATTATAAAATCAGTTTCAAAAAATTAAGAGTTCAAAAGCAATGACGGGAAAATTCTGAAGTAATATTTTTCATCTAGTGCCTTTGCTGTGTTTGTACTACTACATGTTTAACTCATCTAAAAGAAACCTGGAATACCATAATGGGGTTTAACATGAAGGTGGAAGGAAGGGTAGAGAACAAATGATAAAATACTGTGTGATTACTCATGTTATAAAAAGTTGTTGCAATTTGATTATCAGACTTTTCCTATTTAATGTTCTTAGCTTTGTGTTAGAATTTCCAATATACTCATGAGTTTATCTGTTTTTAGTGGAAGGCAATATTTTTAAGACGTGTTATCAACACATGTAGTTACCTCTTAGGGGAATCCTTACTTAAGGAATTAGTCAAATGAATGTCTGGTAAGTTATCAATTTGTCTAAAGGAAGAACTACCCTTGGGTTTGGAAAGTGACAGTTAATTCAGCCTCTTATCCTTTTTGTTGCTTTGAAATTAGAGCAAGAGTTGGCAGCCTGTGGCTTCCGGGCCAGATCTGACCTGTCACCTATATTTTTGTGGCTTGTGAAGTAGGAAAAGATTTTACAGTTGAATAGGTGGGGAAAAAAACAGCAATACTTTATGGCACTTGAATTTCATAAAACTTTCACATTTCAGAGTCCATAAGTAAAGTTACATTGGAACATGACCCTGTTCTTTTGTTTATATTTATTATCTAGTCCTTTACAGAAGAAATGTGCCAGCCCCTGATTTAGAGTATATAGACACAATTTTCTAGGTGCATCATTTTTCTTGGCTTCTTATGCTGCTGTTTTCTGATGTTACTCCCTTGATTTCTCCCTTCTTCTTCTTTCTGTTTTTTTGAGACAGAGTCTTGCTGTGTTGCCTAGGCTGGAGTGCAGTGGCACGATCTCGGCTCACTGCAACCTCTGCCTCCTGGGTTCAAGCGATTCTCATGTCTCAGCCTCCCAAGTAGCTGGGATTACAGGCATGCGCCACCAGACCCAGCTAATTTTTTTTTTTTTTTTTTTTTTTTTTTTTTTAGTAGAGATGGGGTTTCACCATGTTGGCCAGGATGGTCTCAATCTGACCTCGTGATCTGCCCGCTTTGGTCTCCCAAAGTGCTGGGATTACAGGCCCTCTTCTCTTTATGTACAATTCCATTAACCTTCATGTGGATGATTTGCCACCTTTTTTAACAAGCTGACAACTCTGGCATTTTCTGTTCTCTTCTGTGCTGGTTATGGCCTCCTGGGTATCCCCTTGGCACTGCAAACTCAGTGTGGTTAAGAACTTAATGTGTTGCCTATCCCCAAAGTTGCCTCTGTTATTGCTTATTTCTGTTTATCGCTTCTCTGTCTTCTGTCATCTGGGGCTGAACAAATGCAGTTCTTTCTTTTCCTGCAGTCTCAATGCCATATAGTCTTCTCTGCCCTAGTTGAACTGCTCATGTTGTTTGTTTCTTCCTTGGACTCTTGCAGTTTCTTAGCTGGTCTCCTGACATACTACTGAGGGGAGGATAGCTAATACCTGTAAATACGCTTGTAGTGCAAATATATGTCCTTGAGATACTTTAAAACACCTAAATAGGTGCACTTATAACAAGGAAATAGTAGAAAGCATTAAGTGATGGCTTTCTGATTCCCATACTAATTGATTGTATCAACACTTGCCAAATTACTGCATACTTCTCATTTTCAAATACATGCAGGATGAAGTCACATCCAAGGCTGTCTCAGTATGACTCCCAACTTATTTTTTTAACCTCATCTTTCAGTTTTTTTCCACATTTTATATGCCCAGTAAACAAAGTTGTGCAGATTCTTATAAATACCATTACCTTTTATTTTCTTTGGTGCCGGCATCATGCTGTTTTTCTGTTTGGAACACCCTCCCTTTCCACAATACCCCACCACCTCCATGAAAAACCAGTCTCATGTTCTTCCAAGTTCATCTTAACTCATTTGGTACATTAAACAAATATCAAGGGCCTGCAACATTAGGAGTATAATAGACTAATCTTTCCTTTGGTTGCATGAATCTCATCACGTCTCCCATCACATGGATCACTTTCTACTTTGTATTACAGTTAATTGGTGAATATGTTTTACCTCCTTTGCTAGATTACAAATTCTTGAGAGCTGAGTCTTTCATGTTTGTTCTGCTATGCTTTGCATATATGGTAGATACTTACTAAGCTGCCTTGAGGGGTTACTACTCTCATCTCTATAAAACAGTTATTTGCTATGATACAGCGTGTTGACCTCGTGCTAGTAGTTTGCTTACAAGTCAGTGCACTTCGCTCACGCTGGGTGAGTTGTATGTTACCAGAAGTTGTGTTGATTTCCAAGACTGTTTTATGACAGGTAATCTTGTTTCCGTAAAATAATTTAAATATCATGTGAGCTGATGAAATGAGTGCAAACCTTTGTTTCCTGAAAACCAAGTTGGATTCTTTGGGAAGACTTGATAAAAGGTGAGTCATTAAAATAATGACTGTAGAATTAGATATGGCTGAAATAACTCAAAGTTTGGGAAGAAAAATAACTAGGAGGATTGTGTATGTGGAGTGTTTTACAAGGATCTTTTAAACTTTCCACTTTAATGAAGCTGAAACTGGAAATTGTAGATAATGCCATCTGTAGATGTCGCTTAGATCAAGCAGAAGGAACTCAAATCATCAGGGAACTCCAGGTCATCGATTCCATTCTCCAAGTGCTTGTCATGACCCCTATATTGAGGTTGGCAAATAAATGTATGTTTATGTGTTGAATAAAATACTTAATAAAATACTTAAGGTACGTATATATAGTTTTATGACTGGATATGGCTTTGGGTATGAAGGCTTCTGCTTTATAGAAAAATGCTGATTTTTTTGTTTTCTATTATAAATGAGTAGAAAAACCTTGTAAGATCTGAAATGAAGATACTGGATGTGTTACCATAGAATAAACAAAGACTGGCATTGGGAGACTAGAAGGAGCTTTAGAGGCAGATGGGACTGGGTTTTGGATTGTAGCACCTACTTCCTAAGGACTTTAACCTTCTGGATCCTCAGTTCCTTCTTTGTAAAATGGAAGTAATTCATTTGGGAGGGTATTTGAAGATAAAGTGGTTATGTGACCTTGGAGGTAGTTAAGTGTAGTTCTGTCATTAAAGTAGCTTTGTGGTCTTAGGCAAGTCGCTGTGAACTTCATTGCCTAGTTTTTCATTATTCCCAGTTTATTAATGAAGAAACTCTAAAAGATAAAACTTATTATATCTAAGTTTATTTCATCAGAATCCCAAACTAGATCAAAGCTGAAATACAGTTCTTGTTAAGTAAATGTTTGAATTAGTGGTGTTGGTGCTTACTACTCTGCTCCCATCTATTATTGCCATGAGGGGTGTGGGCCTGGTTTTGCCAGCTTTTTTTTTCTCTCTTCCTCCTACCAGCCAGAAATCCAGATTTTATAGGAAATCTGGTTTTTTTTTTTTTGATGTTGCCAACTAATTGAATACTTAGGTACCATGGATCAAATGTAATGTATCTGTGGGTTAGGTTGGCTCTCATTTTGTAATCTAGATATTCAGATAATTAGCTGTAGGTTGTCTGTAAATCTCTTAGCATTTATGTTGACAAAGCCCACCTTGTTAATTGGTCACTGGTTTGCAGTAGGACTGATTTCAGCAATGGCAGGCATATTCAATTCTTGAAAGTATCTATAGTTTCGGATTGTTGGGTTGTATATGTGCATTTAGGCTAAAATATACATGTAGGCTTCAGAGCTGCACCGTGTAAACTGTGAGGGAGTGACATTCACAGTCCACTTTTTCTTTCAATGTCTGAGTGATATCTTGTTTTAGGCATGTATTAGTACTATTTGGTTTGTACCCGTTGTATTAACCTCTTAGGTGTTTGAAATACTACTGGCATGCAAAGATTGCTTTGCCTAGAAAATATTTTTTTTTGCTCAGAGTGTATCTGTGGAATTAAAAATAGTTTACCCATGATCCCTGGAAAATAGTATTACCATGAAAAAAATTCAGGTGCTCTCTTGGTAAAGATTATAGAGGAGGGAGGTGATGACATTTTTATTTTTGACCAGGCTTTGTGTTTCCATAAAATAGAAGCCAAGTTATTACCTTGACTAACCTTCTTTTTTTGTCTTTTTTTTCACTCCCACTCCAGATAGATAACATCAAATTGCAAATAAAACGAACTCAGATCCCAGGTTGTTCTTACGTACGTTTTGGCCCAAGGTGTAATTGACTTGTTTTGCTTCCCCTTGCAATCATTTTTACTATGATTACAGTCCCAGGTAAGGTAATTTCTGTCCACTTTGGGCATACCTCAGTAGAGGTTGGTGTAGATGAAAGCTTAAAAATGAAATTGCAAGTGAAAGCACAGACTTAGCAAAACTTTCTTTATTGGAGCCCTCAATCCTCATAAACTGGCATTTTTCTGCTTCTGCCCCAGAATCGAGAATTCCTGGTTTTGTCTTTGTTTTGACTTGAGTTTTTAAAAGTTTCTCTGTAACACCTACCCTGGAGTGGTTAAGTGCTTTAATTTTGTCAGGTGAAGAAACCAAGTGCAGTTATGGTAGCCGGGTTGCTGTGGATATAATCCAGTTTGAGAAAATTCTCATTGTGGTGATCAGAAGTGCAGTGTTGTGGTTGCATTTCAGCTGCTGGGAAGATGCTCTTGCAAATCCATGTGTCGTCTTTGCTTCCGTTAGAAAGGTGCAGAATCAGTGTAAGTTCCAGATATCTGCTCCCTTTTCATTTTGTGCTCAGATGCCCCGTGTATGAATTCCGAATATAAAACATCTGTTCAGTCTGGTTTTGATTCAGATTTAAGGTGAATTTCTGTTGCTCAGTTGAAAAGCTAAATTTGAGTGTAGGCTCTGTCAGGCATGTTGTAGGAAAGGTGTATGGTACTGAAGTGTGTGGTTTTGTTTTTTAACTGCTTGACACTGTTAAGTAAGCAAATGACCCAGTCATGGGTTGTTTTGATTGCCATTCTTCTGTTGGTGTACTGCTTGCCTTCTGTTTTGTTAATAGTCATATGAGAAAACAGTTGTATGAAGTATAGTATCTTGAAGCTTTAAGACACCAAGTTTCCATTAGGCAGCCTAAGTCTCGCAGACTTTGGTAGCACTGTTGGTCTCATGGGAATGCCATTCTCATGTGTGGACTAAGTAAGGGCCAGGAGATTTTGCAAATTTTGTGTGTGTAAGAAGATTGAAGAAAACATTTTTCCTAATGTCACTGTCTTGAGTATTTTATCTGATTAGGATGGACTCATTGGAAACTATTGATAATTTCAAGATTTCTTGTCATCTGGCATACAAAGAAAACAGTCGTGACCCTATTTCCCTGGATTTTTCTATCCCTCTACTTGTCCTGTGTTTGCAATGCAAGAGGAAAATCCAGCTGCCTTTATAATCTAGAATACCATGTTTCTGTTTTTATTTCTTAGGTTTAATTCAGGGCGTAATTTCTACCAGTCCCTCCAAATACTGTTAAAGTTACTCTTTTTGTGGTCTTACTTCTTACTTCTTGAGTGTTATATTCTCCAAACCTTGGAGAAAATTAGAAGGTTTTAAAGTTTTCCAACTGAAAAGTATCTTTCAGAGGAAATACCCTAATTTCTGAATCTTCTATTTATAACTTGGCCTGGAGAATTATAATCTGGTCTACCAGGAAGGTGCTTGTGCTTAGGTTTTCTGCCTTAGTCACATGGAAAGATGAGCAGAAGCGATTTCCTTCTAGAAACAGTTTTTTTCTAGAAACATAAAATTGGAACCAAGTAGACTGAGAACAGAAAAAAAACACAAAGTTGACCTGGTAGGATGTTTTACCTCTATAAACCTCATAGTTGCTAGCCTTTGAGGGAGGCTAGATGAGTTGATAATAATGCCTAACCTTAGCAATGGATTGAAGTAGGGGTGCAGGGGTTATGTAGGTGTGTATATGTATTTAGGATATATATACACACCTACATATTATACACACACACATATGTACAATTCTCTTGAATCCTCAGCCATCTAAGGTTAGGTAGAGCTATTTCCATTTTACAAATGGAAAAACTGAAGAATTAAAACACAGACTTGGTCATACGTAATGGTAAATACAGTAGTTTAATGAAATTTTGTATTGTACCTATCACTCAGCTTCAACTGTTAATTTCCAGTCTGCTCACCTCTGTTTTCTTTATCTTAAAATTTTTTTCATTAATTTCCCTTGGCTAACATGACTAAAAAAATTTCAGACTTAAAGAGCAGTTCATTTAACACTTGTATGATTTTTGCCTAGATCACTAATTGTTAGAATATGCCTTATTTTATCTTTTTTTAATCTGCGTTATTTTGAGAGTTGCAGACATCTTGACATACCTTTCTTAGGAATAAGGGCCTTCCTCCTAACCACAACATAGTCATCACATTCAAAACGGACATTGATACGATACTACCACCAAATATTCAATTCATATAGAAATTTACGCTGTTCTTCCAGTAATAGTTTTTAGTGTTTTAATTCAGTATTCAATCAAGGATCATATATTTACTTGTTTAGTCTCCTTGAACAGTTCCAAAGCCTTTGTCATTAATAACAGTGGCACTTTGAGGAGTTTTGGAGTCCAGGCCTACTGTTTTGCAGAAACCCTCACTTTGGAGTTGACTGTAGTTGCGTTTTCATGATTAGAGTTAGATTAGCCATTGTTGACAGGAATGAGTATTTCATAGGGATGTCAATGCATCACACCGGGAGGCATACCACTTTGTTAAGCAGTCATTTGGTTAGGTGGCATTCACCAGAATGGGCCATTGTAAATGTACCCTATTTCCCTTTTGTATTAAGTGATCTATGGAATAACAAACTTGAGACTGAATATTTTGTTTTCCAACAATCTGCATTGGTTTTAGCATCTGTTGGTGACTGAATCAGTTATTGCAGGAGTACTTTAAAGCAAACTTAGATATATCATTTCACCTGTAAGTAATTAGTGTATAAGAAATAAGGACTTTTTTTTTTTTTTTTTTGAGACTGAGTCTCGCTCTTTCGCCCAAGCTGGAGTGCCAGTGGCGTGATCTCGGCTCACTGCAAGCTCTGCCTCCCGGGTTTCACGCCATTCTCCTGCCTCAGCCCCAGCTGGGACTGGGACTACAGGCGCCCGCCACCGCACCCAGCTAATTTTTTGTAGTTTTAGTAGAGACGGGGTTTCACCGTGTTAGCTAGGGTGGTCTTGATGTCCTGACCTCGTGATTCACCCGCCTCGGCCTCCCAAAGTGCTGGGATTACAGGTGTGAGCCACTGCGCCCGGCCAGAAATAAGGACTTTTAAACAACCGTAGTGCCTTTACACCTAACTACAATTCCTTAACACCTCATGTTCATGTTCAAATTCCCTGAATTGTCAAAAGTGTCTGTCTACAGTTCTGGTTGACTCTGAATCTAAACAAGGTCCACAAATTATGTTTGCTTAATGACCTTAAGTCTCTTACTCTGTAATAGCTTCTTACCCCACTCTTTACCTTTCCGGATTTGGCTGGTCACTTATGCTGTTTATATATATTCTTCTATTCCAGGTAATTTCTGTAGACCCATAGGTTCTAGAAATTTGATTAGATTCAGGTTTTGTTTTGTTTTGTTTTGTAAGAGCACTTAAGTGGTCTTGGGAGGGATAGATCACATCAAGAGGGACACATGTCTGCATTTTAGAGAAAAGATTAATTCTTGGTGTGGGTACAGATGTTAGCAGCTGCATGCGTCCATTTTGAAGTCCCCCAGCAGCCTTTCTCCTGAAAATTGTAGCATCCCTGTACTCATAGCCTGGGTGCATTACTTCAGGGCTTACCGGTGGTGATTTTTCTCATTACATTAGTCCTTTTGCATCAGTTAGCTGGATTTTATCTGACTTGTGTTTATTTCTAGTTTGTGTTTGTGTGTGTGTGTGTGTGTGTGTGTGTGTGTATCTTCCTGAAAGGTGTTGTAAAAGGATGCGTTCTTCATCTTTATTTCAGAAAGGATGTTCATGAACTCCCTTAGTGATCCTCTCAAATGTCCTCAGTTTTCTCATTTGTAAATTGGGGATCATTATCATGTCTGCCTCTTGGGGTTTTTGTTAGGATTAGATGAGCTCAAACATGTAGTGTAAAAATAGTGGTTGGCACATGGTGTTTGGTAAATGCTAGTTACTAAGGTAACTTCTTTAGTTTTGTGGGAACTCTGAACTCAAGTTGTAATGGAGAGGTGGAAGAGGATTCTTCATGAGTTGACATCAGGGTGCTTGGGTTTCTGTTGGGTGAGCTGAAGGGAATTGTTGCTTGCCGGCACTGACCTGCTCTTTCAGCTGTGTGGGAACAGTTGCCAGACAGACACGCACAGGGAAGGTCTGCACATATCACTGCACACTAAGAGGTGGATGTCGACAGTTGCAGCAGTAAAACTTGAAACACGTTCCGCAGTGGAGTTAGCACAGTGAAGGGAAGTGGGCCAGACTGGTGGTAGGTGGTAGGTTGAGGGAGATGGTGGCTCCAGATACAGGTTTTTACTATGTCATGGGCCACTGAGATTTTTATCTGAATGAACATATTTGTCTAGTCCAGTTTGCCTTGTCATTACACATACCCTCAACTGGAGCTATTTGAGATTGCAGATCACTGGTGGAGGAGGGAGGAGGCTCTTTTTCCCTTTAGCCTCTTTAATCTGCATCTCTTGTTGCTTAAAAAACCACTGTTGATGGTAATATAGGATATTGGAAGTTTAGCAGTCTTGATGGCGAAGAACTTAGTTGTTAATATTTGATTTTTTTATTTAACAAACATTTGAGCACCTGTAATATGTAAGATGGTGTTCTGGACACTAGGACACATCAGGGAACAACACAGAAAATTCTACCCTCATGGAGTTTACATACATGGTAGTGAGGAGACAGAAGAAACGTTTAAGTTTTATAGCGTGTTAGGTGTTGAGTACTATGGATAAATACAAAGTTGGAAGGGAGGCATTGAGATGGTCAGGGAAGTTACTTTTGTGCAAAGACGTAAAAGGAGAGGAGACAGGTCTTGTGGAAACCTGGGGTTACAAAGTGTTGCCTGCATAGGAAATAGCCAGTCCCAGAGGCTAGTTTGGTCCATTGTGATGAAAGGGTTGACTGCTTGCTGTGCTAGTGCCCTGTAGTGGGCCAAGGGCAGAAGCATGGAGACAAGAGGCTGGGACAGTGATCTGGATGAGATGGAATGGTGATTTGAACTAAGGTGCTAGTAGTTGTCTTTGATTCTGGATATATTTTAAGTATCGCCAACAGGCTTTGCTGATGGATTGATTGCATGTGGGTTGAGGGAGAAAGTGAGCAGTCAAGGATGACTAAAATTTTTGGACTGAGCAATAGTGAGGATGAAGTTGCTGTTCTGAGATGGGGAGGATTGAGAGTAGAACACATTTTTTGGGCAAGAGCAAATTATTCATACCCCGGAACAACAGGCAACTACAACACTTCATCCATTAAGAGCAGTTGTCCATAAATTTTACTGTGAGAACCCTTGCATTTGTAGATTGTACAGCTAATTCCTTTAACTTAATGTTTTAAAGTTGTGGGAGTTGATAAAGATTGGCTTAGATAGAATCTATAGCTGTGATGACTGGGTCAAGTATAGAATACACTTAAGACTTACTATTTTTCCCCTTCTGGTGGAATGACTAATTAACACTGATAAAAAGAATGAAGGCAGAAAGCGTTGAACTTGGATGGTGAGAACATAGATACGTCTGGTCTTACAGCTGACCCATCAGGGCTTTGCTGTATGTGAAGCCTATGCCTGGGACTTCTTTTTACTTTTAATCTCTGCATTTTATCCATACACATCCATTCACATGATCACACAAAGATTTCAACTGGTTTTTATCTTACGTGCTGTTTGCAGTCTTACTTTGTTAACAGTTGTTACATATCCATCTTGTGTATTTTCAAGCACAACTTTTTAAACACGCATGATCTTTTATCAATATCGTTAATGTTTCTTCCTGTCAGTAATGTCCTTTTCACTGAAGGTAGTATTGCATAGTGATTAAGGGCAAAAGCTGTTTAGACATATAGATGTGAGGCAACATCCTGGCTGTAACACAGACAGCTGTGGCCTGGGGTGAGTTATACTACCTCATGGCTTCAGTTTTCTCATCTGTAAAATGGTCATAATAATTGTACTTATCTCATGATTGTTATAAGGATTAAAGTAATGCACATAAAACTAGACACAGTACCTAGATGGTGTTAGGACTTAGGTTAGTGTAAGATTTTTTTTTTTTTTTAAATTTCCATTATTTATAACTCACTTATCTTTGATAAACAGTCTTTTACAAGCAGATAGTGTTGAGCCTCTTGAATTCTTATTGAGTTACACAAATGTTTGGTTAAGATTACATAGTAATAGGCATTGCTGCTCTGTTATTTCATATTTCCTTTTCTTTTTGAGACAGTCTCGCTCTGTTGCCCAGGCTGGAGTGCAGAGGTGTGATCTCGGCTCACTGCAACCTCCACCTCTCTGGGTTCAAGCGATCCTCTTGCCACAGCCTCCTGAGTAGCTGGGATTACAGGCGTGTGCTACCACACCTGGCTGATTTTTGTGTTTTTTTAGAGATGAGGTTTGGCCAGGCAGGTCTCGAACTCCTGGCCTCAAGTGATCCACCCGCCTTGGCCTCCCAAAGTGCTGGGATTACAGGTGTGAGTCACCACGCCCAGCCTGTTATTTCATGTTTTCATTTATCTTTAACAAAATGGGTTGTTGGGAGTTTGCTCCTATATGTGATCTAGTATCATTCACATAAAAGTTAAAACCAGTAGTAGTTTCATAGTTGTTCTTCCCTCCCTGACTGCCATATCTACAAGGTCTTATTTCTCTGAGATTTCTATAAAAAAATTCATGATGAGCCAAACTTATTGGTAGAATCAGGTTAAAATGAATATATCTTGGGCGGAGTGTATATGGATGAAGTAAATCTGGTGGTTTATGAACTTTTCTAGGTGAATAAGATTTTATTTGAGGAAATGGTTTACTTTGGAAATTATCCATTCTTAACCCCTCCCCACTCCTGTCCCGGGAGAAACTGATAAAAGTAGAGCTGTTCTGGTGGTAGAGGGTTGGGAGGAGGGCCGCAGTCCCTCCCTACTCTGCCTCAACTTCACCCATCAGAATACAGCTTCAGCACCATTTGAGTCCAATCAGGGTTTTGTATAATTAATAACTTTTAAAAACTTGAGGGTGCAAGTTTAATAGAAATGTTTTGTCAAAAAGATTTAAGGGCAAATTCTTTATATTTTAGGGATGGTTAAAACATTACGGTACAGGTTGAATATCCCGTATCTTAAATGCTTGGGACCAGAAGTGTTTTGGATTGTGGGATATTGCATATTACTTGGTGGCTGAGCATCCCATATCTGAACATCCCAAACCCAAAATGCTCCAGTGAGCATTTCCTTTGAGCATCATGTCAGTTCTCAAAAAGTTTTGGATTTGGGAGGAGCATTTCAGATTTTGTATTTTTGCATTAGGGATACTTAATCTGTAGTGTTGTCTTTAGCTCCACTTACAATTTAAAACTGGCTGGAGTTCAGGCCAGTTATATTAGGAAAACCTGTTTTGCTCTTTGTGTTACTGATGAACCGCTACAGTATCCTTGCTCCACATTTTTAAAGTAAGCAGGGGTTGAGGACAGTCCTATGTGAGTACACATACACTCTGCATCAAGCGTTAGTAGTCTATTCCACCACAGGAATTTGCTTTCCTAGAACTTGAGTCAAGGTGACAAAAGTGAAAGCATGTATGTAAAGTCTTAAGAATTTTATATACATTTTTTCTTTTTGTATTTTACTTGAAGTGATTTAAGTAGGAGCTAATAGTTGATGAGACAGTTGGGAGTCTAAAATGTTTGAGAGAGCTGCATCTTTAATGCATTATTTTATCTAATCTTTCTATATATAAATAACTTGGGAAAATCCTAATATGCCTTGCACATAGTTGACAGTTTAATTTGAAAGGAACTAATATCACTTCTAGTATATTCAGGTTGTAGGGAGTAAACTGACATTTACTGAGCCACCTCCCCATTGCACTGGGCAATACTAGCTTTCTCTGTTACTTATTCCTTATAAATCATAAGGAGCAAGTTGGTTTCATTTTAAAAGCCAGACAGTTGAGACTTGTTGAGGCTCATAGAGATGAAGTTGTTGCCTGAGATCCTACAGTTAGGAAGTGACGGAGCATGGAACCCAGCCCTTAAAAACTGTGCTGTTTTCTTCTGTACCGTGCCACCTACATAGATGTGGTACCTACACCCACCTCCCTTCTTACAGAATCATGAAATCTGTCTGTTGGGGTGGGGAGAAAACAAGCTTGGGTATGCCCATGTTTTTTGTTTTTGGTAGGTTACACAAAAGTGATTGTAATTCAGGTAATTAGTTTTCAGAGGTGTCTGTGTGTTCTATAACCCTTCAATTATTAGCTGGCTAAGTGAATATTTTTCATTTGGATCAGAGGATGAGCAGGGCTCATCAAGCTTACCATTGACAGAGTGCTGGACTAGGCGTCTCAGATTGTACCTTGAGTGTGTGGTTTGTAAATTGACTCCAAAGCTAAAAGAGGTGGTTGTTTGGTCACGTTTAAGATTATTGCGTACTACTCTTTGCAGGCCCCGCCCTGTGTCATTGAACTTATGACTTGAAGCCCTGAGTATAGGAGATAATTTTTCTTGTTCCTTGTTTGGTTTTAGTGGCAGGTGGTTTTTTATTTTATTATTTTTTTGATAGAGTGCCCATATATCCTGCTGTTTACATATAGTTCCAGAATAAGTTTCTGGTTTGGAAGATAAATTATATGGTCACCCAGACAGTACTAGAGAGATCTGGTCATGATAACTAATTACATTTTGGTTAACATGGTTATATCACCTGAAGGAGTGCTTATTTAAATTTGGTCTTACCTTTTTTTCTCTTTCTATTTGGTCAAATGCAGCAAATATTTATATTTACACTTCTCTATTTGGATTAATTCTTCAGTTGCAATTTAATTTATCCAGATGCGTGGAATAGAACCAAAACTGCATTCTAATTCTGTGCAAAACAATAAAATACTACTTTCTGAGAAGGATGCCTTCTCTTTTGGGAAGAAGGGGAATCTGCTCTGTTTCAAAGCACCTTTGTGTTCAAGGTTTGGCTAAATCTGCTCATCACCACTAGGGGACTGTTTCTTTTTGCATTCTACAAGTATTACTCCCATTACAGAAGCTTTTTAAGAAAAAAATGGACTACCAAGGAACCCACCTACATGCTTTTCATAACTATACCTATTTTATTGTCTTATAATTTTACTTGAGAGGTTTGCGTGAATGATGAACTGTGACAAAAAGCATATATAAATATAAAAATACAAGTTAAAAAGCCTCATGTTAGCTGAAGATTCTTCCATGTGTATTCTTATAAAAATAAGGGAACCCTGGACAGTGCTCATTGTATTTTGTTGAAGAAATGTTAACTTCTTTAAAAGGAAGAAAAACATATATATATATATAACATACTGTATATTCAGAACCATTTTTAAGGAATGTAGTTTATCTCTTGAAAGACTGAAATTCAAGGCTGTGACTGTGACTAGAGTGTAAAATATAGCTGCATTGCATTATAGTATTTTATATATTTCTACAAACCAAATTGACCTGTTTTTGGTTTTGTTTTTCCTTTTCCAGTCTTTACCAGGTGCTGGTCTCTGCATGTGTTTTGTTTAAGTTGGAAAAATCTAGACACGACCCACAGAGTGGTATGGTATCCAGTGAGAAGGGAACTGTCCGCAGTGGCTTTGAAGGATATGAGGAAGCCTAGGCGGAGAGTTGAGAATTCAGCCTTGAGCTAGTGTTAGGGTACTATTTGGTACCTCTCCTGTGGGCAGAGCGACTTTACTAGAGAAGTTAGGAGTTAGGGCTAGCATGAGAACTTCATGCAGTTTGAGCATTCATCAGGCAGCAGAATATAGCTTCTATATTTACCTTGCATAAATCAGATTTGACAATGAAGAACAATGTTACTGATAGTAACAGTGCTTCCCAGTGATTGAGGAAGTGCTTGTTTTCTTTTTCAGCACTTTGTTCTCTGAACAAATAAGCTGCAGCAGCTACTATGACACATAACCCACCCTATTTCCCCCCCAACGGCCAGATGAAACCAGAAATACCCACTGTGTTTTTCTCTCCCTTCTTTGGAAAGCACGTGGTTGCTACTGCCATTGGGAAGAGTGATACCTGATTAGCCAGGTAGCCTTCTGAAAATTGAAACAAGTGGCCTGAGGATGACTTGGATGGCTGTTGGGTAGCAGAGAGCCCTGGAGGCAGGGTTTCATAACTGCGAACAGCAGTTTTCATTGTAATTGACACAGCAGTTTTCATTGTAATTGACAAGCTTCCCTTATGCAGAAACATTTAACGATACCTTTTTAAATAATGTTTACTAGTCATCTGATTAGATTTTATTAAAAATTTAGATGATTCGTCCTACATAATGTCAAAGCATTTGTTTAAAAACTTGGAAGCTTTTGGGGGTGGGGAAGGTGGTCATAGAAATATGATCATCTTCAGGATTTGGCAGGTATGAAGTGATACAAACCTCAACTTTTAAGATTTTTTTTTTTTTTTTTGCTTTTCTCTGGCAATCAATCTTATTTATGCCAGCCGTTGACACTTAGAAAGGATTTAAATCACTTTTCATAGCATAATTATTGTATTGCTTAATGCTTTAAAAAGGCACGCAGATGGGATTGAGACATTTCTATCCAGGCAGTTTTTTCTGCATTAGACCTAAGAACCTAATTTTGTAGGGCAGTAGTCTCTAGGCATTATGTTTAGCTCCTTTTGTCAGTGAGAAGTGTGTTGTAAAGTTTCTAATACTGTGGTCTGTTTTGAACGGTTTTGAGAAGAGGTAGCTTTAGTATAATTTATAGGACTTAAAAGGAAAATGCCTAGAATCATCAGAAAAAGCATGGAAAAACATTCTTCTCTGAGGTTGCCTTATTGGAAAAGGAGAAATCATTTAGAAGTTAATGTGTGGAAGGCATTAGGTTGAATAAAATTGTTGTTCGTATTGATCTGTCAGCTGCAATTACAATTAACTGAAAATTTAGTATTTGTCTCTTTTTCAGGAGAGAAGCCGTCAAATTTTAATACATTTAATTTTAGGTATATTTAAATGTCTGTTTTGCAGAGTGATTATCTTAATCCAGAACTGAAAAATTCCTGATGGTCCTACTGAAGATTTATCTAATGGTCCACAAATGTCTGTTTTGTTGAGGTTTGGCGGACATAATAATAAATCATTTTTTAGTCTTCTGAAAACTTTTCTCCTCCTCCCTCTTTTCTCTGCTTCTTATACCCTTCAACAAAAAGCATTAAAAGGAAAACATAAAATCACGCCTTTAGTCAGTGCCGTTATCCTCTCAGAGGTTGTTTTGGAAATACTGCCTGATGAAAAGGAAGAGAAGGAAATTGCTTCTTTTAAAGTTTGCTTTTTATCTTCTTGCAGCATCTTCTAACTGGCAGAAATAATACAATTTTTGAGTTGTTTTGTAAGTTGGATATTTTTAGTTTTGTGTGGAATGTCGTGTTTCCCATTAGGGCAGGGGGCGTCTCACAAGATCTAGGTTACTGTATGACAACTATATCCATTTACTGGAGTTTAAGAAGCTTTATAACAATACATTTCCAGAGACTAGGCAGTACTTGGTTTTCTGTATTTAAATTTTCTGAGGGTAGATGATAACATCTAGTAAACACCACCTGCCTGTTCCATCCAGGACCCTAACTGGCCATAAAGTTACCCCCAAACTCTCTTAGGATTCATAGTATTTTAAGATTTCATTTTTGTGCCCTTATTACGAATATAATTAGTGTTTTCTCCCCTTTAGGGTGCTTTAAGATCTTAGTGCCTGTCCTAATCTGAGCATACCACAGTAAGACAAGAAAGGGCAATGCTGTGGTAGGCAGTTAGCTGCTGAAGTTAGGCCACTTAGTTATGAGGTAGATGAATTTCTGTCCTCAGCTCAAAATGATAATATTCTCACTGACAAAAGTATCAGCTGTGATCATATAGATTGCTCTTTCCTGTGGAACTGAAGTGTATTAAAAAAATTTTTTTTCTTCCAATAAAGAATGTCTCGTTGCGCCGGGTTTGCTAGACTGAAAGTTTCCTCATCACGTGGCGAGACCTCCTCTACTTCAATCTTTGTCTTTTGTCTCTGCTGCCTTGCAGGGTTGGTACAGTAGGCTTCACTAGACTTAGCTGCAACTCAGAATTTCTCCTCCAGCACCTGAGTAAATGCTGATGGTCTTGTGGAGAGTGGATTAAGAGTACGAGCTAAGTTCTCAATCCCAATTAAGAAGCGGAAAATTTAAACTGTCTTCTTCAAAGTTTATCACAACCACCACCATCAAGACAGCAAACCAAAGGACAAAGACTTTGACCCTGCTGTGTTGCTCTGTGTAGTCCAGTTCACGTATGGTTTACAGACTTGGCTGGGGTTACTAAAAATAAATAAAAAGTTGGACACTTCTGTCATTGGAGCGCTATTATTCACAAGTTACCAGAATGAGAGCTGTACTGGACACAGCAGACATTGCCATAGTGGCCCTGTATTTTATCCTGGTCATGTGCATTGGTTTTTTTGCCATGTGGAAATCTAATAGAAGCACCGTGAGTGGATACTTCCTGGCGGGGCGCTCTATGACCTGGGTAGCAATTGGTGCCTCTCTGTTTGTGAGCAATATTGGGAGTGAGCACTTCATTGGGCTGGCAGGATCTGGAGCTGCAAGTGGATTTGCAGTGGGCGCATGGGAATTCAATGCCTTACTGCTTTTACAACTTCTGGGATGGGTTTTCATCCCAATTTACATCCGGTCAGGGGTATATACCATGCCTGAATACTTGTCCAAGCGATTTGGTGGCCATAGGATTCAGGTCTATTTTGCAGCCTTGTCTCTGATTCTCTATATTTTCACCAAGCTCTCGGTGGATCTGTATTCGGGTGCCCTTTTTATCCAGGAGTCTTTGGGTTGGAATCTTTATGTGTCTGTCATCCTGCTCATTGGCATGACTGCTTTGCTGACTGTCACCGGAGGCCTTGTTGCAGTGATCTACACAGACACTCTGCAGGCTCTGCTCATGATCATTGGGGCACTTACACTTATGATTATTAGCATAATGGAGATTGGCGGGTTTGAGGAAGTTAAGAGAAGGTACATGTTGGCCTCACCCGATGTCACTTCCATCTTATTGACATACAACCTTTCCAACACAAATTCTTGTAATGTCTCCCCTAAGAAAGAAGCCCTGAAAATGCTGCGGAATCCAACAGATGAAGATGTTCCTTGGCCTGGATTCATTCTTGGGCAGACCCCAGCTTCAGTATGGTACTGGTGTGCTGACCAAGTCATCGTGCAGAGGGTCCTTGCAGCCAAAAACATTGCTCATGCCAAAGGCTCTACTCTTATGGCTGGCTTCTTAAAGCTCCTGCCAATGTTTATCATAGTTGTCCCAGGAATGATTTCCAGGATACTGTTTACTGATGATATAGCTTGCATCAACCCAGAGCACTGCATGCTGGTGTGTGGAAGCAGAGCTGGTTGCTCCAATATTGCTTACCCACGCCTGGTGATGAAGCTGGTTCCTGTGGGCCTTCGGGGTTTAATGATGGCAGTGATGATTGCAGCTCTGATGAGTGACTTAGACTCTATCTTTAACAGTGCCAGTACCATATTCACCCTCGATGTGTACAAACTTATCCGCAAGAGCGCAAGCTCCCGGGAGTTAATGATTGTGGGGAGGATATTTGTGGCATTTATGGTGGTGATCAGCATAGCATGGGTGCCAATCATCGTGGAGATGCAAGGAGGCCAGATGTACCTTTACATTCAGGAGGTAGCAGATTACCTGACACCCCCAGTGGCAGCCTTGTTCCTGCTGGCAATTTTCTGGAAGCGCTGCAATGAACAAGGGGCTTTCTATGGTGGAATGGCTGGCTTTGTTCTTGGAGCAGTCCGTTTGATACTGGCCTTTGCCTACCGTGCCCCAGAATGTGACCAACCTGATAATAGGCCGGGCTTCATCAAAGACATCCATTATATGTATGTGGCCACAGGATTGTTTTGGGTCACGGGACTCATTACTGTAATTGTGAGCCTTCTCACACCACCTCCCACAAAGGAACAGATTCGAACCACCACCTTTTGGTCTAAGAAGAACCTGGTGGTGAAGGAGAACTGCTCCCCAAAAGAGGAACCATACAAAATGCAAGAAAAGAGCATTCTGAGATGCAGTGAGAATAATGAGACCATCAACCACATCATTCCCAACGGGAAATCTGAAGACAGCATTAAGGGCCTTCAGCCTGAAGATGTTAATCTGTTGGTAACCTGCAGAGAGGAGGGCAACCCAGTGGCATCCTTAGGTCATTCAGAGGCAGAAACACCAGTTGACGCTTACTCCAATGGGCAAGCAGCTCTCATGGGTGAGAAAGAGAGAAAGAAAGAAACGGATGATGGAGGTCGGTACTGGAAGTTCATAGACTGGTTTTGTGGCTTTAAAAGTAAGAGCCTCAGCAAGAGGAGTCTCAGAGACCTGATGGAAGAGGAGGCTGTTTGTTTACAGATGCTAGAAGAGACTCGGCAAGTTAAAGTAATACTAAATATTGGACTTTTTGCTGTGTGTTCACTTGGAATTTTCATGTTTGTTTATTTCTCCTTATGAACTTAAGGATATGGTGAGACACTAACTTAAGACAATACTGACTGGTCTTTGGGGAAAAAAGTTATGTAACTGTGCATCTCTCAGGCATTGTTTACGCTGTAGGTTTTAGCCAAATTTTACTTAGCAGAAAATCATCTAATTACAAGACTTTATTTTCCCAGAGATGGATTAAAGTAAATCTTCAACTTAAGTGAAGCCAAACCTAACAGACTGAATTGTGCAAATGTGGTTTTAAATTTTGCATACCAAAGTAAGAAGAGACCAATTATTCTCACAGAGCACTTAGAGCAGAATATATGTTAAGTTACCATGAATTAAGGTATACTGTCTGCACTGCCAAGTCTTGGCAGACCTTACCCTGAAGTAGAAGATTTGCTCATTTCTAAATTTTTTTTTCTGTCTCTGTAATCCCTCCTACCATTAAGAAAAACTTATTTCTTAGACATTGTACAATCAGTTATGTACTGAAAATCGAATGTGCTTGTGTGATACTTGTTTCAGGACAAGTTCATTTGCCAGGTTCATTTTGTTAGCATGAGCCTACGGATTCTGATTTCCCAAAGAAAGAATGTTTTCCTGTAGGTATTTTTGTACCACCAGTATATGGAATGTTAGGGAAAAACTTTGTTCCAGTTCCTTTTTTTTTTTCTTTCTACTTTCAAGTTTAAGTGAACCATACTGAAATGACCAACAAGTCTGCCTGTAAAGTTACATGTCATGATTGTGTTGTTAAATGATTATGGGGGAGAAAATGAAGTAAATGTTGCTGATGATCCCCATATTTATTGATCATATTAAGGTTGTTTATATAGTTTGGAAATGACCAGCCCCCTAAGCAGTGTTTGATTAACTTATGCTAATCAGATGATTACTCATATATTCTGCTAATTTTCTAGCTTTATTCTTGTTATTTGGAAAAATTATTAGCCAAATGCCTTCCTAGGTGGATCCAGTTGGAAGATATGTCCAGAAACCTGAAGAAAAATTGACGCTGCCTTTGTGTGCTGGATTGCTCTACTTGATTAGATCATGATATATCAAGGTTGAATTTTTAGAGGGAAAATTTAATTCTGATATCTTATTGCATCCTTGATAAGTTTTTCCCTGATTTTTTTTTTCCTCAAAAGACTTTCCATCTGTACACAGCCTCTACATTTTTGTTGTAGTGACTTAGAGCATAAGGATGTTTCAGTGCAAACTGGCCGTCGGTAACAGAAAACTCAGTGCATACTTTGCTGTTGTTAGGTTGTCAATATAGTCTTTCTGTAGGATGGATAGCATGTTTGAGAGGTGCCAAACAAGAACTTTTGGGGTTAGTAGTGTGTCTTGTGGAGGGTATTACAGGACTGTGTAATTATAGGACTCTAACTTGACATGGCTTGGCACCCACTTGCAGCTAGTGGGTACAGGGTACAAAAGATGTTAGAGAAAAGCTCTACAGATTACGTACTTCTGTGTCTTCGTATGCTCAACACTGTCCTTTGTCCTCCATGAAAGATGAAGGAAGCAAATTATGTATGTACTTTCTTTGACCTTCTTTAATCTCTGATACTTTTTAGATTGCATGATTTTACTAGGCTTGTATTTAGGGAAATTACTTTCATAAATACTTTTGTAGATTTTGAATCAAAACTCAGTCTTTTTAATTTTTTTGTAGTCTATAAACTAGTTTCATTATGATGGACTTGATTAGTCCAAAGTTAATTTTAGAAATTGTCAGGTAGCATAGTGTCTTCCCATGATCAGGAGGCTTTCTGAAGGACTGAGTCTGTAAATGAAAAAATAATTTATGTATGAATAGCATGTATTTCTGAAGAGCTTAGAGTGCCTTGTAGAATTTTTTTCTCAATTTTATTCTTGAGGTTTATAATTTGGGGGCCAAATAGATAGAGCTCATCATTTTCTTGTTTGGAAGTTGAGGCTGCGACATGTCCAAGGTTATGAAGTCTCTTTTGGGAAGAACAGAAACCAGGTCTCCAAATCTGGACTCATGGTTTGTTCAGATGTGTCTGGACAAATGGTTGTCAATGTTTTGTCCTGTTTTTTCAAAGGAACTGTTCTTCCTTTGGGACAACCTTTTGGTGTTTGGGAAAGTAATAAGATCTTGGATTTTTCAAATTAACATTAAGTTGTAAGAACTAAAATTTTCTTTGAACCACATTACTGTGTAATTCACTGATAATTGACATATTGGCTGGGCAGCCTATCTCTTCCATATCCAGCGTAAATGAATAGGAGGTGTTTGTGATTTTTTTTTTCTCCCTTTATTTAACATTGAGTCCTAGTAGTTTGGAGAATTAGGGTCCCTCTACCTTCTTTCTGCTCTTGTCTTAGTAAGATACATAAGGTACATCATCTTGTGTCTGTGTGTATATAGCAGTAGGTCAAGTTTAGAGTACTAAAGTCTGTAAATAAGGAATGACTATTAGCATATTCATTAGAATTGTTTATTCTTGCCAGTATAAACATCATTTTATTTAGACTAAAGTCCCTGAAGCTTGTCTTTCTTATTGCTTCCCAGTAATAGATAATGTGCTCGAGTAAGTTTGTGAATTGCTGATTGCAACTTAATTCAGGGACCAGTCTTCAATCTATATTTCATTAGAATGATTGTTCCTGGAATGATCATACATGGACTGTCTTAAGCTAGCAAAATGTTCATACTTTACACTGACTAAATGGGTCCTAAATGATGACATTGGTCTTTAGACATTAACATGTGTATATTTTTATATTAGCTCAAGCTAAGGTTCAGAATTGAAGCTTGATATTGACTAGAATAGCTAAAAGTCAAAATGAGGTGAGGACACTGGTCTTGGAAGGTAGAGAAAAATAAATGTCTTACCAGGTGTTAATGGTATCCCCAGTTCTTAGACTTTTGTCTTCTCAGGCAATTTTCATCTCAAGATCTGATGAGAAGGGCATATTACATTGGTATGCAGGATGATTATTGCATATTTTGTGGGACCTCTAATTTCCCTGGTCATCTTTCAGAATATTCTGTTCTGCCACCCCCAGAGAGTAAACACTTGAGCCGATTTCTTCTTCCCCAGCTATTCTTTCCTGGGGGTAATTATGCTTTGTCTTTAGATTAGAGAAGCATCAAGCAATAGCAATGGTGCTGTGTCCTTCGGCCTAAATTCAATAGATCTCATCTCCTAGGGCTTCCTTTTCACTTGGCTCAAAGGATCCATTGTATTTTGGCACAAAGAGCCTGGCCAGGGTCATGTAGCCATAGCTCTTAGGGATGATACCTCAAGAAATTAGCTGGGACCCATCACTCTGTGAAACTTCACATTTTAAGAACTGAGTTGAGGGGGTTGTTATGCACTTCTGTAACTTGAGGCTAAGCAAGGGGTTAACTCTTGTGAGAGCCAATAGAGTGTGTCTGTATTCGCAGTCCATGGCTCATTTTCTTTATAGTAGGCATATGGATCTTCCCCTCTGACTTTGAATATCATTTGGTGTGGCCTGTGGGTTATTTTCATTCTTTACCACCAAATAAAGCGGCTTATTAGCTACTCAGTTACTTGCTACTCAAAGGTTAGGTCTTCCCTGTTCCTGCTTGGCAGTGTTAAAGCTTACAGGGTTAACTTATGATGATTCTCCTGGCTCATTTTCATCAGAGGCATGATGACTGGAAAGGGATCACATGGGTCGTTGGTGGTGACACCTCACTGTTTCCTAGGTTTGGATAGAGAGATGTATACAAGACCTTTCCTGTTAAATTACGTGACTACAGAGACTTGCCAGGACAAAATTTTCCTAAGAAATCAGAAAAATGATTAAGTGAGATAAGTACCTGGGTGACACAGATATTAGCCCGTTGGTAAAAGACAACAAATATTAGCTTAAAATCTGCATATGTAGAATCATTTTCATTAGATTTAGAGCTTGAAGCACCTTGGCTCTCAGCTACTTTAAACTCCTCCCCATATAAATCAGGGCACCAATAAATAAGTTTCAGCTTTTTAAACCCTGGTTTGATGTTAAGCATTATAAAGTACGAAGTTTGTTACCACAGTAGAGATAATTTAGTAGAAAAATGCTTTGAGGCTTCAGTATTTGTAAGATTTTGCATTAGCCAGATGCTAGGTTGTTGAAGGCATTTCAGTGTTGATAATAGCCTGAGCAGACTTCTTTACAAATGGGATCTGTTTCTATATGTGTATATGCCCACTTACCATTCAGAGAGACTGGTCTTTCTCTTTGTCTTCCTTCACATTGCTGTGTCAGTTCTACACCTAGTCTTTTCAGCACTTAGCAAATTCAAATTTTGATTTTTTTGTCAGCTTAGTTCACTTTAAGGCATATTGGCATGGTGTGTGAAAGTGATGTTTTGCCCCAGTATTGAGGACTTTTAGATCCAAATAATGACTCATTAAATATAATTATGTTTTAAGTATACTGAATTTCTGTTAGCTTAAAATGTTAATTCTCAGGAATGATTTTCTCACACTTTGTGTTGGCTAATAATAAAAGCACTGTTTTATTCTCAAAACTCCTTTTTCAAAAATTAGGGAGAGAGCAGTAGTGATCATTTATGTGAGCCCCTTTGAAATGATGGTGTCAGAGTGCAGAGAAACAATGGAGTTTTGATGCCAAAAAGGTTTTTTTGCAGTAAAAGTAAAAATTTGGAATTAGTTGGCATATAGAGGAACCCTTTTGTACTGGAACGTATGAGGCTGGATTGTGAAAAGGTAATCTTTCGATTGCTAGACTTGGTTAACTTAGGGCTGCAAATCTTTTTCTTCTGTCAAGGTCACTTAATATGGAATGTTTTTGTCAGACTGTCCTTTGTTGGAATACTTTAGCTGTTCAGCTACTTTGACTCCTAGGAGAGAATTTAGTTAAGGTTCAAAGTAATTAACTGGCTTTGCCAGTGGTGAGTCCCACACCATTATTCACTTAGTAGTCATATAAATGTTTTTATTTAAACTTCTCTCTCTTCAATGCTGAGAATAAGGCTTTAAATTACTGATTCACCTTTAAAGGAATGTTGTGAGAATTGATGTAATTTCTGTTTCTGTTTCCATCTAAACTTCTTTATAAAAAGAGGGATTAGTTTTTTTGTTTTGGGGTAAGCACCTAATTTATCCAGTAACCAACAACCCTAACCATTGGCATATATAGTCTTTCACTCAGAAATAAACAAAAACTGTTTGGTATATCTGTATCATTGCTAATCTTGTGCACTTTACTTTTTGGGCAGTACCATACATAGTCTGAGGCTATTGACTTAAACCAATAACTGTACTTTATGTAATGACTCTTAAATTTGGTTACCTGGGTTCACAGCTTGCTTGAAGAGAAAGGATGCTAGAATAAAGTAAGCAGCTGAAGAGCGAGCAAATCAAGACAAAACACAGTGGTCTCAGATTTTTCGTAGTGTGGGAACAGTGGTTTTGCTCTATACCACTGAAAAGCACTATAACATAATTGTTGTCCATGATACTGAAGCTTTTCCCCTCACTTCTAGGTTGTTTACATTCAGAGCTCTATCAATAAGAGGAATACATATTACAGTGAATTCGACAACCGCACAAGTTGGCAGTAGGTATCCCCAACCTAATTTATCTTGGTAAATTCACCCTGTTTCCTAGTGCTGCTGGATAAAAGAGTGTTTACTTTTTATTGCTCTTAGACAGAGTAGTCTAGATAAGTTTTCAATTTATCAACATAGCCTAGACTTCTGTAAGTGGAATGTTCATTAGTAACTCATCTTTTTGTTGTTATAATTGGAAACAGAAACGAGGCTTATTGCTATTGCAGAAATCCCAAACTGGCAAAGGCCAGTATATATGGTATTCCATAATATAACCAGCTTTTGAAATTTATGTGTTTGGATTAGTGCCTTCTGGTTACCAGTATTGACTCTGCTAGTTTGCACCTTTCCGTTCTTAACAGAAAATTTGTATTTGTTATTCCTCTTAAATTTTGTCGTAACTAGTGAAGGAAGTAAAAAAAAAAAAAAAACATGCATTACATTGACATACTTTATGTGCAGCCTTTATTTAGGTTCAGTGAAACCAGGTAGTTCTGTATTTGTGTTGTAGCCTAAATGTTGTTTCTTTTATATCCATTAAAAACTTAAAGTTACTTATGTTCTGTGATCTTAATTTTGTTGTGTTTCCATTGTAGGTTGATAGGTATATCGAGAACAGGTACGTGACAACAGTTTATATTCCATGATAGAAAGCTAAAGTCCATAGAAAGCACAAAATCGTGTTCACACATTAGTGTACCCACACATAGAAAGCACAAGACTAATAGTATTCTCTGTATCCCACAAGTGCCAGTCATAAAGGCCACCAGGTATTTGTCTCAGAGTTGCTATGAGCACTACAGTATTGATAAGCCCAAGACAATGCGGTATCTAAACTGGTCCTAATGGTAAGGGACCCAAAGGAATAATCTCAATAAGTTTGTACCACATTGATGGAGGGAGAGAATATAAATGTCAAGAATGCCAAAATTATATTTGGGGGTTACTAGCTAAAATGGGGTTTGAGGGCTTTTTACTGCAACTTGAAACTGGAGAAATAGGGACAGATGTCTAGGTTTTTGGTGGGTGGAACAGGTGACATATTTCTGTTTTAAGCTGTAGTGTGATTGGGGTTTTTTGTAAAAAATCTTAAATCTTTTAGGAAATATTACCTCTTAACAGTGCCCCCCCAAACATGCAGAAAGTCATACTTTAACAGGGCAAATACTACTTGTCTTTGATTTTTTTTGTGTACGTTTGTATGTGAGAGATGAAGTTACCTTTATTTTTTTCCTATACTTGACTGTGCTTCATTTTAATAAAGGATAATTTGATCTGAGTGTTCTGAGCATCAGACTAATTCTGAAGCATATTTGCTAGAGGAGCTACTTTGCTTTTCACAATGGGGTGGAGAGGATTCTTTCACTTGTCCCATTAACCCTCTTCTAGTCTAGATGAGATGAAATCTGTTAATGTGTGTGTAGAAGAAAACGTATGTTCTTCTACTCAGCATTGCCCTTTTCCACCTCCTCACTTCACCTCCGAGTAGCTTGTTTATCAAGAATGAATGAATGTCTTTGTCTTAAATTTTGCCCATGTGTTAAAAGATGTAATTCTCAGAATGGGAGAGAAATGACTACCTTTGTTCCTACTCTTTTATATAATTATCCTTTTAGGGAAAGACTTGGTCAACTCTAATATATCTAGAAGGAAGACTATATCTGGTGTAGACTAATATGAGATGTTTTAGAAGAGTTAACCTGAACACTTTGAGGGAGAGATTATTCTTGCCAGCAAAAAGCTAGCCAGGAATGAGCCTACCACATTATTTGAGAATATCAAACCTCAGGCCTGGGGGGATGAGGGGAAGAAGATTACCAGAAGTGCAGGAAAGAGAAGTTTGAGGAACACCCTTGGCTTAGCAACATGTGATAATGCAAAGCTGTTATAACCTGTTAATCCTACGTACTATGTGTTCTGTACCTTTACATGTTTTTAAATTTAAGATAGTTTGTAAGAACTGTACAAAAAAATGCTTCTGGAGATTTCTTTGGCAGAAATGCCTTTCATCTATAATTTCATGGAGAACTGCTTTAATTAGCCTAGGTGAAAAGTAGTCCTAGCAGTGTAAATATGTATAATTAGAGTTTTCTAATTTCACTGTGAGATCTCTAACTTTTGAGTGGCAAACAGATCAAGTCTTTTGCTCATAGACTTTTCTGTGGGGTTATTAAAATGCAAAAGCTTTATTTTTTTTAATAATGCCATACTCCATTAGTGTCAGATGATGGTATGGAATTTGTTCCCTTGCTTTCCCCCACTGTTACTGCTTCAGTTTATAGATTGCCAGCAGAGTTCAGAAATAGAGCAGGGATTTACCCGTTCTTTGCTTGGACATCCCATTTTCTTTTGTCCAGACCCATGTTGGCAATCATGTATGAACTGTGTTATACTTCTCAGTGCTTTCTTTTTTCTTTTTGATAAGATGGATATCAAAAATAGTTGCTGTGCAAAAGTTAGTAGTCTTCTTCAAGAAGAAAACCAATTCTTTTTCTAATAATATCCTGTGAAATTGCTTCATTCATTCATTTATTTTTAAGCCAAATGTCAGCAGAGTGCTGCTGCTTTTATCTAGTAATTTTGATATGTAAGTATTAATGCATTTTTAAAAGATGTCTACATTGAAACATGTTCTTCCCAGTGTCCTGCTTATGATGCTTTGTTCAGATTTTTTGTAAGAGACCAGTTAGTACACTGGGGGTGTATATTGTGTACATGTGTCATTTTAGTTAGGCATTGTAGGCCAAATGTGATTATAAATGAAGTTGATGAACATTAATTTTGTTATTAGTGAGTTTTTTGAATTGTAAATGGATTTCCAGTTTACCTTCTGTTGTCTACAGCTTTTTTAATTTTAAGGTTTGACTAATTGTATCCATCTCATTGTACAGTGTTTTAGTTGCAAGCAGAAAGTAGAATTTGGTATAAAGCAGGTTATTTCTATATTGAAAGGAGTACAGTTGAAATTGTAGATTTAAGATTGTTAAAATCATGACAATTCTAACTTGTCTATTCTAACCTATTGTGTACAATCTGATTTTTTAAAATTGTAAACATGTATGATCTTGGTTTCATGTGTTTTTGAAAGTGTTATTGTTTAAAAAATGAAAAAAGCATATCTGCTAAAGAGCTGTCAGTTTTCATTACTGACTCTGTAAAATACACTGTTCTTTGTGTACTGTGTGTTATTTTGCCAGCTGCTGCATTAGCCTTCAAAAGTATTTGGAAACTTAAGATGAACTACATTTCTTGCAAAGTACATTCCTTTCTGTGGTATTTTGTCCTGTAACTGAAGTATAGTAATTATTTTATGGAAATGTTAGCAATTCTGTACCAACTTTGAATAAAATGAAAAATTTATATTTCTGTGACTAAGTATTTTCAGTATGAACACTGCCACAATGTAGTGTTCTGGGTCTCAGAGTTGAAGAAGAGTTTGTACCTCAGTTTCTTTTGCCCTTGGCCCATGAATGGTTTCCAGTGAATTTCCCCCTACTAATTTTTGTCATTTTTAATCTTTGTAAACACTGACTCACAGGTATTGACTGAGAATAGGATTATGTGTAAAACATAGAGTAAATTAAAATATTCTTAATTTTTTCACTTCCAATTTTGAAATTTCAAGTTATAGGAAAGTTGTTAAGAATGGAATGAGGAATTTAGGACTTGACTTCATCCAGGCTCACCAGGGATTAACATACTGCCTGCCACATTGGCTTTGCCATTCTTCTGAAGCATAAATATTTTTTCTGAACCATTTGAGATACTATTTGCAGACATTGTTCCCCTTTACTCCCTGAGTACTTTGCGTGTATATTTCTTAAGAACAGTCACTCATAGTTATCAAACTGGACAGAGAAACAGTGATTTTGAATCAAAAGACTATTCAGATATTCCTGGGTCCAGTAATGTCTTTATAGCAGCTTTTCCTCCCCTTTCAGAAGCCAGTTCATTGCATTTAGCTTTTATGTCTTTTGCCCCCTTTAATCTGGACTACTTCTTGGATTTTGTCTTTCACGGTATTGACTTTTTTTTTTTGGCGGTGGAGGGGAAATGTGACTTGCTCTGTCGCCCAGGCTGGAATGCAGTGGTGCGATCTTGGCTCACTGCAGCCTCTGTCTCCTGAGTTCAAGCAATTCTCGTGCCTCAACCTCTTGGGTAACTGGGATTACAGGCATGCGCCACCACACCTGGCTAATTTTTGTACTTTTAGTAGAGATATGGTTTTGCCATGTTGGCCAGGCTGGTCTTGAGCTCCTGACCTCAGGTGATCCACCTGCCTCAGCTTCCCAAAGTGCTGGGATTACAGGCGTGAGCCACTGTGCCCAGCCGGTATTGACATTTTTAAAGTAATACAGGCCAATCATTTTGTGACTGTCCCTTTTTAGTTTGGGTTTGTCTGTTCCCTCATGATTAGATTCACACTATGCATTTTTGGCAGAAATACAAAAGTGATGCTACATCCCTAAAGCCTCACATTAGGAGGCATTGGATGTGTTGTCCCATTATCGATGATACTAACTTTGATCTTGGTTAAGGTGGTGTCCACCAGGTTTCTCCAGTGTTAGTTACTATTTTTTCCCTTTGGTAATATGTAATTAGTGGGGGGATATTAAAAACCATGTAAATAACCTATTTCTCATCAAACTTGAACCCCTAGTTTTAGCATTCATTTATCTATGAATCTTGCCTGAGTTGTTACTGTAATGGCTATTTTCTAGCCTTTTTTTGATGGGGAGGATACTGTACTCAAGAGCTTCCCCTTTTCCTGTTCATTTGTCAGTATGAACTCCTGGATTACTTTGTTCAGTGAGTTATTATTCATTACTGTCATTATTTTGCTTAGATGTTTCCAGATTTAGCTGGTTTCTTTTATCAATGGTTTCTTTGTCCTTTGTGACGTTTCCATCAATTCTTGAGTGCTTTGCATTTTCCAGCACAGTAAGATGTTCTGGATGCACTGTGTCATTTCCCTGCCTCAGTCTGGGGATTGGGCATTTAGTAGAGTGGCTTGGAGTACTCACTGCTGTAGGGGTATCATGACTTCTGGGCCCTTTCAGTGTACAGAACTAGGAAATACACATACAGTCACATGTCTTATAATGGTGTTTCAGTGAACAATGGACGACGTATATGATGGTGGTCCTATAAAATAATGGAGCTGAAAAGTTTCTGTAGCCTAGTGATCTTGTAACGTACCGTAACACGTTACTCCTGTTGATGGTGGTGCTGGTGTAAACAAACTCTGCTGCCAGGGATATAAAAGTGGACAGTAATGTCTTAAGCTTTTACATTCACTAACCACTCACCCAAAGCAACTTCAGTCTTGCCAGCTCCATTCATGGTAAGTGCCCTTTATGGGTATACCGTTTTTTATCTTTTATACCATATTTTGACTGGACCTTTTCTATGTTTAGATGCTCAAGTACTTGTCGTTGTGCGGTTACTTACAGTATTCCCTGCAGTAACTGCGTGGGTTTGTAGTCTAGGAACAGTAGGCTACACCACATAGCCTAGGTGTGTAGTAGGGTACGCCTTCTAGGTGTGCAGAAGTACACTTTATGATTGTACAAAGCAAAACTGCCTAACGACGCATTTCTCAGAACATGTTCCTGTTGCTAACTGTGCACATCTACAGATGCCTCCAGTTCTAAACCAACACCAGTGGTTTCTTTTTAGCCTTCCCTCGGTGTTTGTATTTCTCTTCTCCAGCAGTGAGAAATCTGATAATACTGATGCAACTCATTTTGTTGAATCCTGTAACACCTTAGAATTAATTTTTGCATGGATAGAGTCTTTATTCTACCTCGTATTTGTTTGCAACTTTGGCTGAATGTAGAATTCTGGGTTAGAAAGCACTTTCCTTCAGAAATTTGAAATCATAAGACCATAGGAATTTTCTAGCCTCTAGCCTCTGTGCTCTAAAATTTCAGTTAGGTACCTTGACAAAAGTTTTTCTTGGACAGTACTGGCCCTTGGTGGGTTCTTTCAGTATGGCAGCTCCGTGCTGGGACTGTGATTCTCCCTGCTCTCTCCTGCTTAGAGCCCCTTTTGTTTAGCTCTTGGACCTCCTGGACTGGTACACTTGGTTTCATGCCTTTGCTCTTAATTTTCATCTCTTTGCTCTTTCTAGGGCAGTTTCTAAACTTTATCTTCCAACCCTTCTGTTGAAAAAGAATAAAATTTCTGTTGAGTTTTTCAATTTTAAGAGCTCTTTTGTTCCTGAAATCTTTTTTTATAGTCTCTTATTCTTGTCTTATATCTTGTATCTTCTCATCTCTGAAGGTACTGTCGTCTTCCACTCCCGCTTTATTTACTTCAAGATAGTTTTTTTTCTGTGTTAATCTTCCATGTTAAAGGCTTTTCTCCGATATATGCTGATCTGCTTATTTTTAATAGGGTGGAGCACGCTGGCATCACGATTGGGCCTGCAACGGCCTGGCTGTTTGTTGGGTTAAGTCCTGCGATATCTTTAGAATAAGTCAAGCTTTCCAAAGAAAGTTTTGAGTTTTAAACTGAAGGATAAAAGGCCTTTTGCCATGACTGTGAGAGCCAAGTGGGGAAAGAACACAGGGGCCCCATCATTCACAGCCTGCATTTTTTCCTTAATCTCTTTGGTACAGTACTACCATTTAGAGCTGTGCCTGTGCCCTCCAATGCAGAGCCCTCTTTTTTATCTGCCGCAGAGTATAAACCTTCAAATATGCATCTCAGGATCCAACTAGTCCTTAAACTTTTGACCAATTGTATTTATTTTAGTGTCACTTCACCCCCACTTCCCAGAGGTGCCCAGTGTTGGTATGGTTGATTCTTAGTTTTTCCCATTGTTGATTTTCTGCTTCTACTTCCTTTCTTCCAGAATGTTATTGCTAATGTTTCTTCTCGTATTCTTGTAAGGTTGTACCTGAAAAAAAAAAATCCTGCACAATATGTGCATCAAAACATCACATTGTTTACCTTGAATATATATCATTTTTATTTGACAATCATACCTCCATAAAGCTGAAAAAAATCTCTTTACAGTAGTTCTAGTAGGTTTTCAGGTGGGAGCATAATTAGGTGCTTGTGTTGAATCCTCTGGCTTGCCTGGAAATTCTGGTACTCACCCTTTAACCTTTTGAAGGTTGAAATTTCAGAGCCTATTGCCCATTTCTGCCCTTCCCTGAGATAACATGTTGCCTACCAGAAGCACAGTTGGAGTTTTAAAGTTCTGCTTATTTCTAAGTGCTAAGCGATGAAAATTGTTCACATTTCAAAGGGGCCTTAAAAGCTGCGTAGTTGGCTGGGCACAGTGGCTCATGCCTGTAATTCCAGCACTTTTGGGAGGCTGAGGCTGGTGGATCACTTGAGCCCAGGAGTTCGAGACCAGCTTGGGCAACATAACGAAACCCCATATCTACAAAATACACAAAAGTTAGCCACATGTGCAGATGCACACCTGTAGTCCCAGCTACTCAAGAGGCCAGCTACTCAAGAGGCCGAGGCAGAAGGATTGCTTGAGCCTGGGAGGTCGAGGCTACAGTGAGCTACTATTGTGCCACTGTACTCCAGCCTAGGCGGCAACAGAGTGAGATCCTGTCTCATTAAAAAGAAAAAAAAAAGGCTGTATAGGTGATTCTTTTATACAATGTGTATTGAATACCACTCATCAAAGCTATTTTATTGTGAGTTTTAACATATTCCATAAAATGACACATGTATGGTGTAGTAAACAGTTATTTGTGGTAGTTATGTTTTGTAAATTTACCTCAAACACTGCATGAGTGAATTCTGAATCGTTGCCCCTTGCGTTAGATTCCTTCCAGTGTATGGTCATGTCATTTTTGTCAATACGTGTTTGTCAATCAATACATGACCTTGCCTCATGTGTGTTTCTGTTTAAAGACAACATAGTTACTAATTGTTGATAACATTGCTAACAGTGATAACATTGTGCTCAAGACCGATAGCGCTAGAACTCATGCCTGCATTGTGCTAGATAAGCTTCAATTTTCTTCCTAAGGCACATCACATCCTTACGCTTAGGAACACTAGACAGCCCTTCAGCACTGCACTTGGGAGCCATTTTAAACAACGAAATGACCCCCAGAAAGCACACATGCAAAAAAACATGGTACTAAATAGACAGCCAAAGGACCCTTGTTTATGATATGTGAGCTGAAACAAGGGCGAAACATTGCCTTTGTCTGCCTCAGCTGGGAATGTGTGCAATAGGGGACTGCAGTTTTCCACCATGCTGTGCATGTGTGCATATCTACAGATGACTGCAGTATTGTTGGGGGTATTGATTTGGGGGCTACAAATAAATTTTAGCAAGTAGGCAAATTGGCATATATGGATTCCATGATTAATGAGAATCACTTGGAATTGTGAAGCAAATACCTATGTAACCACCACCCATAAGAAATAGAACATTACCAGCACCACCACCCGCTTCCTGCCAAGGAGGCTCATTCCACTTTCAGAAAGTTCTAAACTTTAAAGGATTTTCTGATTGACCTTAAATCTGTCTCTGGCTTTTACTCCCAAGTTCTACCTCTGAAGTGTTATCCCCTCCCCCACTTCTATTTGAAGAGAAATGTTGAAGATAAATGTATTCTGAAGTCTCAAAATCAGACATCATGTTCTTCACTCTCTGGGTGTATAGCACAGGGCATAGATTTCAGACCCTTCACCATCTTGCTCTTCTGTTTTTTCCTCTGGATAACTTTGAGGCAGTTGAGGTTCCTTTTCATATGTGGCCTCCATGTTTCAGTAATTGAGGAGAGACACTGCTAATAATGCAACAAAATGAGAGCCACCATTCCCTAGGGCTTGCCCCCTTCCAAGTCTAATTTGGGATCTCACTGGCATACCCTAAGGTAGGCCCCCTGTAAAGTCCTGTTGTCTCTTCATAGGAGTTTCTGACTCTCTTTCCAGCTTTCCATGGCTTTTCAGAGTTGAGGTTTTTTTTTTTTTTTGTTGCTGTATTGTTCCCCATATGCTTCAGGAGTTGAACATCCATTTGGTTTTGTATTTTAATCCCAAGAATTTTTAGAAGTTTGGATGCACTGTTAAGTGTTTCTGCCTGTGCCTTAGATGTTGTTTCTGTCTTTTGTCTTATTTCTAGTTCTTTTACTCTGCATCTCTCCTTTTGACTAGTGGGATGTGCATTAACTTCATTATGCATCTCTGTCTTTCAAAAAATACTCTGTTTTCCTCTTTGCAGTGAAGATCTTTTAAATTTTATGACTCAGTATAATCTTTTCTTCCTTTCTAGTTATATTAAGTACAGTTAGCAACTTTTATTTCTCAATTCTCCATTTATTCTTTGACTAGTCATCAAACATTTATTGAACGTGTATTGTAAGCCAAGTTCTTTGGACCTCCAGCATCTAATAACCATGAGTAAGAAGCAATTTGAAGAGGTTTAAGAATAGGGACAGACTCCTATATAATTACACTTGCAAGATGTATGTGGAATGCGAGCGATACCTATGGGGTTACAGAAGAAAGACACGTTTATAGAAAGTAGCTGGATCTTTTCAAAAAAACAGTTTGAGATAAATTTCATGTATCTTACAATTCACCCATTTGAAGTGTACAATCCAGTGGTTTTTAAAGTTGTGCAACCATCACCACAGTCAGTTTTAGAACATTCATAATCATTAGTTGTCACTCCCCAATTCTCCCTCCCCACACCTATTCTCTCCCCACTATCCCCTGGCTCAGACAATTACTTACCTACTTTCTGTCTGTATTTGTCTATTCTGGACACTTTAAAAAATATTCCTCTGTCTATGATTATATATCATTTGACTGGCAGCTCCCAATCCCCCCTCCCCATAACCACCTAAGCCTCTGGTAACCACCATTCTACTCTCTATGAGATCAACTTTTTAAAATGTCATGAGTGAGATTATACAGTATTTGTCTTTCTTTGCCTGTCTTATTTCATTTAACATAATTCAGAGAAACACAAAACCACTGAGGGTTTTGTGGGTGCGGTGGCTCATTCCTATAATCCAGCACTTTGGGAGGCTGAGGTGGGTGGATCGCTTGACGTCAGGAGTTTGAGACCAGGCTGGCCAACATGGTGAAACCCTGTCTCTATCAAAAACAAACAAATGAACAACAACAACAACAAAAAACCACATTGAGATATCACCTCATGTCTGTCAGGATGGCTATTATGAAAAAGACAAAATACAAATGTTGACGAGGATATGGAGAAAAGGAACTGTTGCACACCGTTGGTGGGAATAAATTAGTACAGCCATTGTGGCAAACAGTATGGAGATTTCTCAAAATATTAAAAATAGGATGACCATATGATCCAGCAGTCTTACTACTGGATAAATGGAATAAAATCAGCATCGAAGAGGTGTCTGTATTCCTGTGTTCGTTGCAACACTATTCACAATAGCTGAGATGTGGATCAACCTAAGTGTCCATCAGTGGATGAATGGATAAAGTATGGCATACATACACAATAGAATACTCTTCAGCCATAAAAAAGGAAATCCTGTGCAACAACATGGATGAGCCTAGAGGACATTATGTGAAGTGAAATAAGCCAGACACAGAAAGACAACATATGATTTCCCTCATATGTGGCATCTGAAAAAGTAGCTGAATCTTGATGCATGTTTTTATTCCTATAATTCCTTTGTGTTTGTGTCCTTTCTCTTCCCTGCTCTACAGAATAGAGCAGTCCATCAGGTGCCTTCCTCCCACCACTTGAATTTAAGCATCACTGCAGTTGGCCTAGTTGATGGACATGCTTTTTGTCTGTTGTTGAGCAAATTATGCAAATCTGACTTTTTTGTCAAAGTCCATGTTTGTCATTCTAGGAATGTATGATTTTAAGAACTTCTCTTAACCCAGTCCACCAGGTGATATTTTTGCTAAACCTTACATGGATATGTAGAAGATTCATTTTCTTATAAACCTTTTGTCTCTACCATCTAAATCTTTGGTTGACTGTTCCCTCCCCTGGTTTTCTTGTCACTCCAGTGCTGTCTCCCTTCTACCCTGTGAAGAGGTTGAAATATAAGGCGAAGGCAGGGAACTGAATTGTGCATGAAGGCATGCAATCAATAAGGCAGGTGGCTCAGTAATGCCTACCTGATTCCTGCTCCCACTATCCATTTCACAAGCTTAGGCATTTCCTTTACTTGCTGTCATAGTAACCAGGACTCCTGCCAGTCTTCCCGTTTATCTTTTATCTGTGAGTGCATCTGAAGGGGGATGGGGAGTATAGAAATGGAAACCTCTCAGCAAGAGGATCATGGACTTTAAAATGTCCTTAGAATAGCAAGTAGGGTACCTTCATTTTGGCATTGTTTCTAGCTGATGCAGTAGTATTTACCACAAATAGTCACCCACTGGGGTTGTCATTTTTCCATTTCACATTCAGACAAGACTCCAATATTATTGGTGAGAAAGAGTGAAACTTTTATGTTCCTTAAATTAGTGTTGGAGAAGATCATTGCTTAAAATCTTTTACAAACTGCAATTCAGCCAGAGTCATTCATCTTTGGGAGGATGAGAAGCCAGCTAGCTTCCTACTAGAGTGCGGTTCTCACATTTGTTTGCACCTGGGGAGCTTTAAAAAAATCTTAGTGTCCAGGATTTTTGAATCCTTAAGCCAATTGAATTGAAATATCTGAGGGTAAGATGCAGACACCTTTATTTTTAAAGCTCCCAGGTGATTCAAGTGCTGAGAAATACCTTGGTGATTTCTGCCCTTTTCCTTTGACTTACCCAAATCATGAAAGGAATGATTGATTATATGCAAGTGAGCCCCCAAATTTGTCCTTAAATGAATGACATCTGAATGATATTCTTTGATTTGAAACCTCAGAAATTAGTTGATTAAGGAACAAAGGTACATTATTATTGAACTAGAGATTAATGTTAACCAAGGCACATGACTAACTAATATATAGCTGACAACTAGTAAGTTCACACAAGGTTGGATCTCCTATAATTATGTCTTCCCTTCTGCTCAGTGGGTTCATTTTTTAAATTTATTCGCTCATAGCCTTTTGATTCCAATGCTGGTATTGATGGCTTAGCAGGCACTTGGTGCAGGGGCCCCTTGGATGGGTAAGTGTAGTTTATGACTTAAAGGCATTTTGCCTACCTTGCAGCTCAAGTTGCTTTACTCCTCAGTCATCTGCTTTTTACGTTTGCAAATTCAGCCATGCATTATCTCACTGAGAAGATAACAATGCCTCTGCCTTGTTCTTGGGTCCTTCGTTTTGGCCCAGGATTAATGTGTGCTGAACTCAGATCAGTTACTGGACCAGTCATTGGCTTCTTGCTCCTGTTTTCTTTTTAACCTCCATTCTTCTCTGAGTTCTTTTTGTTTTCATCACATTGCCCAAAGAGTACTTCTTAATGTTGGATTTCCCAGGTCTCAAGAGTCTTATTCCTGGCTGCATGGCCATAGAATGGGCAGGCTCCTGTTTCCACATCCCTTGGCTTCATTGACCACTGTGGTGTCAGGGCCAGACTTGGTCTTGTCCTATCACGTCTTTTTGGTGCACTCTGATTCTGGGACCAGTACTTCTGGATTCCAGTTTTTCCTCTCATTCCCCAAGAGACAGAGTAACCAGTTGTAATAATTAATGATGCTGGAAGTACCAGCTTGCAAGACTCTTTCAGTAACCTCTGGAAGCCACCTGTTTATACCTCTCTGATTATTACTATATTGTTAAAAGCCTGGATGGACACGGAGTCAGTGAATGAGTTTTCAGTGTCCAAGTGTAGATCTGGGACTTGAAGACAGAATTTACAAATTATGGTATCTGTGGCAAGATAGCGGTTGGGATAGACTTGGGAGAAGAAATTCTTTAAAGGAAAAATTGAATTTGTTGCAAAAGAAGTTTGTCACTGAAACACGTTTTAATTGCTCATCGTAAATCAGAGTGTAAAAGAAAAAAAAATGGAATACTCCACTTGTTTTGCTACCTAGGGAAGACTAATACCTTGCATAGTCATCCGTTCTTTTTTCCATGTTTGTCTACATAGTCCTTTTTTTTTTTTTGGAAGATACATGGATGTACTCTCCATGCTGATTTTATTTTATTATTAAAATGTTTTTATGCCAGTATGTAAGGATCATACCCCATCCCAACCCCGACAGGGTTTCACTCTGTTACCCAGGATGGAGTGTGGTGCCACAGTCATGGCTCACTGCAGCCTCATCTTCCCTAGCCTCAAGCAATCCTCCTATCTTAGCTTCCTGAGTAGCTGGGTCTACAGGTGTGTCCCACCATGCCCAGCTAATTTTGTGTGTGTGTGTGTGTGTGTGTGTGTGTGTGTGTGTGTATGTGTGTTTTGTAGAGATGGGATTTAACCATGTTGCTCAGGCTGGTCTCGAACTCCTGGGCTCAAGCGATCTGCCTGCTTCAGCCTCTCAATCATCCATGTTTTTTTTTTTTTTTTTAATTTCTATAGGTGTTTTTGGGAACAGGTGGTGTTTGGTTACATTAATAAGTTCTTTAGTGGTGATTTCTGAAATCTTGGTGGATTTTTAAATGGTTGTATCGTACTTATTCAATCAGTGGAAATCGTTTATTGAACCAGTCTCCATTGGGCAATAAGATTTCCATTCATTCACTATCCTAATAACTTTATGATGAGCATTTTTCATAGCTAAGTCTGGTACATGGGTATGGTAGTTTGCTTAAATTCCTAGAATGCTGGGTGTGTCCTGCAGACCCTGGCTACGGATGAAATGAGTACTCAGACACAGGTATGCAGTGTAAGAGCAGCTAGTTGACTGCCTGGCTCTAGTGGCCAGAGCAGCCCCAAGAAGCTGGAGCTGCTTGGTTTTATTCAGTGCCGGCACAATGCTGAAAACATGGAGCAAACACAACCTGTAGGTAATTAACATTTATTGCCCCCCTTTCAGAGAACCTCATGCGAGAGGATGATCAAAGATCAGTTCCTGGTCAGCATAAGTAAACAAGCCTCTTTAAGATAAATTCCCCTACACTCCCTTGTACCTACTCCTTGGCCTCTGCCTCAGGGTTATAGAACAGCTGCCTTCAGCTCTTCTCCCCTGGGGCTCTGCAGAACCTTCCGACCTTTCAGAAGGTTTAGGTCCTTTCCCTGTAGTTTTTCCCACCACTCTGACTGATTCCCCACACTAGAAGTAGCTGTGGAGTTAAAGGTGTACACATTTTAAATTAATATACATTGCCAAATTGTCTTCCAGAAAGTTTACATTTTTACCAATAGTGTAGGTGAGTGTTTGAAGAAACTGAAATCTTAATGTTCTAGGCAAAATAGTGCCATAGGTGGAAGAAAACAAAGGCTTCTACCTATACTAAATTCAGTACCCATGTTGATTCTACCCCAAATATAAATTTCATAAGAATTTTCTCCCTTCCTTTCGTCTGCTGTTAGTTCAGACCCACTCTGAGAGCACCCAAAGTGGCCCTCTTTCCCTCCTGACGGGGTATTCATTTTTCAGGGTCTGGCTGAAATCTGCTTTCTTCAACCAACCAGTTAGTAGTAGTAATTCCTTCTTTTGAGTTCTTGTGGCATCATTGCTTTTCACATCAGTATTGCCTGTGTTTGAATCTGCCTTTATTAGTAACTTACAAGTGTCTGTCTTCCTATCTGTATCGCAGACTTTTTAGGGACAGGGACTTGGTGTTCCATTTCCCTGCGGCTACCCTTTTGGAGATGGGCTTCCTAGCGAGCAGCTTGGACATACTTGTCTTGAGGAAGACACTTTGAGAAGAATGTTTCCAGATAAATGTTAAGTTGAACCAAAATGGCAATTTCCTAAGTTTCAGCTTACATTTCTGATACCCGCAGAATTTGGTCTGCCCATAAGAGATCATTCACTTTGCCCTTTCACTCCACATGCAGGTGTCAGGATGTATGTATCTCCTGTGTATGTATGTATCTCCTTAAATGACTTGTGCCATTTAAGTTATTTTAAAATGGCTTCCCCATAAAGATGCGTGATGTTTTCCCGCATGTAACTGTTTCTCAGAAAGATGATTATATAAATACCATATTCACGAGTGCTTTTTAGTTAATATATTAACTTAAGCAATTCTTAAGATTCTACACTATAGCCTGACAATTAAATGACCACTTGAAAAGCCTGACCTGTGAATCTGCAGTATTTTTTTCAACATTATTTTAAAAATTTTAAAATTTGGGGTATTTTTGTTTTTGCAGAGCACACAGCATTGGTTTATTCAAAGAGTTTTTCTCTGCATTACACTATTATTTTCTTACTACACTTTATGTACAGTTAGACCCTTGAACAGTGTAGGGGTATGCATAATTGAAAATCTGTGTGTAAACTTTGGACTCCCCAGAAACTTTACCAATAGCCTACTGTTGACCTGGAAGCCTTACCAATGTTATTTTGTATGTTATGTGTATTATATACTGTATTACAATAAAGTAAGCTAGAGAAAAAGCAAGTTTTTTTTTCCAAAATGTTGTGACTCTTCAAAAATTTTTCCAATATATTTATTGAATAAAATTCGCTTGTAAGTGGACCTACACAGTTTCAACCTGTATTGCTCCAGGGTCACTGTATTTTGGTTCCTGTCTCTTCTTTCCCCTCCCATTTACCTACTGTTTTAAAGCCTGTTAAGTCTTTATTCATTAGTTACTCCACATTTCTTTCTTTCTTTCTTTTTTTTTTTTTTTTTGAGACAGAGTCTCAGCTCACTACAACCTCCTTCTGGCTCAAGTAATTTTTGAGCCTCAGCCACCCGAGTAGTTGGGACTACAGGCATACACCACCACGCCTGGCTAATTTTTATATTTTCAGTAGAGATGGGGTTTCGCCATGTTGGCCAGGCTGGTCTCAAACTCCTGGCCTCAAGTGATCTGCCCGCCTTGGCATCCCAAAGTGCTGGGATTACAGGAAAGAACCACTGTGCCCAGCCTACTCCATGTTTCTTAAAAATGGCCTATATAATATGATTCATAAGCAAAGGAGTACAGCATTTAAATTTTAATAAGTGTTTTCTATCTTTGACCTTTACAAAGCCTATAAAGGTTACTTTTCTAGTCACTTCAAGTTATAACTTCAGGTTCAGGCCTGTAGAGGTAAGTAATCACATTTGAACATGTACTTAGGCATCTTTATGTTTCTTAGTGTTCTAGACTTGTCCTTATTGAATTTTATTCTAATTTAAAAAGTAGTTTCTGTGTTCGATAATTTTTATTCCTTAATTACCTAGAGGACTGAAACTCCTGATTCAATAAATTGTTGGGCAAAAGAGGTTCTCTACAATGAAGAATATTTGATCAAACAGTTCCTGTGGAATCAATTTCATAGTTGGGCTTTGCTTATGTCATTAGGCAAGGCTGGCACTTCACATATTTTTATGTAGATGGTTCTCCCAAGGTCTGCTAGAACTTCAGCCACTTTCCATGACACCCATTTGACTGTTGAAAAGTTAGGGCTCACAGATTTTCAGATTGCTGTGAGAATGTCAATGCAGAATTCACAGGGACAGCCTTTCTATTTGAAAATTTAAATTGCAAGGAAATTTTTTAAAGGAAGTAAGATTTGGAATTAAGATTCAGCAAAGAATGGGAAAGACTTTTACATGTACATTTTCACAGGTTTTGACAGTTCTGTGTCTTGGCTCTACCTTCCCTGAGTCCTGCCTGCTCTTGAGTGTTGTATAACTCTTTGTAACGTGAGGCGGGCAGGGTGTAGGTAGATGCTGCATGCTGTTGAATGTTGTGGATTCTATGTGTGCTTTATTTTCTGGGGAACTAGGGTGTGGTAGTGCTAGCTGGGTATATTGGAGGCCACTGGCTTAAAACTGTCTTTCCCATAGAGTCTAATTTCTAAGATAATTTTGTTGACAAGTTTCTCTTCTGGGATGAAAATATGTTTAATTAGGTTAAACGTTGGTCATTGACTAGTGGTGGTGGTTATGATACTTCCATGAATTCTTAGCTTCAGTAACCTTCCTGAGTGGGGATTTTATTTGGGGGACAAGGAGAGATTCCTTTCTTCCTTTCATTCTTCCCACCTTTTTGCTCTCATCTTTTACTACAGCAACTTTTCCCATTAGCATCTCTAGAACTGTGGTTTTCAAAATATGGTTTGAGGACTCTTGGGCTTTACGGGGGACCCTTTTAGAAGATCATTGTGAAAACAGTAGTGAGTAGAACAGCTGGTACGTTAGCATGAATCTAGTCAGCAGCATTAACTTTTCCTAGCAGTACGTGTATTCTTCATTGCTATGCAGTTGCAGTTTTCAAAACTGGCTTCACTGCAGAATGTCCTTCAGAATGATGAGTGGTACCAGAGTAGTATTTAGTCTTGGTAGGGGCTTTAAGAAGTTGTTGAGTTCAACCTCCCACCCATGCAGATATTAATCCAACAGCCATCCTGTATCTATTTATGTACTTCAAGTGATGGGAAGGTCACTACTTCACAAGGCAGCCCACTGCATTTTCATACAGCTGTATATTTTTGGAAATATGTTCTTGTTTACAAAATACAGCTTGATTTCTCTAATTTTTACCCTTTGATTCTAGTCCACTCTTGGAATCCAATCAAAATAAAACAAATCTACCTTTTGCATAATAGCCCTGCAAATATTTGAAGTTAGCTCTTGGGTTTTCCCTAAGTCTTTTGTAGGCTAAACATTAGTTTTGGTAATTAATATAAAAAATTAGCTTTAATTTCTTCTAGGATTAATTACCTTTTTTATAAGTATTATACTATTTCGTTAAATTTTTGGATAGTACTTTATCTTACCTAATCAGCAAATAATTATAATGTAATTTTAACATTTATATTTATATGTGTATTGGAATTTGATATTTGAAATGTATAAAATATTTAATTAATTTCACTTCTAGATGAATTGTAGGTATTTTTGAAATACAGTATTGGTGTGAACAGCATTTTGGTACTGCGTGAAGTAAATGGGAAAACATTAGTATTGTAATTTTGCCTCAGTGTTACAGTTACCACCTTGATAGTGAGCTTTGTTGTATATGAAAAGTGGCTTCAAGTTATGTTAGAGATAGAAGGAAACTTAGAGTTCCTTGAGGAAAGATAGGAGTAAGTAAGCAAGAGACCCTCTTAAAGGAGGTACAATTAGCACAGCTATTTCTAGCACCTGTTCGATGAGTGTGGCCCATTTTAGACGTTGGGAATACAGTCATGTACAAGATAGACAAAGGTCCTTGCTCCTCTGTAGCTTACATTCTGGTTAGTGAAAGAATATTTTTAGATTGCTGTAGTGCTGTTAGAAGTAAAAAAAGAATGACATCAGGAGAACTGGGGGATGGAGGTGCATTTTGGTGATGAAGATATCAGAATTGGGGGGCATAAAAAGACTTTCATCAAACTTTGTTGTGCCTCCAGCAGATGTTGAGAATTGCAGTATGAATGTTGTTTATTCATGTGAAGCTTGTAGCAACAGGAAAATCGAGAACTACTAATTTAGCAGATGAGGAAACTGAGGTACAAGTTTAAAATTGATAAATTTTAATAACATATTCAGGTTTGTATAACTCATTAGTGAATGAGCTAGGACTAGAATCATAGTCCTAGTTTTTCTAGTTTCCATTCCCATTCATTCATTCCTTTCTTTCTGTATTTTTTTTTCAAATGAATGTTTTCAGCCCTCAGTCTGTGCCTTGCCAAAGTGTGTTTCATTGATGCATTTGGTAGGTAGAAGGAAAGAGTTGAAGGAGTTGCTTTCAGATGGGGTGAGAGAAGCCTCTCAGAAGCCTGCACAACTTCTCTTAGAATAGTTGGAATTGAGTGGTTCAGAGACTTTATAAATGAGAATTATGGCAGCAAGATCATTTGTTTCCTGTAAACTATATGCTTTTGTAAGTTGAACATTGTGCTGGATTGAGCAGAACTTTTTCCCCTCTAAGCGTAAGAATTTTATTTTAATAGATCTATAGGTTTCACCAAATGAGGAACATTGAAGTTGGCAACCTGGGTTGATAAAGACATTATTAGGAGCTTGGCAGATGGAATAGTGGATTAGTGGAATCAGTTCTGAGCCCTGCAGTGAGTTGAACAGCTCAACTGATGGTATTCGTTAGATGGTACCCGATGTGTCTACCTGATGACACATCCAGTGAGGAATACACCCTCTATACGTCAGTCAGTGGCCCAGGCTCATGGTTTTATTTGTGGTGCATTTTAGGGTACATGGATTAAGGACCTGCCAGCTTCCCTCAGCCCATCACAATATAGAACCAGGGGTTGGCCAGATAGTAAATAGTTTAGGCTCTGGGGCCATGTGGTCTCTTGTAATTACAGATCTACCTTTAGCACAGAAGTAGCCATAGACACTATGCAGATGTGTGAGTTGGCTGTGTTCCAGTTCAACTTTATTTGCAAATACAGGTAGCAAGCCAGATTTGGCCCAAGAGCCCTGGTTTGCCAACCCTGCTTTATGGTGAGGTAAGGTCTATGGGGCGTTATTTTTGCTCCTCCTTCCACCTTTCGTTTTATACTTCTGGGTGTTTTGAAATTAAAGTGAGATGAATGTGGCCATTCCAGTAGTCTACAGTTTGACCTTGACATACTGAAGTCAAACAATTTTTTTTTTTATATTTTCCTAAGTTACATTCTTGTTAGGTAGCCTTTCCCCTTTTTGAGACAGATGTAAGAAGAAAATGTTTTTTACTTTATAAGCTCTTACTTCAGAAGAGGGTAATGAGTTTTATACTGTAAACACTTCAGTTGGAACTTAAAAGATATTGAGATATATTCCTTTTTAATCAGGCAAAACTGGAATTGAAATTTATTTGGGTAGCTAATCAGAAAACTAATCAATCAAATGTTTTTTTCCTTTTTTTTTTTGAGTGCAAAGCTGAGACCCGACTCTTTATTTGGATGGGCTGTTCCTTTACCTTATCATACGTTAATTGATGTAATGCCAGGTCAAGAAACAGCATTTTCAGTTAAATGAAATACTGTGCTGCTGTTAATAATGAGTCCTCTGCAGATGTATGGCGATGTCTTTGTGAACTATAATGAAATGTGAGAAGAATGTAGTCTTCATATGATTAGAACTGTCTAGGAATGTGTTTGATACAATCATAAGGATAAATTGCCTTAGACTTTTTACCTACTGTTAATGGGAAGAGATTTTGGCCTGAATTTTTATTGTCTTCAGGAAATTTCTGTTTTATCTTAAGGTTGGTTAAATATATAAACAACGATTCAGTAGGAATTTTTAAAATCCCTAATGGACTTCAATATGAAAAGAAAGTAAAGAATGTTTTTTTCTAAGCCTTAAGCCAATACTTAGCACATTTCATACCATTTTAGCAGCACTTGTCAGAAAGAAAATTTTAAAAATATAGTGGATTTTGTTTGGTTGCCAGAATGCACACTTAAACTTGTTCTGCAATTTTCTCTTCATTTGATCCCCAAATGAACCTCTGGAAGGTAGCCTATTCTTAAGTTTCCTCCTGCACTTTAAAATCACCCTGCTTGCACCTCTTCACGTAGGTCTTTGAGGAGATGTGCACCTTGTCTTTGCCAAGGTGTGCCTCTGGCTTCCTCCCCGATGGTTTCCACAGCTTTCCTTCTCCTTGCAGCAGGCGTTTCCACTTAATAGCTGCCCTGTCAGCATCTCTCTAGAGATCCCATCCCAAATCTGTAAACCTTCTTGGCTTTTTTTTTTTATGAAGATAAAATATGTAACAATAAGACACTAGACCATATAGTAGTTATCCAGTAAATCATAGCTGTCATCGTTGTTGCTATTTTAGAAATCCTACATTTTATCGTCTTGCATGGTCCGCTCCTTTTTGACTACCAACTTGCCCATGTGTTTTCTCCTAAAACACGTTGCTCAAGTTGCTTGTCCCTGGAGCCCTGGCATTTTCTCCTCCTCACCATTGTTCTCATACCTCTACCATGGGAACCTTGGCAGCCTGCTTTCTGGCCCCATCTTGCCAAATGCCCATGTAGCTACCACACCGCGGCTTTTTCTTGATCTCTGTCCTCTACCCCATTGTCATTCTGGACAAGGCAGTCTCCCGATTTTCCTTGTCCTATTTGATGATACGTTTTATATTTGCTTCTCTGACTTTGAGTCCTCTTGTTAGCCCCTAAATGTTTGTACTCCCCAAGGTTCTGCTGGTGATCTCCTTTCCTCTCCCCCTCCACCCTTTCTATTGATCTCACCTCCTTCTCAGGCTTCAGAGAGCCGTCTGTGCAGGTGACTATGAAATGTGTATTTCTCATCCACCTGCTTTGAGCTTAAGATTTACATCTGGAGAGGTCAACCTAGGGGAGCCATGGCATCTGAGACTCAGCGTGTCTTAAACCAGATTCATCTCTTACTGTCCTCACCAGCTTCTCCAGCTCTCCTTTTAGCTGTAGTGACAGTTGCACTCTCTCAGCCACCAGATTGTGGTGCCCTTCTTCGCCACATCTTGCCTTCATTCTCCACATTGCATTCGTTGCAGTTTTCAGGCTTATCCTTATAAAGTATCTTTTCTTCCAAAAATTGCTTGTGTATACATATGCATAGAGAGATATCTGGAAAGAAATTCACCAGAAAGTTTAATTCACCATCCAGTCTATCTCTGGGTAATGGGATTCTATATTGTTCAAGCTTTTTTTTTTTTTTTTTTAAATAACAGGCCTTGATTACTCATGGACTTGTGCCCAGTGTATACCCGTCTATCTCCTCAGCACTCCCTTGCCCTGAACCCCATCACTGGGGCTCAGTTGCTGGTTCATTCATTCTTTGTACCTCCGGTCATCATTTTCCGGGTGCCTTTCAAGTAAACTTTCCTTAGTGAAACCCTTCTTCCAGCTGAATGTTTCTTCCTTTCGTGAGCCCTCTGGTCTCTATGCTATTTCCTGTATTCTGCCCTCTGCTCTCCATACATGTGTATTTTGTGTTCTGTCCTTTATTAGATTGTAAGCTCCATGAGGGCAGAGTTTGGGTCTGATTACCCATCCTTTCCCCCTTTTGGTTACAGTCTCCCAGTTTTTCTTTGGGAGACAACACCTTTTCCCCCTGGCTACAGTTTTGGTGGGATGGGCAGTTCAGGTGTCCTGCCAACGAGATACTCTTCTCCTGGAATTTGAATTTTGAGTCATGGGATACAAGGACTGACAGTGATTGGCACTGATTCAGCCTGGCCGAGGTGCTCTGAAGAAGCCACTCATTAGTTCCTGCCTCCCAGATCCCTGGAGCTGCCCTGGTCCCTGAACTCTCCGAAGCCTGGTTCTTCAGATATTCCTCGTATCTGTGAGCTATCTCATATCCTTACAATAAATTCTCTCTCTCTTTTATTTTAAGTTAACCAAAACCAGCTTCTGTTGCTTTTACCCAGCGATTCCTACCAGTAGAGCTGTTATGATTGGAACTGAGCAGACTTAATCATTCTAGCTCTTATATTAATTCTGATGCTTTTTTTTCTTTTCTTTAAAAACACAAACAAAAACAGCCAGAGACTGCTGCTACTTTGAAACGTACGATAGAGGCCCTGATGGACAGAGGAGCAATAGTGAGGGACTTGGAAAACCTGGGTGAACGAGCGCTTCCTTATAGGATCTCTGCCCACAGTCAGCAGCACAACAGAGGCGGGTAAGTTTCTTCATGAAGTCTTGAAAGACGTTTTTGATAGGCTCAGTAAAGAGTACTGTTCAATTACTATTAGAAGTTCTTAAAATTTCACATTGAGACCCCTGTTGCGCCTAGGTGTCCTTTGGGTACACACTCTGGCAGTCTTGTGTTGCAGATGGGATGTGATATGCTGGCCCTTCGTGGACTATGATCTGAGTTCAAAACTAGGCCATCCTAGGAGCAAAGGGCTTACCAAGTCTAGCTTGTGGAACCTTTTCCTGTCAACCTTAGCACTGTTTTCCCTGACATTTCTTTAACTTTTGCCTTTAAAATACCTTAGTGAACAGTGCTGTCCACAAACATAGTGTATCAGTTTTAAACATATGCGTTGCAAATAACAGAACATGCTGCTTTTGACTGATGTATGTAACCTAAGCCTAATCAACAAAAGAAAAATGGTAATACCTACTCCAAGTAATGATCACAGTTTGGAATTTTGTCTCCTACTGTGTACAGCAGCTTCCTCAAATACATGTCACAGATTTGATTCTGTAGTAATAACTATCTTTGTAGAAGTTCTTGGAGAACAATTTGTAGAATAGATTTGAATCTTCTCATGTTGTAGGATTTCCTAGGAGTGGGTGTTAGAGAAGATGGGAATCAGGTTTTAGCGCGGTAGGAAAAGTCCAAGAGTAGAAGAGTCAGCTCTCTCTGGCACTCAGCAACTCTGTGGCCTCCCCTTCTGTTTCTGGCTTCTTTGGGCACAGAACTCAGGTTATGGGTCTCCCATCTGCATTGCCACAAGGACCCAGCAAGACAGTCTCTGCAGATGTGCTCTGCGACGAGAATGCTGCTTGTAGTTATGTGAGTCGAGCTGTCTTGTGCAGGTACAGTACGTGTGATAGGGCCTGAGTGGAGTCGCGTCTCACATCGAGGCTTTCTTACTGCATTTAAACCTTCTGCCGTGCTGCAAATTTCATCTTTTGATTGCTTCACCTTGTTTTGTGCTAGTGTTCAGCTTCTTGAGAACACCTCTGAAGAGAATGCCTGAGGCGTTGCTAGGCAACAGGAAATGCACAGTGGCTAGGCTTCTTCCACAGTCATAATAACAATGAGGGATGGAGAGCATGTGTGTCTGTCTGTCTGTTTCTTTTAAACTTAATCACAAATGGGTGTGGTTTTAACAGCGCAGTTATGGATCCTTTTGCCTTTTTTGTTGAAAGAGGAGCATATAAAAACTGTCCGAGAGTCATTAGCGCAGTTCTTGGATGGAAGGCAGTGAAGAAGTCAGTTTCTCCACTCATGTAGTACTTCCAGGGGTTTCTGCCCTTTTTTCAAGTAGAGGATTTGACTTTGTTGAGAGTTGGCATGACCAGCATCCTAGGATCTGCACTAACACGTAGCCTGAGTAATGCTGACGTCACTTGTCTGAGGACCAGGCTCAAGAACTGCTGTGTTCACTCAGTTCATTTTCAGACCTCTGTGTGCAGTGGTGGGGGTTGGGGGTGGGTAGCCGTTTCTCTTTATGGGTGGAATAAATTCAGGTCCTGGAGGAGCCCACTGGGACCAAGCCAGAACTGCTGAGAACACTAGCCCTACTTCTGGGTTCCCCCCTGGCAAAGGTGCATGTGCCTCGCTGAGGAATATGTTGCAGTCACTTAGTTCATTGACTTTTAAAGATTTTATTGCTGGTTCTTTTACTTTCAGACTCCTCAACAAACAGAAGCAGTGTTCTGTATTACATATGTGTATTATATATAGACACAGAAAGGTAGTGCCCAGCTGCAGTGGGGGAGGTTCATGCTTTAAGCCTATTTTCTGGGATAAATCAGTGTCTGGTATTTATTTGTTAAAGGTAATGTTTTTTAAAGTGTGGTCTCTGAAACGCTAATTCCGTAGAGATGCTCCATCAAAAAAGGAGAAGTAGGGTGTGTGTGATCAATTAGATGTGGGAAGCCTTACATGATCGAATTCCTTCTAGAGGTTCACAGTGCACATTGGCACATAAATGATGAGAAGCCCTTCAGTAAGATCCGTTCATTAATTCACTGTATTTGATTATGCTACATTTTATTTCTATAATACTCGTGAACATTCTCCACAGTGACTTTTGGGAAATGAGGATGTGAGAGGCAAGTGTAGTTTGAAGTTACCCGAATAAAGATTTGGAATTGGGCGATAACGTTTATGTGTCTGCAGTGTGGAGCTTAAGGTTAGTCTGATATTCTCTTGGCTTCAGGCAGTGGCCCCATAATCACTAACCCTAACCATGGCAGTACCAGGTATTTTGTTCATTTGGCAAATTCTTTATGTGCATTAATCCATAGCCACAGAAAGTGTTAGAAACATGTAATAAGTGGATTATGTACTGGGAGACTTGCTTTTCTGAAGTGGTTGAGAAGAAACAGTGGTTTTATTGGTTACACGTTTAGCATTCAAAGTTTTGGCTCTTTTTGAACAGCCCTAGAGGCTATGACACGTATCCGAAATTACGGCAAGGCGCTGATTTGAAACCTGACAGTGGTGTGCGAGAGCCAGCTTTTGGCTGGCTAATGGAGTGAGCCTAGATGTTTCTGAGAGTCCACATTCTATCATGGTACTGTTGGTATCGTGTGTTTGTTGCTTTTACGTTTTGTGGGGAGAAATGGTATGTCCTAGTGGTGTCCACAGGTCTCAGGTTGATTCTCACAATTGTCGTGGTTCCTGGTCTCAAGGAGTTTTCAGTCTAATCAGAGAGTTGGCTGCATAATGCTAACCTAGGCACCGGCTGAGGGAGTGTGTGTGAAAGTGCCCAGCACAGCAGGAGTAAAGCTAAGCCTGGGGCTGACGGGTAGGTATCTCTGTTCCAATGACTTCACTGTGTATTGGGCAATTGCCTCTACTGTTCTCCCATGCCCAGCCCCCTCCGCCCCCCAAATCAACCGCCTTATCACGTACATGCCCAGTAGGCTGGAAGAAAAGAGTAGGTAAGGGAGAGCCTGTTGCTTTAGGGTTATCTGGGAAATCTGCCCAGAGGAGGAGGAGAGTATACTTTGGAAATGATACCTGATGTTTATTATTATATCAAGACTGTTTCCAGTTTATGCCAAAAATAAAAATATAGTCATTATATTTCAAATATTAGTTTGGTCAGACTCCACTTTAGAAACAGGTTGTGTTCCAGAAATTTGCCTGTAAGTCTGTTGTTTATAACTGAGAACTTATTTTCCCAGTGGAACAACTTGATGGTTAAGTTCCCAGACTAGTCCACAGAGATTTTCTTAATTCATAATCTCTGAAGGTCAGTAGAACTGGGGGAGTCATGCGTGTTCAGCTGAGGACCATTTTAAACCTGTTTTTGAAAATGCAATTCAGTGTTCCCCTTGGCAGCAGAATGGGGCCTGGATTGGGCCACCCTTATCAGGGATTGGGACAATATCTCAGCCCTCTAACTTGTTAACACTAAATAAATCATTGGTGCATGACCTGGAGCTGGGTGGCTCAGAGGCCTGGGAGTCACTCCCAGCTCTGGATTTGCTGGGGTCTCTTTCAGGTCCCCGAGATTACCTCCCCTTTGTGTCTGCACGTGCTCACCCTGACACCCTCATCTGCTCTGCGGGACAGACAAGGTGTTGGTGTGGAAAATTCTTACTGTATTCCTGGGCGTTTGGAAGGGGAAGATGTCATTTATGTTAGAGGGAGCAATGACAGGAGAGGCTCATTTAGACCCGTGCTATAAAGGGGCAGGCATCTTACTGAATGATAGTAACAGTCACCCTTTGCCAGAACCACGTCACTCACTCCAGGGCTGCACGGAGCTTATGGTTCTCGGTTCTCTTTCCACTAGATGGGGCTGAGCTGAGACTGAGAGGAAACTATACAAAAAGTGCGGTCGTATTTCAGCGTTGGGCTTGTGCTGCTTTGTAAAAGGATGCCTCTGCTCTGTTTCTACCGGGTCTGATTTTATGGCAGTGAGATTGGGCTGGCTTCCAAATGCCTGTGTATAAGAACTCTTAAGTAGAAGGTGTTTTTCTTGCCTGTTTTGCCCGTTCTTTGCCTGTTCTCATCTGCTTTAAAATTTGGATAGGTGCTTATAGCAGAGATCTGCTGGCCTACATATAAGATGCCCTTCTATTTACGGGTAAGCAGAATGATAAAAATAACCAGCTCCATGGTGAATCAGTGGAATTTTACTGACTCGCTTCCCAAATGTGTCTGCAGCTTACTCCATGAGCACTGGCACCCTCTCTAGAGGAGATTGATTCTCCTCTGTAGTTTTCCCGTTAGCTAACATTTCCATGTTCTCGTGCCTTTCTGCCAGTGTTCTGACCCCGTTCTCGTGTGTAGGTACTCCACACCAGGTTTTCAGACAGGGCTGCTGTGGCCTTGGAGGTTTCTTTTTAGTGGCAGTGCCCCAAGATTTGTAAGGATTCTGCAGCAGGTTTAGTGTTAGTGGTTTTGAAAATGTATGAGACCCAACAGATATAAAAAGAAATGGGGCTTTTCCATGCAGAGGGTACCTCAGTTTGAAGGTGAATAATTCACTGCCTCGGTGAAGCCTGAATGCAACAAGGTTTAACTGAGACGGTCTAGGAACTGGCATTTAGACAGATCTGTTTCCTATCTTCAAAAAGGCTCAAGGATGCTTCAGGGCTGCAAAGCCCTCCCATCCCCCTCCCCCATCCCCCCACCCACTGTGAGCCACTGAGTGCTTCAGTGGAAATTTCCACTTGTCTGCTAGGGAGAAGGGGAGGGTGAGAGAGAGACAAAGAATGTAACTCAAATTCAAGCAAGCTCTTTTTATGGAAAACTTGTAAATACAGGGTTAAGACAAAAGTGAATAAAGAAAATACAACCTTTACATTTAAGGGCACTGTCAGAAAATACAGTTTTCCCCCTGGACAACTAGGGGAGTCGGGGAAGGGCTGGCAGCACCGGGCAGTCTGCATGGTGACTGAATGGTGGAGGGGCTAGGCCTCTCCAGGGGAGGGGCAGAAGGGACATGAGAGCTGCTGGCTCTCTTACAACCATGCTGCTGTGAATGGAGTGTTTTTGGTGGCATTGTTTTCCAGTATTGGGGCACAGTCTGTCTTGGGGAAGCCATTTCTCTGAGTGTTTTCAGATCTCTAGAGGGTTTGGGCCATGTAGTAGAGAGTTTTGTAGCATGTGAGTGTCTTAAGAAATATAAAGGAGGGCACATTATCACCTGGAAGATCACGTGGGCAAGTTCTACCTAGGAAGAAGTTCACTATTGCTCCAGCTTTCAAACACTGTTATCTGCAGTGAGAAATGCATTAGTGTCCTGAACCTTTCTTGGTTACTTCTTGCCTGGCATCAGTCATCTCCTCACTTCCACTTCTGCAGAGTTAGTGTGGGTCAAAGTTACGTGCTTTTCTATAGAAAAGAGAGATGCTTTTGTGAAGCTGATAGCAACTTCATAGAAGTGGTGATTCTATAATTAGCACCACACATGTAAAAACAAACCTTTAAAATGTAAACACTGCTCGGCTTTGTGTTCAAGGCAATGTTGGTGCTTGCATGGACCCTGGCTACCTGGTAGGCGGAACCATGTCACTTGTGCCATGTAGCACATGGTCGAAGGTGCTGGGAATGTGTAACGTAATTAGATTTTAGACTGTTTTCCCAAAATGAGCTGTGTACTTATTGATTCAATCACCAAGAGTAGAAGTGGAAAATGGAAAACTAGCTATTTGGAGAGCTTTTGTTAAGTAAGAATGTCAGCTTTGGGGCATGTCTAGTCAGTTGCAATGTAGTCAAATCCAGACGTTTGTGCCTTGAGTGAGGAGTTGATCGTGAGTCCACGTGCGTTAGGACTTCTGGTCTTGTGTTTTGATTCTGCCTAGTTTGGCTGGGGAAGAAGCAGACACTGATAGCTCATTGTGGTTGTGGAGTCCTCTTGATTCTCTCTTTTCCCAGGGTCAGGAGGAAGTTGGGGCAGAGGGCTCTAACTCCCCTGGAGACACTGAGCCCCTTTTCTGGTCACCTTCCCTTGAACAGCAGCTCCTCTGATTGTTAGAATGGTTTCTCCATGGCAACCTTCATGAGGATGCAGGGAGCGGGCATCAAGGGAGTTAGTTCCAAGGCCATTTTTTCAGCCTAACTCCCATTTTTGTAGGTCTCTTGTGGACCTGTGCTGTCATGAGAAAGGGATCCTCGCAGGCATCAAAAGCCACCCAGCCCCACCACCCCACACAGGTTGTTTCTAGGCCTGACTTTCTTCATGTGTAAAAATAGAAATGCGGGACTGTACTTGGTGTTGTCATAGCTGTAAAAAGTCTCATTCTCAGTCCTTAGGTCATCTGTAGTTAGCAAAGCCCAGCAGTGAGTCAGGGGTCCTTGCCTGTCATGGACAGTCTCCCACAGGACTGCGGTGGAAGCCTGGGTTTCTGCTCATGCAGCAGCTCGTACAGCCTCTCTGCCCAGCTGGGCTGCATATTCCAGGAGGATGAGACCATGTGTGCCTCATCCATTTAACCTCCTGAGGTTTGTCTGTAGTAGATGCTCATTAACAAGTTAAGTTTGCCCAGATGAATAGGTAAGAAGAAAAGGATATGTACTGGAAGCAACCAGGAATTGGTGAAGGTCATTCCTGTGTGGGAAAACCATAATGGACCATTTATCTGTGTACTTGGGTCACTGAAGCAGGCAGAGATTGACTTTATCCTGGACTTCTGGTCAGTTCTCTTGTGGCCTGGGAGAGACATCTTGGTTCCCTGGGAGAAGAGGTCGGGAGGGGGTTGGTAAGAGGTTCAACTTCGGAGAGTGGCGAATACAGTAAGGTCTGCCTGTCTCGGAGTCACTTCTCACCTTCGCTGTTTTGGTAGCGTTTTCTTTCTGTGGAAACTTCCACGGTGTAATAGGGAGCCATGGGAGTGGAAGCAGTCTTTGCCCACATCAGCCCCGGGCGCATAGCAGCAGGACGACAAGCATGAGATGCCAGTCACCAGCTGTGCATGCCGGCTTGTGCTCGTTTAGTTGGTTGCTGAAGGAGCGTTGTCATGCCTGGTGGCAGGAAGTCAGAGCAGTTAGGAGGGTGAAGGCAAGAGAGGGGTTTTGGTAGCAACAGGGAGCCTCCCGAAGCTAGGAAAGCCCAGTGTTAGGATTTCCAGGTCTTTAACTAGGTTTTCTCTTTATCCTTGAGAATCCTCCAACATGTGGGTACTAGGTAGCAAGAGATACAGTATACAGAGTGGGGAGCTGTGGGGTCTGGAGTCCGGAGCTTGACTCTCACTTTGTGACCTGGGGCCTATCAGTTCCCCTCTGGGCTTCAGTTTGCTCATGTGAAAGGTTTAGGCTGCGTTGTCTTTATGGTCCTTTCCAGCACTTCCAGTCTATGATTCTGTAACCCATTTGGTCCCAAAGCTATCTGTGGTTTCTTGTGTCCTGGAGTCAAAAGACCTGCTCTGTTTGAATCCTGGCAGTGACCACTTCATAGCTGAGTGACCTTGGGCTAATGACTTAACCTTTTTGAGTCTCTCTTCTTAACTACATTAAATTGTACGACTCAAAGGAGGCAACGTGTAGGAAACCACTTTGAAGACTCCTAGAGGAGTATTGTTGCTGGGGAGAGGGCTGCTGGACCCCAACCAACACTCGGCACCACTTTCTCTTCTTCCCTTTCCTCAATTGCCACACGGAGTGGAGCTGCCACTTCTCTTTCATCCTCTTCCTCAAAAGTTGTCTGAAAGCTGTGAAAGTACTTTGAAAATTAGAGTCTTATGAAAGACACTTCTTTTTTAAGTTCAGAAATATGAGGTTTCTGATATATCTGGCTTCCTGTTTCCATCCTTGGGTATTCTTTTTACCCTTATCACATCATAGAATCCAAAAGCTTTGGGTGTATTTCTTAGGATTATTGAGTGAGTGCTGAGTATATGGAGAACACTTTCAGGAGGGCTGGATGAGAATTGATTAGTGGGCAGTTGAGTTGGTTGTTGGCATCTGTAAACACACTTTCTCTTAGAACATGTTGAGACTCCTAGGCTAGCTCACAAGCTTCTAACCCTGTGAAGCAGTTGAATGGAAAATGGAAGAAAGCAGTGCTTGCTATGAACAATATCATAAGTAAGACCAAGACAGCCCCAGAGGTGCTATTTGAATAAGTTGAATACTTGACTGTAAGGAAGGGCAGGCTTGGACTTCCTGTGGACTCTCTGGAGGGAGGGGCATGGAGCACTCGGCAGTGGTGGTGTCTGGGTTACTTGATGGCCAGAGCATGTCATGCTCTTGCTAGAGCCTCCCTCCTGATGCATGGCATTTCAGCAGCACATTACTCTAAGCACAGGGCTTCAAATGGAATGAAGCAAGAGAGGAAGGCTTCTAGGGAAACTGGACAAGGCCAAGGAAGAGGCGGGAGCTCAGAGAAAAACTACCTGCTATAGACTTCAGTGTGTTGGGAATGTTGGCAGACAGGGTGAGGTCATAACTTGTCCGTGGTAGATTGGAAGGACATTTTGATGAATAGTGAGTGAAAGAGCAAATGGATAAATGGGAAGGAAAAAAGCATTGGGCCCCTGTTGGGTGAGAGTTCCCTGTACTGCCCACCAGGTGGCCAAATGGAATTATTGTGGGGCAAGGGGAGTGACTGGGTAAAAGGCTGAGGGTTGCAAGGAGGTGGTGATTTGAGGTTGATCACACTATTTTAAGCTCTGTTCCAGAGCCTAACTCAAAGTAAGTAATCAATAATTAAATCTTGAATAAATGAGTAATTCATAAGTTGGGTCATTGCAACCCTATTACCTGCTATATGGAGTAGAAATAAGCAAGTGGAATTAAACCTTGGAAAATGTGGCCAGGATTATGTGTAGTTTTCAGAGTGAGCCCAAGTGGCAGTCTTGTCAGTGAGCAAATGTGCAAGTCACTGCTTCAAGAAGTTTGTGGAATAGTGGATTCGTTTGTACCGTTTTTATTTCGTTGCTTAAGGAACCCTGGGAGTCTTCATCAGCTGTAATTGCTCCCTGTTGCCTCCATCCCACATCAGCTCATTGACCAAGTCCTGCCCATTCAGCTTCTAAACTGCCATTTTAAAATCATCAGCTTTATAGCGATGATTAGCATGTAATAAACTGCATATATTTAAAGTGTATAATTTAATAAGGTTTGACATATGTATACACTCACAGAATCACCACGGTCAAGATAATAAACATATTTGTCACCCCTAAAATTTCCTCCTCCTCCTTCGATTCCTTCCTCTACTTGTCCTTCATCCCAAGCAACCACTGATCTTTTTTCTTTCACTGTCGATTTTTTTCGACTTTATGATGGTGCAGAAGTGATTGCAGATGCAGTAGAAGCCGTACTCAAATACCCAAACAACCAGTCTGTTTTTCACTCTCAGTAAAGTATTCCGTAAAATTACATGAGCTATTCAACACTTAATGTAAAATAGGGTTTGTGTTAGATGATTTTACACAACTGTAGGCTAAGCGTTCTGGGCATTTGGCTAAGTGATGTTAGGTTAGGTGGTGTATTAAATGCGTTTTCAACATAAAATATTTTCAATTTACGGGTTTATCGAAATGCGTATATTGTAAGTTGAGGAACATCTTTTTTTTTAGACTTACATAGAATTGGATGGTATTGGACCCCTTTTACTCTAGTTTCTTTCACTCAGCATAATTATTTTGAGATCAATAGTGTGTATCAATAGTTCACTCCTTTTCATTGCTGAGTAGTATGGCATTGTATGTAGTGAATATTTGTTTTTTTCCAGTTTGGGGTTGTTATAGGTACAGCTGCTGTGAACATTTGTGTACAAGTTGTTGTGTGGACACATGCTTTAATTTCTTTGGGGTAAATACCTAGCAGTGGAATGGCTAGATCATAACTGTAGGTGTATGTTTAGGAAAGTGCCAAACTATACCAGCAATGTATATGAGAGCCGGTTTTTTTTTTTTTTTTTTTTTTTTTTGTGGTGGCGTGGGGTTACCCCAAAGGGCAGACTGGTTTATTGGGCATCAGCTGGGAAAATCAGCGGTTGGACTTGGCCACACATGCCAGCTCATCCTTCTTCTTGATGGCAAAGGAGTTGGAGGAGCCCTTGGTGGCAGTGATGAGCTCATCTGCCAGGCACTCAGCAATGGTCATGATCTCCCGGAGGGCACCCTCAAGAGTGCCTGTGCACAGCAACCAGGTGGTCTGATTCACATGGTGCAGTGGGGACACGTCCACAGCCTGTCATCTCACAGTCCCTGCTCACCCAAAGCCTGTGGAGTCCTCCTGGGGACCACCATTGATGATGGTGTTCACCAGGACCTGGAGGTGAGGGTTCTCGCCTGTGAGCAGGTGGATGAAATGGAAGGCATACTTGATGATGCGCACAGTCATGAGCTTCTTGCTGTTGTTGTGGCCATGCATTATCATGGAGTTAGTGAGGGACTCCACAATGGGGCACTGAGCTTTGCAGAAGCGTTTGGCAGCATAAGGCCCTGCATTGTGAGGCAGGTACTTGGCATACTTCTCCTTCACTGCAATGGAATCCTGCAGGGAAATGTCACTGATCTGCATATCATCATTTGTGCTGCATCATTGATCTGCACAGCGTCCACTTCCCAAAGAGCTTGGTGTCAGGGGTCTCTACCACTGCTGGTGCTGTCTCCCACTCGGTCATCCAGAGGGCACAGCCCGAGTGTCTCTGTTACTTGGCGTGGACCTCGTGCCACCCTGGAGTGCCAGTTTTTCTTTTCTTTTTTCTTTTTTTTTTTGAGACGGAGTCTTGCTCTGCCACCCAGGCTGGAGTGCAATGGCACGATCTCTGCTCACTGCAACCTCCGCCTCCCAGGTTCCAGCAATTCCCCTGCTTCAGCCTCCCAAGTAGCTGGGATTACAGGCACGTGCCACCATGCCTGGCTAATTTTTGTATTTTTGGTAGAGGTAGGGTTTCACCATGTTGGTCAGGATGGTCTCGAACTCCTGACTTCAGGTGATCTGCCTGCTTCGGCCTCCCAAAGTGCTGGGATTACAGGCGTGAGCCACCACATCCATGGAATGCTAGTTTTTCTTACATCCCTGCCAACACTTGGTGTGGTCAGCCTTTTTAATTTTATGGCACTTTAGTAGGTATCTCTTTGTGGTTTTAATTTGCATTTCTCTCATGACTAATGGCTTTAGGCATCTTTTCATGTGCTGCTTTGCCATCGTATGTCTTCTGTGAAATGTCTGTTCAAATCTTATGACCATTGTTTAAAAGTTTTTTTAAATTAAGTTTTGAGAGTTATTTGTATTCTAGATACAAGTCCTTTATCAGACTTCTAATTCGCAAATCTTAGTGGCTTTTTATTCAAAGAGCAGTTTTTAATTTTGATGAAATCTAATTTATCAATTTTTTCTATTATGGATTTTGGTTTTGGTGTTGTGTCTAAGGAAACTTTGCTTAATCCAAATTTACAAAAGCTTCTAAGTTTTATAGCTTTATATTTTACATTTAAATCTGTCCCATTTTGAGTTAATTTTTTAAATGGTACAAGTAGGGAAGAAAGTTCGGTTTTTTTGCGTGTGGATACTGGATTATTTTAGCACCATTTGTTGTAAATCTCTATTTTTGTACTCCATTCTAGTCTTTTGATCTCTCTGTGTATCTGTACATGAATATCATACTGTCTTGATGGCCATAGCTTTATAATAAGTCTTGAAATCAGGTGGTGTTAGTCCTTCAACTTACATTCTCTATCAGAGTTGTTTTGGCTGTTTTAGATCCATTATGAACTTTCTAATCAATATTCTAGGGTTTTGATTGAGGTTCTACTGAATGTCAATAGATTTTATTTCAGTAAAATAAATAATAGATCTCAATTTTTGTTTAACTTGGAGAGGGTTGACATCTAAATTTTGAGTCTTCTTACCCGTGAACAAGATATACCTGATAGATTTTGTTTCTTTCAGCAGCGTTTTGTAGTTTTGCATACCTTTTGTCTGATTTCTCTGCAAGTATTGAATGTTTAATTCAAGGTCTGATTATTTGTTACTAGTATATAGAAATAACATTGATTTTTGTATCTTGCAATCCTGCTAAACTCATTAGTTCTATTTTTTTTATAGATTTCTTAATACTTTCTCAAAACACAATCATGTCATATGCAAATAAGACAGTCTCACTTTTTGCTTATCAGTCTAGGTACCTATTCTTTTTCTTGCCTTACTGCACTGGCTAGAACCTCCATTTCAGTGTTGAATAGAAGTGACAGTGGACTTTCTGGTTTGTTCCCAGTCTTAGGGGAAGAACATTTAGATATTCACCAGCTGGTGAAATGTCAGCTGTAGATTTTTCAAAGATGCTCTTTATAAGTTTGAGGGAGGTCACTTCTATCCCTAGTTTGCTGAGATTTTTTTTTTTTTAATCAGGAATGGCTATGGATTTTGTTAAATGCTTTCATTTGTGTTTGTTGAAATGATCATATGGTGTTTCTTTTTTAGTTTGTTAATATGTTTTAATTTGAATTACATTTTTTTTCAAATGTTAAGCCAATCTTGCATTCTTGGGATAAAGCCTGCTTGGTCATGGTATATTGTATTTTTTAATATATGATAGTAGTGAATTTGCTAAAATTTTGTTTAGAATTTTAAAGTGTGTATTCTTGAGGGACATTCATCTGATTTCTTGTAATGTCTTTGGTTTGGGTATAGGGTAATGCTGGCTTCACAGAACAAATTGAGATGTGTCTTCCTTTTTTCTCGGTGAATTTGTATCAGAATTGGTATTTTTGTCAGATGAGTAGGTTGCGAAAATTTTCTCCCATTTTGTAGGTTGCCTGTTCACTCTGATGGTAGTTTCTTTTGCTGTGCAGAAGCTCTTTAGTTTAATTAGATCCCATTGGTCAATTTTGGCTTTTGTTGCCATTGCTTTTGGTGTTTTAGATGTGAAGTCCTTGCCCATGCCTGTGTCCTGAATGGTAATGCCTAGGTTTTCTTCTAGGGTTTTTATGGTTTTAGGTCTAACATTTAAGTCTTTAATCCATCTTGAATTAATTTTTGAACTACTCATCTAACAAAGGGCTAATATCCAGAATCTACAATGAACTCAAACAAATTTACAAGAAAAAAACAACCCCATCAAAAAGTGGGCAAAGGACATGAACAGACACTTCTCAAAAGAAGACATTTATGCAGCCAAAAAACACATGAAAAAATGCTCACCATCACTGGCCATCAGAGAAATGCAAATCAAAACCACAATGACATACCATCTCACACCAGTTAGAATGGCAATCATTAAAAAGTCAGGAAACAACAGGTGCTGGAGAGGATGTGGAGGAATAGGAACACTTTTACACTGTTGGTTGGACTGTAAACTAGTTCAACCATTGTGGAAGTCAGTGTGGCGATTCCTCAGGGATCTAGAACTGGAAATACCATTTGACCCAGCCATCCCATTACTGGGTATATACCCAAAGGACTATAAATCATGCTGCTATAAAGACACATGCATACATATGTTTATTGCGGCACTATTCACAATAGCAAAGACTTGGAACCAACCCAAATGTCCAACAATGATAGACTGGATTAAGAAAATGTGGCACATATACACCATGGAATACTATGCAGCCATAAAAATGATGAGTTCATGTCCTTTGTAGGGACACGGATGAAATTGGAAATCATCATTCTCAGTAAACTGTTGCAAGGACAAAAAACCAAACACCGCATGTTCTCACTCATAGGTGGGAATTGAACATTGAGAACACATGGACACTGGAAGGGGAACATCACACTCTGGGGACTGTTGTGGGGTGGGGGGAGGGGGGAGGGATAGCATTAGGAGATATTCCTAATGCTAAATGACGAGTTAATGGGTACAGCACACCAGCATGGCACATGTATACATATGTAACTAACCTGCACATTGTGCACATGTACCCTAAAACTTAAAGTATAATAAAAAAAAATTGGTATTTTTGCCTTAAATGTTTGGTGTAATTCACCAGTGAAGTCATTTGGGCCTGTAATATTCTTTGTGGGAAGCTTTTAAACTTCTTTAATAAGATATAGGGCTTAAGGGTTTAAACTACACATATTTCGTTAATAAGATATAGGGCCATTCAAGTTATCTGTACTTCTTGAGTGAGGTTTGGTAGTCTGTGTTTTTCAAGGAATTTGATCATTTCATCTGAGTTGTTAAATTTAATGCTTTTTTTTGAGACAGAGTCTCGCTCTGTCACCCAGGCTGGAATGCAGTGATACAATCACGGCTCACTGCAGCGTGGACCTCCTGGGTTCAAGTCATCCTCACACTTCAGCCTCCCCAGTAGCTGGGACTACAGGCACACACCACCATGCCTGGCTAATTTTTGTAGTTTTTGTGGAGATGAGGCTTCACCATGTTGCCCAGGCTTTTCTCAGACTCCTGGTGTCAACTGATCTGCCTGTCTAGGCCTCCCAAAGTGCTGGTATTACAGGTGTGAGCCCCAGCGCCTGACCTTGCAAAAATTTTTTATAATATTTCCTATTATTTTAATATTTATGAAATCTGTAGTTGTTTCACCTTTCTCATTCCCAGTGCCTTTAATTTATACCTTACCTCTTTTTACTCAACAGTCTGGCTATAGAGGCCCTTACCTCTTTTTACTCAACAGTCTGGCTATAGAGGCATATCAATTTTACGAATCTTCTCCATGAACTAGTGTTTGGTTTCATTGATGTTCTCTGTTTTTCTTTTTTCTGCTTTGGGGATTTCTCCTCTCTCTCTCTCTTCTCATCTTACTGGATTTAATTTGCTCTTTTCCTAGTTTCTTAAAGTAGAAGCTGAGACTATTGATTCGAGGCCTTTTTTTTTTTCTTACCTAGGTGTTCAGTAGATATGAATTTCCTGACAAGTATTGCTTTCATGGCATCCCCCAAATTTTGATTTGTAGCATTTTCTTTTTCATTCAATTCAAAGTACTTTGTAATTGCCCTTTTGATTTCTCCTTCTACCTGTTTGTCCAGCTTATTTAGATATCTGTTTAGTTTCCAAGTGTTGAGGCATTTTTCGAAGATTTTTGTGTATAACTTGAATCCCTTTATGTTATATGGCCCAGAATATGGTTGGCCTCGGTAAATGTTCTGTGTACACTTAGGAAGAATGTCTGTCTTGTGATTGTTGGGTAAAGGGTTCTATAAATGTCAGTTAACTCCACTTGGTTAATGTTGGTGTTCACTTTTTCTATATCCTTGGTGATTTTCTGTATAAGTAGTTCTATCGATTACTGAAAGAGGAATGTTAAAAGACTTCAGCTGTGATTCTGGATGTGTCCATTTCTCTGTTCAGTTCTGCTGTTCTTATATGTTGAAGCTCGGTTATCTGGTGCATGTATATTTAAGATTGTTACATCTTGGTGGACCCATTATTATGTATTGTCTCTTTTTATTCCTGGTAATTTTCTTTGCTCTGAAGTCTGCTTTGTCTGATATTACTGTAGCCACTTGAGCTTGCTTTTGATTAGTGTTTTTGGTTGGTATATATTTTTCTGTCCTTTTATTTAATTATATGTTTACTTGAATAATTATTCCACTAGGCTTGGCTTTAAGAGTAAATGGTCACTTGGTAAATTTACTTACAAGTTTTGAACCTCTTTGCCCTTTGTCTGGAATTACACAAAATGCCATCCCTTTTCTCATAAGTTCCTTCCTTGCTGAATTTGTTCCTTTTCAACTTGATCTTCCCAGCTTCCTGTGAGAGCTCCACATTTCATGCTAACACCATCACGGTCAAAGATTTACTCTGGACCTGCTCCGTGTTCGTCTCTATTCGGAGTGCTAGGGTTAACACCAGAGCCTTTCTTCCTATGGCAACTGTGCTTTAGTGGAGTGAGGCAGACAGTAAGCAAATGCATACTGTGCCAGTGGTGAGAACGTACTTTGTGGAACAAAACAAAGCCTTGAGTGAGGGCAATGGAGAGTGAGGGGCCTTGGTGGAGCTAGGAGGGTGCTGCTTTAGGAGAGTGGGCACAGAAGGTCTCTCTGAGAGGGTGACATTTGGACAGAGACATGATAGAAGCAAGAGATGAGCTATGTGGAAGTTGGGCGGAGAACATTTCCAACAGAAGGACCAGCGAGTACAAAGGCCTGGGAGGGGAATGTGCTTGGGAGTCCTGAGAACCACATGTATGCCTAGAACAAGGCAAGCGATGACGAAAATTTCATAGTTTTAACCAGCTAGAACATTGCAGGATTTTGAAATACTGCCCTGAAAACTGACCTTTAGTCACATAATGGTCCAAATCAGACAGTACAAGGGAGGCTTAACCTTTTAGGTCTGAGAGGAGCCAGGAGTGGGTAGGGATGGGCTCTTTCCTTGCACTGTCAGCCAGCAGGCTGCTGAGGACCTTGTCAATCTTTGAAGACCAGTGAGCCGTGCGGGATGCCCGTCGACATTAGTCTGGTTTGAGTGATGAGTGGTAAATTCTTTTTCTTACTTAAGGTTCCAGTAATTTTCTTTTTGTTCCTTGTCCGTATTGAACATAGTTGTAGACCAGTCCCATGCCTTTCTTAATCTTTTCCCATGTTTGTGGGCTCATGGTTCTCTTAGGTGTGTTAGTTCACAGGGAAAATCCTTTGAAAAGTTAGAAGAGTATCTAATAGATGTTTTCACACACACACACAACATTAATGAATAGTTTGGAAAATTCAGTCTCGTCAATGGATTAGAAGTTTTCCCCCATGCTTTCTAGTACTTCACACCATCTGTAATGTCACAGTGTGTTTTTGCTGCCATAAAGCTGGTTTGGATTCATATTTTCACAAGAGTGTAATGGGAAAGACCATAGAAAAAGGGAGATTGGGCTTAACACTGCAATTCTGTTTAGCTGGTCAGCTGGTAGTTTCTATTTTGACAAGGTTATGTGTGTGTATGTGTGTGTTTGTGTGTAGTTGATGTCTGTCTAGGAAGAGTAAAATGGAAACACTGACCAAAATAGTAGAATTATTACAATTCAAATGCAGACACTCACAAGTTTTTATTTTATTGCAGGTATTTCTTGGTGGATTTTTATGCACCCACCGCAGCTGTTGAAAGCATGGTGGAGCACTTGTCTCGAGATATAGATGTGATTAGAGGGAATATTGTCAAACACCCTCTGACCCAGGAACTAAAAGAATGTGAAGGGATTGTCCCAGTCCCACTCGCAGAAAAATTATATTCCACAAAGAAGAGGAAGAAGTGAGAAGATTCGCCAGATTTTAGCCTTATATGTAATTCCTTCACATTTGGGCAGCATGGACGAGAAGGAAGAATTTGCAAGTTTGGCCTTTATATAAGCATGTGTTGCAGGTGCTGTTTGATTTTTCTAAGGTATTTTTAGCCCTTGATCCCCTTTGCTTGCGAGAGGTGGGGAACTGCTCACTGACAGCTTCTCTGTAACCTGCAGTACCAGTGGATCGTTCTTGATTTTGTTTTCATTAGTGTCATTTCTTTGTCATTGAGGACTTTTCCCCTTACAACAGTAACACCATTTTTTGAAGAGCAAAACTTATAATACCTCCTGGGATTGTGAGCTAGTCATTCAGCCTGTGTAACCATGTGGAAATAAAAATTGACGACCAATGTATTATATGGACAACTTTTGCTTTGAGTAATAAACTTGATTGTAGGAATGTGGGAGGTGTTTTGTCCCTTTACTTACCCAGTGCAGTGCACTTCCAGGGCCCCGCAGCTCCAGTCTAGCTGGCAGTGCCTGGCAGTGTCGGGGAGGCATTACCCAGTACCCACTGAGGTCCAGAGCCGGGGTGGGGCAGGGGAGGAGGGGTGTCTGTCTGTTCCTTACTGGGCACGCCACAAAATCAGTGACTTTTCCCTGCACACCTCACTTGTCATTGTGGTTTGTGCTGCTCTTTGTGGTGGGACGTGTGTTCTGGTGCAGTTAAGGTCTCATGCTGCTCCCTGTCATTCCTTTGCTACTAGCACCTGCCTCCTCCACTGTCCCTCATCCCAGGGCAGGCCTCTTGTAGGAAGTAGCCTCCTGGCAGTGGCATGGCTTCCAGGATGGGTGAGGATGAGGTCGTTTCCCAAAACAGTCACCTGCATCTCTTCCTCGGTCTCCTCGGGGCTGATTGGAAAGACTTGACTAGCCCTTCCCCCTTCCCAGGGGGTGCCCTGCACAAGGTGTCTGTCACCATCACAGATGACGGAACTTCTGCACATAAAATGTTGGGGGAAGTGCCGGTTCTGGGAATCTCTGAAAAGCAGGAAGGAGCCGAGAGTTCTGGCCTCTGCTTTGTTTTTAACCATGGCAAGACCGGAGGATGGAGAGATGTGCAAGAGATGCCCAAAGCGCCAGGAGGGCCTGGTCTCCCAGCTCTGGCCCAGCGCCTCCTCCCTCTGTAGCAGCTGCCTGTGTCTGCACTGGGTCATCAGTGTTGTCGCCTTGCTTATTAAGAACTCAGGCGGTATCCAGCTTAACTTCCTCCAGAGGCAAAAAGCTATAAAAAGTCTCTCTGAAGAGCAATAATTCAGTGAAGAGGCTCATTAAGAACTGTAGACTGGAAATAAAAGGGGTAAAGATTATCTGGGAAAATATGCTACTTCCTGTTTTATTCGGAATTTCCTGAAAGCGCAGGCTCTCGGTCAGGGCTCGCGAGAGCACCAACTCTCTAGCAGACACTTTGTGTCCTGATGTTCTTTGACTCGGTGCGATCTGAGGTCCATTTTGCTTGGAGTTTATTAAACGCACGCCATGTGCCATGCTGCACACTTATGTCCATTCCCTCAGTTACTCCTTTCAGCAGCCCCAGGAAAGGCAGCATTGCTATACCTGTTGCTTGGACTAGGAAACCCCCACTCAGATTTGCCCTTGACCCCACAACTGCCAGTGATAGCTGGAATCTTGAACTAGGGACCCTGATGCCATCTGTTTTTTCCTTCTTGTAACAGTAAGGTTGTCTTTGCCCTCTCAGGTTAAACAAGGCACTTGGGTGTCTGGAGTGAATTGTCACCACTCAGTTAGTGGCATTTGGCCGCATGGCCCGAGTGTAGCACTGGCACTTTCTTTTCCTGCACTTGCCGGTCCCTGACAAGACGCCATTGGGTATTCCAGGTCATGCAATCCTGTGGCACAATTTAGAGAGCATTAGGAAGGAGGCTGGCAAAGTAGGGCAGCCGTGCAGTATGCCAGTTCCCCTCCTTGGAAGCTCCAAAACGAAGCCACTGTCTTTCCCCTGTGAGTGGTTGGTGCATAGCTGGATCCTCAGCAACTGAGGGGTCCTCATCCCCTGGCAGCTGCTGGCCCGTCGGGATGTCTAGTGTTGGAGCAGGGCGTGCAGGTGGGTGGTTTCCAGGCCACTTATTTGTCAGAGTAGAGCATCCGGTCTCCCTGCCCAGGCTGGTGGTGGTCCGAGGCTCTGGTCTCCTCCTTCAGGGGATGATAATGGCAAAGTGCTGGCAGTAGAGCCATAGACAAAGACAGGCCCTGGCCTCGTGGAGCTGAGAATTGGCATGGAGGCAGACAAAGTATGTACAGTGTAGGAGCTGCTGGGGGGAGTACAGAGGATGGAGTGGGGAGGGCACGTGCAAGCTGAGCTCTGAAGGGCGAGGAGCCAGTCGTGTGATGTCACAAGGAACTGAGGGGCCAGATCTGGGAGACTGGAGACCTGTGAGGAGTTAAGCGCAAAGGGATAGGAGGTTGCCAATGGGAAATGACGCATGGAAGGCAGAAGGCTGGCATCGGGTGAGGCATCAGCTTCAGGATGCTCCCTGGGGGGCTCATGTCCTTGGAAAGGGCATCTTCCTGGGATTTGCAGCCTTGACTATTCGTGGGCCTCTTTGGACAGGCTCAGTCTTCCAGAAGTACTTGGTTTGATCTCGCCAATACTCGGCTTGACTGGCTGCATTTTAGGATACGAAACTTGGACTTCTGAAAGGAATTTAAGAGGAACATCGGCATTTAAGATATGGTGCTCAGGATTGATGACATAGGTGATATTTATCCTCATGATCCTGTCAGCACTCAGAGTCACCCCTTTCCTCTTCCAGCATGTCTGGAAGGGCTTATTTTTGCCAGTGGGCCCTGCCCCCTGGCTGGAGGAAAGTATGCTGGCTCCAGTCTACGAGAGTGGAGGTCCTGAGAGTCTGCAGTCCCAAGTCCAAAGTAGTGGCCACAGTTCAGGCCTGTGACAAGCCAGGGGGTTGTTTTTTGAAGGTGGCCCAGGGAGGTTGAAAATGAGAGCCTGGGGGCCCAAGAAGCTAGTCTACCGAGCTGGTCTTGATAGGGGAGACCCTAACCCAGTGGCGCTAGAGGAATTAAAGACACACACACAGAAATATAGAGGTGTGAAGTGGGAAATCAGGGGTCTCACAGCCTCCAGAGCTGAGAGCCCCGAACAGAGATTTACCCACGTATTTATTAACAGCAAGGCAGTCATTAGCATTGTTTCTATAGATATTAAATTAACTAAAATTAACTAACTAAATTAACTAAAAGTTTCTATAGATATTAAATTAACTAAAAGTATCCCTTATGGGAAACGAAGGGATGGGCCGAATTAAGGGAATAGTTTGGGTTAGTTAACTGCAGCAGGAGCATGTCCTTAAGGCACAGATCGCTCATGCTATTGTTTGTGGCTTAAGAATGCCTTTAAGCAGTTTCCCCGCCCTGGGCAGGCCAGGTGTTCCTTTCCCTCATTCCTGTAAACCCACAACTTTCCAGCTTGGGCATTAGGGCCATTATGAACATGTTACAGTGCTGCAGATATTTTGTTTATGGCCAGTTTTGGGGCCAGTTTATGGCCAGATTTTGGGGGGGGCCTGCTCCCAACAGAAGCTGCTCCATGACATTCACAATGGTGGATCCATTCACATGGATTGTTCATGAAGCATCTGAAGGGAGACAGGCGCTGTACCATGGAGTGTCAACAAAGGACCATGGAGCCCAGTAGATTTTTGCTGAAAGACCAAATGTATGTTGATTGAGATGAAGTATTCGGTTAAAAGATTAGAGAGTACGGAAAACATGAGCCGCTTTTCCAAGCTTTTAGTTGAGTCTGGAAGAGCCCTGGTGTACCCCCACCCACTTGAGGGATCCCACAGTGCTTTCAGCAGGAGTTCAATGTGGGTATTCCTTTACCCTCCCGACAGCCCCCTAAGCCAAATATTCTTTTGTTTTATGACTTAAGACACCTGAGGCTTACAGGATAATAGATAACATCCCCAAGGCCGCAAAAGGAGGAGGAGTTGGAGTTGGGAGTCATGTCTCTCTTTCCAGAGCCCATTTTGGCCTGCTTACAGGCTCCTGGAGGTAGATGTTGCCAATCCCTGCAGTCCTGATTATGCCACGAGGGGCTGGCTCTGGATGACCTGCTCCTCTGGGCCCTTCCGACGCTGCACCTAGAGCCAGACCCCAGGCTTCCTCGCTGCCAGAGAAGGGGAGCGCTGGGAGCTGGGGATCCTTGGGAGGGTTTTATTTTTTATTTTATTTATTTATTTATTTTTTCTGAGGCGGTGTCTCGCTCTGTCGCCCAGGCTGGAGTGCAGTGGCGCCATCTCGGCTCACTGCAAGCTCCACCTTCCGGGTTCATGCCATTCTCCTGCCTCAGCCTCCTGAGTAGCTGGGACTATAGGTGCCCGCCACCACGCCCAGCTAATTTTTTGTATTTTTAGTAGAGATGGGTTTCACCGTGTTAGCCAGGATGGTCTCGATCTTCTGACCTCGTGATCCGCCCGCCTCGGCCTCCCAAAGTGCTGGGATTACAGGTGTGAGCCACTGTGCCTGGGAGTGTTTTAAATCTCAGGTCTTCAAACAGAAATCCTGAGAACATCAGAAAATGTTGGTGTCTCCTGGAGACCAGGTATTTTTTTCTCATGATTCTCCCTGCTCTGTAATTCCCACTGCTCATTTCTCTCCACATTGCTCCACGGGTGTCTTTTGAGAGTACACATATGGCAGGTGCTGCTCTGGGCAGGATACAAAGATCAGAGGGGCAGTGTTCTGGCCTCAGGGCTCTCACACGTGGGGGTTGGACTGTTCAGCTGTCTAAAACACAGCCCATAATAAATATAATAACAAATGTTTAAACCAAGTGCTAGGAAACTGGGGCGGGGACGGGGGAGAACTAGATTGACTAGTGCCTGGAATGAGAGTGGGGCCAGGTGGGGAGGTGGTGAGACTGCATGGTGAGCTTTGGGAACCCCTGGGAGGGGGGCAAGTTACAGTGTGATGGTGAGAAGGATGGTGGAAATGTCAGAGTTGCAGGGCTTGTGGCTGGAGGTAAGATTGGGAAGTCAGGTTGCTCAGGGTTTCTTGAAAGATCTTTACAAAGAGCCAAGAATGAGTCTTGTGCATGTTAACTTGCTATAAAACATGCCTCCTAATTGAGTAACCCCATGCTGCCTGCATATTTGTGAGGAAGGAAATAATTCCACTGATTGGCCATGGAGAAGTACAAAGAGGGCTGAGGCAAGGGGTGCAGATGTCTACAAGAAGGTGGGCAGTGTGGACTAGAGAGGGCGAGTGCTCGCCAGGCAACCCCTTCCTGAACAGTGTGTGCTTTGAAATGTGCGTAGGAGCGTGTGAAAAGTACAAATTATTCTCTCTCTGCTGTGGTCTGGGCTACTGCCATTTGCGTTAGGAGGTCTCCGCAGAGAGATGACGGCACCTGTAATGGCCTTGTGATGCTACCTGCCAGTCCCTGGCCTGTTTTCTGCACCTGGAAACAGACAAGTATGGTGTTGATGGTGGGAAGTTTCCAAGGCGATTTGTGGGATTCTTGGTCACCTTGAAAAAATGCAGTAGTGGAATGATCATAGGACTTTGGGTTGGAGAACTGCTCAGAGAACTCTCCACCCACCAGCCTTGACCATGTTCAGTTTCTTCTCCCGGTCTAAGTGTCCTCACATGGAAAATGTGGCCAGTGAAGCAGATGGTCTCAAAGAGCCTGTCCTGGTCTCTAATACCCTGGACCGAGTTACTGCCTGGTTTGCTGAAGAGTTATTCCATCAGTGATTAAAGAACTTGGTAGTTGGTAGGATATGGAGGTGGGGAAGGGTTAAAATAATTTCTTAGAGGCTTATTCTTTGCACACTTCTTTTCATGTTCTGATAAGCATAGCTGTTGTTTTCATAACCTGCCATTGGATTCTGTGGGGCTGACTAGTAATCTCATTCTAAACAGAATAGGCCTGTCTTTAATCACAAGAAAACAGCAAAGGAGTCCCAGAGGTCAGCACAGTCATTTGCTGGGCTCAGATTGCCAGCATTCTTTTTGTTCTCTGAAAATGAAGCTTTAAGGGACATGGCTTACAGCCAAATACAGGCAAGACACATTCTGTTAGTCGCAGGAGGAAAACCATGTCGAAACGAAAAGTCCATATTGGTGGTAGTTTTTTGAGAGCTACACCACAACCCCCAAAATTGACCTCTAAAGTGACAACAGTAAGACCTGGATAATCCTGCACATTCCTAGTGCCACCACAACCCAGTGAGATTAACAAAAGACTCATGGAACCAAACTTCATCCCCAAAGTATTCAGGTCCGCTGGGCTGCTGAAGGGGAGCAGCACTGGTGTCTGGGTGTGGCATCTGAACCTTTGCTTCCAGAACACCAGCATCGTCACATTTCTCAGAGAAAGCAATTTGCCTTGAGACAGTTCCATTGTGAGTGGAAGAGACAAGGGTGCATTGTTCACCAGACAATGCCTGAAGTAAGGATTATGCAAAATGGACTCTTGACCTCTCTATTCCAAATAAGTGGGAGACTCTGTAGTTTCCATAAAGCTTGTATTGAGCTAAATGATGTGACTTGGATGTAGCATCCTTTGTCTAATCGGATACCAAAATGTTAAGCACCTATTTGTGAAAGACTGGATATTACACTTTGACAGAGGTGTCAGGCTCTGTTAATTGGTATCGTGGATGCTCATTATTGGCAGATTCCATATTTGCGAGTCTGCTTACTTGCTAAAATTTATGTCCTCAAAATGAATACCCATGATACTTTTGTAGTCATTCAACGGGTATGTGTAGAGTAGCAAAGAATTTGAGTCACTTGACAAGTCTGTTCCCTGTCGAACAAAGCAACACTCTGCCTTCTTGTTCCAGCTCTCATACTGTAAACAAGTGTCTTTTTCACTATTTAGTGCCATTTTTTTTTTTTGCATTTGTGTGCTTTTTCATGGTGCTTTTGCTGTTTCAAATGGCCCCCAAGTGTAGTGCTGCAGGACTGTGTTCTAAGCGCAAGAAGGCTGTGATGTGCCTTTTGGAGAAGATACCTGTTAGACAAACTTGTTCAGCCATGAGTTCTAGTGCCATTGGCCTTGAGTTCAATGTTAATCAACAGTATGTAGTAAACGTCTTTAAAACGAAACACACATAAAACAAGCTCACGGATTGATGGGTTGACATAAGCGTTGTGACCAAAGGCTAACCTAACCCTGTATTTCCCCTAGGAGCGATAATTCAGGGTTCTCTAAGTCAGTGTTGATGGCAACTTTAAAGAACACAACTACTGCAGATAACAAGAATAGGCTCTATTTGATGCAGGAATTTTGCTTAGTTTTCTGCTGAGGGTCTTTTTGACATCTTTCTGTAAATCTCCAACTTTTACCTGCAAAAAAGGGGAGTTTGATTCCCACCATTTTTCTTACTCTGCTTGTCTTGTCTGTCTCCCACCATCCTGCCTCCTCTTCTCATGCACACAAACTTTCATCCTCCACCATCTCCCGTCCACTAGGCAACTATGACATCTGCATGAGCAAGGGGCCTTCTCTTTGAAAGGAGCCCTTAGAAAAGTACCTTGGCAGAGAATTTGGTGATGTGGCCAGAAAGAGCCAGACTGTACTAGGAGAGCCTGGATGCAGTACTCCTGTTACCTTCCAGCCTCAGGAACAGGCAGATTGGATGGGGTTTAGTGAGGCCAAGGAAAGGGATAATTAGTAAGTATAGCAACTCTCCTCTGCAGGCACCATGACAGCTCAGGAGTTTTCAAATACTCTCCAAATACATTTTAATTACTTTTAAAACACCAGCAAAGGGTCATTCACAAAGCAAAATCACAGGGGATTTTAAAGGCGCTGATTTTATAAAGTTAGCAGTTAAATGTTTTAAAAGCTTGTTCCTCTTCCATATATCTTACCAGATCTAAAAATAATATGAAGAAGTTATTTATAAATGTGGCTAAGTAAAATGCTAAAGAAATCTCTGTTAACCGCTCTGTTAACCCAAATGGTTTTGGGGTTAAATCTCTGTTCTGGCAAGCATGACGCTGTAACAGTGAGTGTCCTCACCTTGTAGCGCTATTCGTACTCCCTTTCCTTTCCTAAAACTGGCACATGGATTGAGAAACTAGAAACCTATGTTTGTAAAAAATCCAAACATACCTAAAAATAACAAGTTAATGTAACAAATTTGAGGAACTTACCACTCAGATTTAATAGATACTGTATTTTTGCTATATATCTTTCAGAGCTTTTATTTTAAAGAAAATATTAGGTATAGTTGAAATCCTTTGTACCCCCTCTTATCCTATTCCTTCCCTCAAGAGGTAGCCATATCTAAAGTCAGTGTAATAGTCTGTTCTTGCACTGCCATGAAGAAATACCCAAGACTGGGTAATTTATAAAGAAAAGAAGTTTAATTGGCTTATGGTTCTGCAGGCTGTATGGGAAGTGTGGTGCCGGCATTTGCTCGGCTTTTGGGGGAGGCCTCAGGAAACTTACAATCATGGCAGAAGGTGAAGTGGAAGGAGGTGTGTCTTACATGGCTGGAGCAGAAGGAAGAGAGAAAGTGGGGAGGGGCTATACATTTTTAAACAACCAGATCTCACAGTAACACTCACTATTGCCATGACAACAATTAGGGGGATGATCTTAAACCACCAGAAACTGCCCCCATGATCCAGTCACCTCCCACCAGGCCCCTTCTCCAACACTGGAGATTACAATTCAGCATGAGATTTGGGCAGGGACACAGACCCAAACCATTATCAGTCAGTGTGTATCATTTATATCCATATTTTATATTTTTGATACATATATATGCAGCTACAACTCATTGTTTTGTGGATTCTTATTCGTGGTATGCAAGCTTCAGTGATAGGCTTTTGTTTTTCATTTCTTCAGCACTCATTTTGAGATCTATCAGGTGGATGCTTGTTGACGTAGTTCACTGATTTCTCCTGTCATATAGTATGCCATGTGTGACTGTATCCCAGTTTGTCCACTTGCCTATTCATGGGCATTTCCAATTTGACAGTTTCAAGCAATGCTGCCATGGACTTACTGCTAGTTAGCTATCTCCTGGCGCATATATGTGAGTGTGCAAACTGAGAAGAACTGCTGGCTAGAGAAGGGAAGAACTGGTTTGTTCAGTATTTTCATCTCCGTTATTAACAAATTTCTCTCCAAAGTCATTGCATCAGTTTACACACCCATCAGCAAGGTTTAAGATTTCTGTTTTCAAGTACCTCCCACTATGTGGTATTACGTTTTTTAAAGCCTTGCCAGTCTAATAAGTGTCAACAAGTGTCTCTTAAAGTTATATTTTCTCTATTATTAATAAGCATGAACTTTCATGGGAACGGTCATTCTGAGTTTTTCTCCCTGTTAATTGCCTGTTTATAATATTTTATAAACATAATAATTTGCTGATTTCCTTCCTGGATTGTTTGTCATTTTTCTGACCTAAGAAAACAGAAAAGCAATGCTTGCTATACAAAGTGCAGTTCGGAGAGGGTTTAAGACCACTACCATGAGGCCGGGTGCGGTGGCTCCTGCCTGTAATCCTAGCACTTTGGGAGGCCAAGGCGGGCTGATCACCTGAGGTCAGGAGTTCTAGACCAGCCTGGCCAACGTGGTGAATCCCCGTCTCTACTAAAAAATACAAAAATTAGCCAGGTGTGGTGGCAGGCATCTGTAATCCCAGCTACTCGGGAGGCTGAGGCAGGAGAATTGCTTATACCCAGGAGGCAGAGGTTGCAGTGAGCTGAGATTGTGCCACTGCACTCCAGCCTGGGCGACAAGAGCAAGACTCTGTCTCAAAAAAAAAAAAAAAAAAAAAGACCACCACCACCATGAATTCTCCATACTTCTTGCACTTCTGCTTCCCCCAATAGACCCCTGCTTCCCACCTCCTGACCCCCAGAGCCTGGTTCTGCTCTCTACCTTGAGAACTTTGGGACTAATATTACGATGCCCTTTATTCTTGATGACAGTCACCATGAGAATCCCAGGCCCTCCAGAAGATCCCTCACCCTTGGCGACCCAATCTCCACTCAGCTTCATACCTTCCTTCCTTTGACTCAACTTCCTGTCCAATCGTGAAACCTGTTCTCAGGGCCCCTGGAACTCACAGTCATCAGTGGTCTCTGATCACCTCCACCTCTTCTGTAAACATTTCCTGCTTGTTGCTCCAGTGGAAGCTGGGGCCCCTTGAAGCCTCTGCTTCCCCTGTAGCCCTCTCAGGAGTGGGTCTTTTCTCTACCACGAGGCCTAGAGGTAAAGCAGGCGTCTTCAGTCCTCTTTGTCCCATCCAGACCATTGCCCAATCTCATGCCATTGGGCTAAACCATCGGGGGTTCAGTCATCTGTGGTTCCCCAGGCCACCTCCTGTGTTCCTTGAAGGCTTCAGCTCCCAGCCACTGTTACTCTCTCCAATCCAATCTCACGTGACCCTAGGCGACTTAGGTGATCCTTTCCAAAAGCCTGGCCTCCTGGCTACCCAGTCTCCTCCCCACCACCCTGCCATCCATCTAACATTAGTCACCCACTCCCGGGTTACACCTCAGGCCCTGTCATTGCCAAAAACGACATTATTCAGAGTCCTAATTTCAAACATCCCGCTCTTCCCTCCTAGCTCACTCCCTCTTATACCCTGGCTCCAATCCCATTCCCTCAACCCTACAGGGCCCCACTTATCCTACTGGCTATCCATTGTCTCTCCTCATGCCCTCACTGCCCTCCTCACCCTCCTTAAATTTCAAGTCTACTGCTGCAACCAACTCTCCAGGCCTCTCTTGATGATACTCAGACTCTACCACAGCCTGCACCTATGGGCTGGATGTGCCTGGGGAAAAGCATATCTCTGCTGACTGGTCTCATGACCACAACCACACAGGGGCCTGTGGTGCTCCTGGGGGCAGCATGGCTCCCCAGACCTCTACCTTCCCAGGAAACTAGGTCCTTCTTTCCCTTCTCAACCTTCCAGTACCTTTGGGCCCTCATTTTACCTCTGCTAATTGGCTTTGTTCCCTATTTTACTGAAAAAATGGAGGAATCAGAAGAAATATTCCACAAATGTTTGAACCACTTCCGCTGTTCTGTGTCTGTGACTGCACCCTCCAGCCCCGCTCCGGGGAATGTTCCTGATGCTGCGTCTCATTGAGGTGGGGGTCAGGGGAGGGGTGCTCCCATCTCCTGTGCCCAAGGTCCGGTCCCCTCGGACCTGCTTGGGGGCTTCGCTCCGCAAACTTCCCCTCACCCTGCTGCATCATCAAAATGGTCATGCAGTTTGATGGTCATTCCCACCAGCAAAAAACTTGATTTTTCCTGGAAAAAAAAGAGGCCAGGCACCCTGGCTCACACCTGTAACTTTGGGCGGCTAAGACAGGTGGATTACTTGAGGTCAGGAGTTCGAAACCAGCCTGGGCAAAATGTTGAAACCCCTCTCTACTAAAAATACAAAAATTAGCCGGGCGTAGTGGCATGCGCCTGCAATCCCAGCTACTCGGGAGGCTGAGGCAGGAGAATCGCTTGAACCCGGGAGATGGAGAAGGTTGCAGTGAGCCGAGATGGCGCCATTGCACTCCAGCTTGGGTAACAGAGCGAAACTCTGTCTCAAACAAACAAAACAAAAAACTCAAAAGAGTTAGCTGCAATTCTTGTCATTTCCTCTCAGTCTCTTTAATGAAATAATGGTTTAACGAAGAGAAGCCAAGCTTTGTCCCGAAAGTGCCCCAACGTCCCCGGGACTCGCCTGCCTCGCGCTTTGCCCCGCAAAGGGACCTTCCTTGGGGTGCTGTGTGCCCCACAGTGGGTTGACCAAGCTGCCTATGGCAGGGCCCTAATGTGAGCACCAGTGTGGTAACTGAAGGAGCAGTTTGGTGGCCTGGAATGGCGTGCTTAGGGCCAACCCAGTCCTTCCTTGCAGATGACCCTCACGCTGGCTGGTTTTCTTCCAAATTGGTGCCAATCTAATGATATTTCCATGCTCAAAATTATGTCAATGGGGAGAATGGGGAGACATTGGTCAAAGTACACAAAACTTTAGTTAGACAGAAGGAGGAAGCTCAAGAGACCTGTCATACAGCATGGTGACTAGAGTCAATATATTGTATATTGAAAATTGCAAAGAGAGTAGATGTTAAGTGTTCTCACCATAAAAAGTATGGGGAGTTATGTATGTGTTAAATAGCTTGATTTAGCCATTCCACGATATACACATGTATCAGAACATCAGGTTGTATACCATACATATATACAATTTGTACTTGTCAATTGAGAAATTAAAATGTATATATACATCTCAACCCAAGCCTTCCTGTCTGAGCACTGTTGCGTGCTTGTGGCTGTGTTGTTCTCCCACTTCCTGAGCTGATTCTCTTCAGGTAAATGAATCAGTGTGGGTAGATCCATTTCATTTTGCCTCCTAGGCCTATCTGAACTGCTGCGAGGACTGGTTCTGACGTAGGAGCTGCTTTTGTGTTGAATTGGGTTTGTGGCAATGGTGACAGTCAGATGCTGTGGGGGGTGAGGCCACCCTGAGCTGGGGGAGGGTGTGGGGCACTAGTTGTCCACCCGTGTTCCATGTTACCATATGAAAAAAGTAGCTTACAGAGCATGTCAGTACAGCCTGTTCTCTTCTTAAAAGAAAACTGGCAGGGCATATTGGCTCACGCCTCTAATTCCAGCATTTTGGGAGGCTGAGGCGGGTGGATCACCTGAGATCAGGAGTCTGTGACCAGCCTGGCCAACATGGTGAAGCCCTGTCTCTACTAAAAATACAAAAATTAGCTGGGCGTGGTGGCACACGCCTGTAATCCCAGCTACTCAGGAGGCGGAGGCATGAGAATTGCTCGAACCCAGAGAGGCGGAGGTTGCAGTGAGCCGAGATCACGCCACTGCACTCCAGCCTGGGCAGCAAGAGCAAAACTCTATCTCAAAAGAAAAGAAAATTATCTGGGAAAAAAGACTTAAATGCTGAGCACCAACATATGAGCTGTTGTTATCTCTGAGTGTGATGACGAGGACTTTATTTTCTTCTTTTTAACTCCAATTCCTAATTTTTAAAACCAAGGATGCTGTGTTAAAAAACCCGTTAGAAAAATTACCAGTAACAATCAAGAAAGACAGGACTAGCAAAATAATATAAGAAACAACCTAAAGGGTAATCACAGCAAACTTCCCTAGGTTGTTAAACATGAGAGAAATGCCAGGCTTTTATTTAGAGAAAGCCAATTTGATTTGGAAGATCATCAACCTGGTTTGCGAAGTCATTGTCCCTGGGGCCTTATTATGTTCTTTCTGTTCTTAGAAGAGACCTGACCTGAGAGATTCTCAGCAAAGCACAACTAATAATAGAATTAAAATGATAACAGTTTGGATTATTTAGCCTAACAGAAAATGATGGCTTAAAAATGGTCTTTAAGTTAGTCAAGAGGTTTTAGGTGAAGACACTGATCAATTGTTAGCCATTTTCATAGGGGACAGAACAAGAAGAAATGGCCCTAAATTCATAAAGAGAGAGCTTAAGAGTGATCCCTGCCAGGGAGGCTGATGAAACACTGGCTATTGATGAACACTGGGCTCCCTCAGTCTAGGAGGACTCAAAAGAGGAAACACCATCTGTCATAGAAGATCTAGGGGATATTTTCCTGAGGCAGGCTGGCCAGAAGCTTCCTTCAAGTTCCAATCCTATGATATCTTCATGAAGGTGTAAACATACCTAATCCATTCCTGAATGACCTGTCCTGGAACTCAGTGTCTGTTTTTGGCCAGGCCCAGTCCTAGGAGAGCTGGTGGCCATCTGTGTAATTGGAGGGCTGCCAAAATACCATTTCTACTGCCGGGCCATGTCTGAGATCCTACCGGGCAACAGTCACTTTTTGGTCATCAAGTACCTGATGGGGACCGGGTGCAGTGGCTCACACCTGTAATCCCAGCACTTTGGGAGGCCGAGGCGGGCGGATCACAAGACCAGGAGATCGAGACCATCTTTGCTAACACTGTGAAACCCCGTCTCTACTAAAAGTACAAAAAAAAAAAAAAAATTAGCCAGGCGTGGTGGCGGGTGCCTGTAGTTCCAGCTACTCGGGAGGCTGAGGCAGGAGAATGGTGTGAACCCGAGAGGCGGAGGTTGCAGTGAGCCGAGATGGTGCCACTGCACTCCAGCCTGGGTGTCAGAGTGAGACTCTGTCTCACGTCTCAAAAAAAATAAAAAAAAAATCCCGATGAGGTGTGAGTAATGCACTTATGGTTTTCTTTTTTTTTTTTATGTTCAGAAAGGAATGTTTGGGGATTTTGAGATAACTAGTTTAGAATTTTGTCTCTTGAGGAATTATTAAGAAAAATTATCCAAAACTTAGAACTAAGGCAAAGTGGAAAGGGGCATGTCCTCTCAATGTTGTGCTGGGACACTGTGTGACAGGCTGAGCCAGGAGTTGTTTTGAGGGAGAATATACCTGTGTTTAACTTTACCGTTTACTAGGTGATAAGCCCAAACACAGTGAAGTCACACGTAACTTGTCAATTTCTGTTTCCAAGAAAAGATAACCAGAAAGGTTGTAGTCTTATTCCTGTGTAGGACATTAACCAGTTTGTGTGTGTGTGTGTGTGTGTGTGTGTGTGCACGCCTGTTTGAATCATGGCTTTGCTCTATCACCCAGGCTGGAGTGCAGTGGTGCAATCATAGTTCACTCCAGCCTTGACCTCCCAGGCTCAAGTGATTGTCACCACTCAGCATCCCAAGTAGTTAGGGCCCAAGGCTGCTTGCCACCTACACCCAGCTAATTTTTGTTGTTGTTGTTGTTTTTTTTTGTTTTTGTTTTTGTTTTCGGTAGAGACGGGGTTTTCCCATGCTTCCCAGGCTGGTCTTGAACTCCCAGGCTTAAGTGATCCACCCACGTCAGCCTCCCAAAGTGCTGGGATTACAGATGTGAGCCACCGTGCCTGGCCCGGTTTTATATCTAACCTAGCAGTCCTTCTCGCATTCTGTTTTGTTCTTAAATGCTGATGAATTCCACAAATGCTCTTTGATTCCTCTTTACTATCCTCTTGGCTTGCTCATTAATGAGTTCAATGTTCATTTTATATTTGTGTGAGAGTCATGTGTTTAGATTTTGAAACTCAGTACTTTGACAGGAAGGAGAGGAGACATTAGGGCAATAACTTTAAGAGTGTGACATTGATTCTCCTCTGCCTAAGATGAATATATGGTCATTCCTTGAAGCAGGAAGATGAATCAGTTCTCAGGTGACCCATGAATAGTTAATCCCTTGGTGAGCAAGAGCTAATTGGATTTTTTTTCCAACCTTAACAGCTAACTAAGCAAGGTCTGCCTGGTGGGTTGTGGGTGAAGCCACCCTGGGAAGCCAGGGTGGGAAAGAGGGAATTCTTTTTTTTTTTTTTTTGTGAGACAGAATCTCGCTCTGCTGCCCAGGCTGGAGTGCAGTGGCGTGATCTCAGCTCACTGCACCTTCCACCTCCTGAGTTCAAGTGATTTTTATGTCTCAGCCTCCTGAGTAGCTGGGATTACAGGCACCTGTCACCATGCCTGGCTAATTTTTGTATTTTTAGTAGAGATAGGGTTTTGCCATGTTGGCCAGGCTGGTCTCAAACTCCTGATCTCAGGTGATCCACCCACCTTGGCCTCCCAAAGTGCTGGGATTACAGGTGTGAGCCACCGCGCCCGGCCTGGAAGGAGGGAATTCTGGCTGCTGTCGTGACTGGGGTTCTGAAACAAGAGCCCTGGTGGATGCCAGGGTCGAACTGGAGAATCAGATTTCAGAGGGGAAGGAATTCAGGGAGAGACAAGTTCTGGTGTGGTTGCGGGAGAAGGTGGCTGAAGTGGGACGGGAAGCTCATTGGAGCAGAGGAGTTAAGGCAGAGAGTGGCTGGGAGTCAAAGGAGCCGCCTGTGGCGGTGCTGAGCTCCTCCCTGATGGTGACAGGCCCTGGGGTGGCAACAATAGCACCTGCTCTGGGCTGTCTGGAGGGAAGTGGAGTGCCTGGGGGAGACCCAGACCCCAGGCATGGCCAGAGGGTGGAGGGGCCCTGGGAGGGAAAAGGGTGGCAGTGAAAGTCTCTTTTAAACGGAATGGGGGGAAGGAGTGCAGGATAGCGGGGGTTCATGTTGCAGATCTATACAGGGAATGAGGGTCTAGGAGAGAGCTGTTTTTTTGTTTTGTTTTGTTTTTTGTTTTCTTGAGACAAGGACTCTGTTGCCCAGGCTGGAGTACAGTGGCAGGTTCACAGCTCACTGCAGCCTCAACCTCCTGGGTTCAAGTGATCCTCCCACCTCAGCCTCCCAAGCAGCTGGGACTACAGGCACCCGCCATCACGCCTGGCTGATTTTAAAATTTTTTTGTAGAAACGGGGTTTCACCACGTTGCCCAAGTTGGTCTTGAACTCCTGGGATCAAGCCATCCCGCCCACCTCGGCCTTCCAAAGTGCTGGGAGTACAGGCGTGAGGCACCGCGCCAGGCCAGGGCCAATATTTTGGACCAAGCCAAACGATTTCTAGGATGAGAGGCATGAATGGAGAAGGCCGTGAGAGACCCATCCATCCACCGTGAAAATTATCTGGTGACATCACCAGAGGGTCTGGGTGCCTGAGTGAGGTCGCAGCCTTCGCCGCCCAAGCCCAAAGGCACAGGGAGGGCAACCTCAGACACCCGCTTGTAGGGCAGGGACATCTCCTGTTAGGCTTTCCTCGGGAAGAAAAAAGGGAGGAAGTGGCCTCCCCTGCCTCACCCGCCCGCCGCTGGTGAAAGCTCGGGGCAGCTGACCCACCTGCCCAAGCCATAGAATGCAACAGCGGTGCCTGCAGCTTCTGTGCCTGCGGGGCTTATCTTGCTGGTGGTCGACGATCTGCAGATGGTTTAACTCCACTCCTGTCTCCCGCCCTGGGGCTGCCAATCTGTCCAAAACTCAGCTGCCTGCTGGTCTGCACTGCGGAGGGCTTGGGGCCCCCACTCGAGGGGCCTGAGCTTCTCAGAGGCGTCTCCTGAATAAAACAAAACGCCGTGTGCTGCGCGCTTTGTGTGGGGGCTGCTTCACTCTGTGTCTCTCGATCACAGCTGCAAATTCCAGTTTTATCTGTTGTGTTTTTGAGCCTGTTTGCTTTTGATTACAGTTTGGTTTTGAAAGAGAAGAGGCACACACTATCCAGCTCCCTTTCTTCTCTCTCAGATGGAGCAATAGAGCTTTTTTATAGTGGAATCGGTTTTTTCCATTATTGCGCATTTAATTTTATTATTCTACCGCCTTGCATTTTGAATTGCATAGGGGAAGAAACACATAAAAGAATACTCCCCCGCCCTGCCCCCCTAGTTGATTGTCGAAAAAAAAAAGATGTAGCATGATGATTTTTTGCCTGTGACCAACAGAATTACATTTTACGTTTGAAAGAACTCTCCGTGTGAACGCTGTCAACACAACAGATACGGATACAAGATTCAAAGTACGGTCAACCCCTCACATCACACGCGAAGTCCATTTCCTCCATTGCTGATGGTTCTCTCCAAGGCCGCAATGTGCCGCAGAGCACGGTCGCTTGGGCTTCCGAAAAGAAGCTGAGTACAGTATTCATTTTGCGCATCTGCCTTTCTATTCAAACCAACTGAAAACATCGTTTAATTCCAGGTGCTCTGGTCTAGCTTTCGTTACAGCCACTGTGGCTCCCAGTTACTTCTTCATCACCCTGGTCTTTGTTTTCTTGCTCTGGAAAGAGGACAAGGAAAACCTCGGTCTTTGGAATGAAGTGTGTCCCTTACTTGCTCAAACAGGCTTGCAAAAGATCTGGTTGCATTTTATATGAAGCCTTGTTACATGTTGTAAAGTTTTCGTTCTTAGGTCTGAATCCACATTTCTTACCATTTTCTTTTTCTTTATTTTTATTTTTATTTTTTTGAGATGGAGTCTCGCTCTGTCGCTCAGGCTGGAGCGCAGTGGCGGGATCTCGGCTCACTGCCACCTCTGCCTCCTGGGTTCAAGCAATTCTCCTGCTTCAGCCTCCCGAGTAGCTGGGACTACAGGCGCCCGCCACCACGCCTGGCTAATTTTTATATTTTTAGTAGAGACGGGGTTTCGCCATGTTGGTCAGGATGGTCTCGAACTCCTGACCTCAGGTGATCCGCCCACCTCGACCCCCCAAAGTGCTGGGATTACAGGCATGAGCCACCACACCCGGCCACCATTTTCTACTGTGTTTTCTTACCACAGAGCTGGGCTGAGTAGGTATTTAAATAAGGGGCTAATGCCTCTATTGTTATTTCTAGTAAGGAAAATGGAATCACAGGAGAGGGCACGTGCCTTGCCCGAAATCCCCACAATTTAGGGGAAGGGCTTTGATGACATCCTGTTGCTTCTGTTTCAATTTGTACAAATAAAAGAGAAGCAACCGTATCTAATCTGTAAGATAGTTTTTTTTATTTTTATTTTTTTATTTTTTAAAAAGGGAGGCAGATGACCAGGCGTGGTGGCTCACACCTGTAATCCCAGCACTTTGGGAGGCCAAGGCAGGTGGATCACGAGGTCAAGAGATCAAGACCATCCTGGCCAACATGGTGAAACCCCATCTCTACTAAACATACAAAAATCAGCTGGGCGTGGTGGCGCGTGCCTGTAATCCCAGCTACTTGGGTGGCTGAGGCAGGCGAATTGCTTGTCCCTGGGAGGCGGAGGTTGCAGTGAGCTGAGACCGTGCCGTTGCACTCCAGCCTGGGCGCCAGAGCGAGACTCCATCTCAAAAAAAGACAGAAGTACATCTAATTGCTGTTAGATTTAGGATAAGAACGAAGACTGATCTGCTTCCTGCTGACAGAGGGTGCCATTTTGGGGAAACGGCAATCAGAGCTCCCTCAGAGGCCTACGTAAGGGTCCCTGGCAGAAGGGGCTATTGTCAGAGGTTCTGGTTGCATGACCGCTTGGAGTTTGATGGCCTGAAGGCAAGAACAGACAAATGGGGTTATTAGAAAACATGTGTCAATACGAAACAAGTGCAGGGGTAAGGACAACTCAGAAATTCCGAGGCATTTTACCAGTTTGCACAGGGAGAGGGAGGCCAAAAGCCTAACTAACTGGTTAAAAAAACTTTACCCTTTTGCCGGCATGTTGGGCTTCTGGGTTTCCTTCCCCTGAACCCAGTCCTAAGCCAACCAGTTTAAGGTTTGGGAAATTAACTCTTTCCAGTTTGGAGGATGCATCTGAGGGGAGGGTCCCATAGTACAGAGACACAATTACCTATCAGTGAAGAGAGGACAGAGGAAAAGAAAGGAAAAAGAGAAGGCATTTTTTCAAAGGAGTCCCAGGGATTCAGGATGCATTCTAAAGGGGCACAGACTGAAGATGAAGGGCTACTCATCTAGAAAGAGAGGAGCAGGTATCCCTGGCTCCCTTCTCTTCCTAACAGATACCTGGGGTACTTGAGGGAGAAGGGGAAGAGCATCCTCTTTCCCTCTTCCATCCTTGCATTCCTCGAGTCCCGGTGACCTTGGCAGGTCCTGCCATGAGTGCTAAAGCGACTTGCACCCATGAAGCAGGGAGGGCCTAGAGAATAGAAACTATCTGCTCTCACCTATGTCTCTTTCCGACCTGCTGTCAGTAGCCTTGGAGTTCCCTGGACCTCATTTATGCCATGGATATTAAGGTGGCCTTTATCCATGAAACAGGAAGCTTGGGCTTGGCTTAATCAGCAGGAATCAACCACCCTCACCTGCGCGGTGCCTTTTAACTTCTGTTTTTGTCTGCATCTGGATCTCTTAGATCCAGTTTTCTTTCATAGGGCTTTGACCCAAAGCTTGGAATTGAGTTTAGGATAAAAATATGTCTCTGGGGGGTTGCATGGACTCCTTATCATAAGCTGAATGCTAAGGTGAAGATGTGGAACTGAGTCCTCCAACAAGAGAGAAGAAAGGATGTCTTGTGACACACCCAGATAACCGGTAGCTATAGTTATGCTTTCTGGGATTTGGCTGCATGCCACTTGGCTTTGGTTAGCTACCTTGGTTTTACTTTCCCCCCAAAAAGCCTCTGGGTGATGGACATCCTATTTATTCCCATCACCTGGCAGGATTTGCAGGATAACTGCTCAGAACTAGAATATTGATCCAGATTTTTACATTTCCCATCCCTCTTGTTCTTTCTGAGCTGCAGCTGGAGATTGCTGGTTGGTTCACAGGAAGAAGCAGGGTTAGTCTAAAATGTAGGCAAAAACTTAAAAACAACTAGCGAGTTTAGAATTTAATGACAAATATAAGCTTGGAAACATGATTTCTCTCTCTCCAGTCCTCATGTTTGTTAAAAAAACAAATGATCATAGGACTGAATGGTTCGCAAAATAAACTTTAGTCTTATTCTTGGCTTGATTATTTGGATAAAGTGCAGCAAGAATAATTATTTCTACATAGGCCTTTTGGATTGGCTTTGATGGAAGTTTGTTCCACAAGAAGTCTCAGATAAGACCTTCTAAAGCTGAGCCCAACCATGGGTTTGTATCCTCAAACACCTGTGAGTTGGATGATTTTCTCCTCTTAAGGTCCCAAGATAAACTTGGAGCTCCTAGACCTGTTAGACCTGTTAGAAAGTGACATTCCACAGGTCAGGAACCCTGTACAGGGACTGCACAGACGAGCGTATGAGGTCAGTTTCCCCCATGGGGCTTTTATCGGCTCTGCGAATCGAGATTGACTCCTTAAAGGGAAGCATACCCTTCCAGTCAAAGCCTTGGTAAAATAATCACTTTCTCCAATTGTGTCCTGTTGCAAAAGAAAAATGGATTCCTATTGCACTGATGCAAACAACTATATTGCCATAAGAATACTCATAGATAGTTTCCAAATTCTAGAGGAACCAGGCAGAGAGAAACAAACATGCTCCACGTTTTCGTTCATAGGAGTATACCTTACTCAATTACTAAAGGCCATAATAGTTCAAAACAAGTTTCCTTGACTATGAAAAACAAAACAAGGATCAACAATATTCCAAGAAAAAGTCAAAAAGTTTACTTCAGCTTCGTGAGCTCAGCTTATTTAGTTAACTCCAGTTTTGTTTGATATTTGTGAACATTTCTGCTTTTTGTGAGTCCTGTACATTTTCCTTTATTCCAGTGTCACAGTCTCCAAAGTTATCAAACCTGATTGTCTCAAATACAATCAGAAATTGTATCTGAAAGCACCTGTCAGAGTCTTATACCCTGTTATAAACCATCTTTTGAAAAGGATTAAAACAAGACAACAATTGTCTATGAACAGCAGAATGTCCAGAGTAGTTACAGTTAGAAACACAATTGACAAAGAAGTTTGGTTATCTCTGTGGTTTACAATAACTTAACATAAAAACCTTAATTATGGTTGATAGCATATACTCAGACATTAGAATTTTAGAAATCCTGTACAATTTTGGAACATATATTAGCATTATTCACCAAGATATAACCTAAAGAAGATTGAGCATCATTTTGGCAATCCCATGTACCTAAACATGTCAAATAATCCTGTTTACTTCTCTTTTCTGGACACTCCAGGGGCCCTCTGAAGTATTCAAAAAGCAAGATGTCAGGAAAGACAATTTTGAAACTGAAGTTTGATTTTGGGAAGGCTAGTAAATGTTTGAGGTTTAAAACATTTGCTATTATGAAATAGAGTTCCAGATTACTATAAGTTATTTATTTTGCCAAAGTGATGACTTAGAAATTTAAAGAAACAAAAAGCTTTTATAAACCTTTATAAACTTTGCCAAAGAGCAGATTAGTATTTTAAGAATTCCTTGTTGTGTTTTTATTTCAATACTCAATTTACAGAAAAACCATATGTTTGAAATGTTTGTTCCCTGGTGCCGTAAAGAAAGAGCACTTGAACATAAATTTAATTTTCTCAGCAAGGCCATTTTTATATTTTTGGCAGAAAAGTTACACTTGCCAGCAGTTTTGCCATGAGAGTATATCGAACAAAGGAGACAGGGTCATTTATAACCTGACGCGTCCACCCTACTGCTGTGTCTGGTTTTCATTGGCAGGAACGGGACCTTACGTTTTGTATTTGTCCTGATTGGCCAGCAACTTAGAACTTTTTAAAAGAGGCAAAGACAGAGGAGAATAAAGGAAGGAAGAAGTAACTTGTGGAATGCTGAGAAAGGTAAAAACACCTTTAAATAAAGAAGAGGAACAGGCTATGACCTAATGCTTGCTTGGACCAGTATAAGCACGCCAAGGCAAATATTTAGGCTAAACTGTGGGACCTAAGAATATGAAGTATATTGACTTTTTTATTACGGCTAGCAGCTATTTAAGAATGTTAGCACAGGTCTTTGAATAAATTTTGATTTTTTTTTTTTCTTTTTTAGACGGAGTCTTGCTCTGTCACCCAGCCTGGAGTGCAGTGGCGCAGTCTTGGCCCACTGCAAGCTCTGCCTCCCAGATTCATGCCATTCTCCTGCCTCAGCCTCCTGAGTAGCTGGGACTACAGGTACCCGCCACCACGCCTGGCTAATTTTTTGTATGTTTTTAGTAGTGACAGGGTTTCACCATGTTAGCCAGGATGGTCTCAATCTCCTGATCTCGTGATCCACCTGCCTTGGCCTCCCAAAGTGCTGGGATTACAGGCGTGAGCCACCGTGCCCGGCCTAAATTTTGTTTTTAAGAGAAGTTACTATTTATTCCTAATTAGATGGAGGGGAAAGTTTTTGAAGAGGAATCTTTGCTTTTTACAGGTATAATACTCTTGAATTTAGCTAATATGTTTGCATAGAGACCCTCTTCTGCAAGATTAACTTCCACAATTCTTCCACTTCTTCTTCGAACCTTCAGCTTCTTCCTAATTTAACTCAAAACAATCTTTAAACCCTAGGTAAAGGTTTACATTTCCATGTCTTCTTATAACTTTTCACCAAAAAACCACATTTTACTGTTCTTACACACCTTGCTTGTAAATCTATTTCTAGTAGTTTCAATTAACTCCTAGCAATTTTTAACTTTAAGGTAAAACTTGGTAACTTGCTTTAATTGTGTGCTAAGTGCAGCCAAGGTTTGACTCCAGCATAATTAAGGGCATAGCTAATTCCATGTCCTCAGTCCCTACCAGTTGTGAAGCTGACAAGTCAAATAGTTCTCAAAACCCCAAAAGCAGTTTGTAACCTCAAAACAGTTAGCAAACCTTGCATCTGACCTGCATTTTACCAATAGTCTTTAGGGCTGTTTTTATTTCTTAATGATTAAAGTCACGTGAACTGAAAGGTACCACAGCTTTTAACTTCCCTTTAAAAAATATTAGATCCAAGTGCTTGTCTTTCTTTAGACTAAATTAGTTAGAACTCTTTTTCCAGGCATCACACACAGTACAGGCAAAAGAGAACCCAGTCGCTGGGTGGGAACCTTTAAGAGACAGGGCTAAGAAAACATGGAGGTATCAAATCTGAGAGGGCTGTTCCCCTCAGGCAGGGTTGCTAAACAAAGCCTTGCCAAGCAATTACCAGCCATGCCCCCAGGGTGTAAAGCAAGATGGAAGCTTGCAACATAAACCATGCAGACAAGCAAAGCACACCAGATTGACCACAGCCCAAGACTAGCCCCACAAATCCTTTTTCACAATTAAAACTTTACAGAAAATACAAACAGTTGTAGTTGCAGGGAGCCTGGACTAGTAAAGTGTCTTCTAAAAGAAAAAAAAACTTTAAAGGTTAACTTTTTGACCAGGTAGATAAGGGGAAAGAAAAAAAAACAGTTTAAAAATGCCTGGGGAAGAACTTCTTATTCTTATGCAAGTGGTTCCTCCACCGGGAAGAGAAGTTTAAGCTTAATTACTGTCCAATAGAGTTAAACACCTTGACCATGGATGGAGAAGGCTACGGCAGCAGCATGTGGCTGGGAACCAGCCAGCCAGCTGTGCAGGACTCTTGGGCCATACTTCCCAGCCCTGGCAGGGCGGGGAGATGCTGCTCTGTGGTGGGTCCTGAAAAAGGAAGGAAAAGGCCATGAAAAGGCCCAGGAGTGATGGGAAAGAGGGGATGGGGGTGTGGAAAAGGCTTAGAAGCAGCAATGAGAGGTTTTGAGTCCCCGTTTCACTCACTGCTTCTCGAGCCCCATGTTGGGCGCCAAAAATGTTGCAGGACTTTTCTTTAGTTCAGCTAAAGGTGGGGTTCTTTGAAAATTCAGGCTCGCAGACAATTTGAATGGTGAGTGAGACAGGATTTTATTGAGTGAAAAGGAAGCAAAGGGGGAAACAGGGACTCTTATTAGGCCAGGGTCCCTGCTAGAGTGTTTCTCCCCCACAGCTCAAATGCCAGGCTCCATGCAGGAAGAGGAGGGGCCAAGCTCAGGCTCTCCCTGCTGCAAACGTCTTGAACTTCCTGAGGCTGCACCTCAGTGGGGAGGCTAGTTGGAGTTTCTCCAGGGACCCCTTCCCACCTGGCTGTCTCATCATCAGGTGACCCCTCTTCTCATCCCAAAGCACTGAGCTTTTGTCTATAAATTACAAATTTTATCAGGAATTCCAGCAACATATTGAAACTAAAAATAAAAACAAACCATTGGGGGTATTTTTAAAACTTCAAATCAAGTAATCTATTTATACCAAAAATGTCATCATCATTATAATACTCATTTGTTTGTTATAGTTATTATTTTATCTACTGCATGATAACCTTAAAAAGTAGTTGTGATCACTCCCATTTTCAGATGAGGAAACTGGGGTTTGAAGAAGCACAATGCTTTTTGAAAATCCCCCCCAGCTCTTGTGTCTCCAAAGCCTGGCCTTCCTCACTATCTTACAGTCTGCCTTCTGACAGTTTCTGAAATCTGCAAGGCTCACCATGTAGCTGGTGCCACAGTGGCATTTTCAGAGGGGTGCTGCTTCCTGCAGAATGCACTTGACGTCGGGTAGCACAGCAGGGTGCGGTAATGGTGACAAGAATCAGCTGCAGTGTGGTTTCGATGTTTTCCAACAAACATTCCTCCAAGTGTGGGAGCAGGGAGCACAGGCCATGCCACCATCTCCAGTGGGTACAGTTCTACTTGGTAATTAGATAAAAGATTTGGGCAGACACGGTTTTGCATCTGCACCCCATAATGAATGTGGGGGCAGTTCTGAATTCAGGGACAGGAGGAAACCATAATATATTCATTCATTGTAATTACTTGGGGGTAGTTCTTGCAGGTAGTTCTTTTGCTAACCCCCACGGTACAGGCTGGGTCCGAGGCAAGCTTCCTGGGCCTGTGGGTAGAGTTCTAGTTCGGTTTCAGGAGCAAAATCACTCTGGGTAACTCCTATCTTTATGCTGGTGGCTCCTTCCAGTTCCCAGTCTGGCCTGCTCTTCTTGTGTGGACCCAGAACCCCAGCTCAGCTGGTTAAACCTATATTTGACTTTGCTGGGCCTTGGACTGTTTATGAGACTTTAGCTATGGCTCACTGATCTGTGTTATCCCTTTATTTCTGGGCTTTCTGTTTGGTTTTGAGCTCAGTTAGGTAATAGAATTCCTTTTTTTTTTTTTTTTTTTTTTTTTTTTTTAGACAAGGTCTTGCTCTGTTGCTTAGGGTGGAGTGCAGTGGCACAATCATGGCTTACTGCAGCCTTGACCTCCTGGACTCAGGTGATCCTTCCACCTCAGCCTCCTGAGTAGCTAGGACTACAGACACCGGCTACCATGCCTGACTAATTTGTTTTTATTTTTTGGTAGAGACGAGTTCTCACTATGTTGCCCAGGCTGGTCTCAAACTCCTGGACTCAGGTGATCCTCTGCCTCCTGAAGTGCTGGGATTACAGTCATGAGCCATCGCACCTGGCCTGTAACACAATTCTTGTGTTTCATTCTCTTTCTCTGGTGGCTGGATTTTGGGAATTTCACCAGATTATGCCCAAGTGGGATTCTCTTTTTTGCTTTTCAAATTATTATTATTATACTTGCTTGGTACTTATAGTTTACATTCTGGTCCCCAAATTGGTTTTTATTCAGTTAAGGAGCATTTTCTTCTATTTGTTTGTTAAGTTTGTTTCTTCTTATCTTTCCCTGCCTTTTTTTCAGGAATGCCTGATATTCAATACTCAATAGTCAATATTCTCACAGTAGCTGATATTCTCGAAGCTGTATTCCTGTCTCTTATATTTTTATTTATGATTTTCACTTCACTGAATTTTTGCTCCATGTTCTGAGACAGTTTCTCTTTGATCATTCAGATCAGATTGTTTATGGGTACCATCAGGAGATGGGTTAAGGCTGAAGGATGGATGGAACTCTGCATTTTTCATGCTCATTGTTCAGGGATGGTTTACATCTGGATGGCAACAGGATCCCAAATCCCTTGTTGGGGATGCTACTTTGGTAAGGGTGCAGCTTCATACTCTGAGTCTGACCCCAGATGGCATTTCCAATCTGATGGATCCCAGGATGAATTTAGCTTCTAGAGGCAGTAGCAGTACAGACGGTTTTGAAGTTGAGTTTATCCTTTGACCCTCTTGGTTATTTGTTGGACTCAGTTCTCTCTGCTGCTTAAAGGACCCCCATTTGCTCATCACCCTGCAGCCTGTTCTGGTTATTGTCACTGTTTGTCTCTGGGTCAACTTCCTCACAAGCCTGTGAGTTCCATCCACCTTTGCACCTGTTTTAGTCCACTCAGGCTGCCATAACAGGATACCACACACAGACTGGGGGGCTTAAACAACAGACATTTATTTTCTCACAGTCCTGGGCACTGACAGTCCAGATCAAGGTGTTGGCAGGTTTGGTTTCTCCTGAGGCCTCTCTCCCTGGCTTGCAGATGGCTGCTTTCTTATTTATTTATTTATTTATTTATTTATCTTTGAGATGGAGTCTCGTTATGTCTCCAGGCTGGAGTGCAGTGTGCAGTGGTGTGATCTTGGCTCACTGCTAACTCCACCTCCTGGGTTCAAGTGATTCCCCTGCCTCAGCCTCCCGAGTAGCTGGGACTATAGGTGTGCGCCACCATGCCCAACTAATTTTTTTTTTTTTTTTTTTGAGACAGAGTCTTGCTCTGTTGCCCAGGCTGGAGTGCAGTGGTATAATCTGCAACCTCCACCTCCCGGGTTCAAGCGATTCCCCTGCCTCAGCCTCCCGAGTAACTGGGACTACAGGTGCATGCCACCATGCCTGGTTAATTTTTTTGTATTTTTTGTAGAGGTGAGGTTTCACTGTGTTGACCAGGCTGGTCTCAAACTCCTGACTTCAAGTGGTCCACCCACTTCGGCCTCTGAAAATGCTGGGACTACAGGTGTGAGCCAGTGTGCCCAGCCAAGTTTCTTCTTATAAAACACCAATCAGATTGGATTAGGGCCCACCATAACGACCTCATTTAACCATAATTGCCTTTTTAGAGACATTGTCCCCAAATATAGTCACATTCTTAGGTACCAGGGATAAGGGCTTCAACATAATGAATTTTGGGGAGACACAATTCAGTCTATAACACACTCCTAGAGCTTAATGTAGGCCTGGCTTATAGTAGGTGCCCAGTAAATGTTGAGGGCCTGATTGAAGCTTTCCCAAATGTATTCTCTTTCCCCATTTTGATTTTCAAGCAAATTGTGATGCCTAGGATGGCATCACACTTTTTCTTTTTCTTTTATTTATTTTTACACAGGGTCTCACTCTGTTGCCCAGGCTGTAGTGCAGTGATATAATCTCAGCTCGCTGCAACCTCTGTCTCTCAGGCTCAAGCGATTCTCCCACCTTGGCTTCCTGAGTAGCTGAGACTACAAGAGCACACCCTCCACACCCAGCTAATTTTTAAACTTTTTGTAGAAACAGGGTTTCAATATGTTGCCCGTCCTGGTCTTGAACACCTGGGCTCGAGATATCCATCTACCTTGGCCTCCCAAAATGTTGAGATTACAGGCGTGAGCCACTGTGCCCAGCCCAAATTTTTTCTTATGCTAAATTAAGAACTATTACTATCTCTTATTGCCTATTTTCAGTTTATCCTTAGCCAGTCATTTTTTGCAAGCAATTCTATAGTGTGTGGATACATGGTCTTTAGTTTTTCTTCTATTTCATGGTGAAGAGATGAGCTCTATGCCTGTGGTCAGTTTCAGCTGATAGTCTCTGTGGCAAGGCCACTGAATTTTTCACAACAGGCCTGTGTGTGTTTCTCTATGGGGATTTGAATTGTATTATAGCATGCTGGATTTACCTTCTTGGGAATTTAGTTTCTTTTTTATTTCTAAACATGTTTTCTCCATTTCATTGTATTTATTCTTGTGCTCTGCCTTAAGCTCTGACAAATTTGAATTTTTCAAAAGCACAGAGAAATGCTTTATGTCAGTTATTTGCAGGTGTTCTTCTAGTTTATAATAATAACAAAAAGATGGAATTAAACATCTTTTCCTTTGGCTATTCCATTCTTTTGCATTCTTCATTTTTGTATTTTGCTTTGTCTCCTCATTGAATTTTTGATCTCTGAAATAGCAATTTAAAATAACTATCCAATGGTGTATGTACCCACAACAGTTTCTTGCCAAGCATGCAGAATGAATGGATTCCTTATTCACATGTTAAATGCCTACATAGCAGAGTCTATGTATAGCACTGAGACGGAAGTCTGGAATTGGGTCCTATGAGGGATATCATCAAGATGACAGCTTCCAGTGCATTTAGAATTTCATTGAATGTAATAGTTCACCAATGCTATCTAATAAAACAATGTGATTCTCTTCTTTACATGGCCTCAAGAGCCCATAGAAATTCACGTTCTGGCTATTCTGAACTTCTTGCAATGACCCACACTTTCTTTTTTATTTTTTTTGTTTTTGAGATGGAGTCTCACTCTCTCGCCCAGGCTAGAGTACAGTGGTTTGATCTTGGCTCACTGCAACCTCTGCCTCCTGGGTTCAAGCGATTCTTGTACCTCAGCCTCCCAAGTAGCTGGGATTACAGGCACATACCATCATGCCCAGCTAATTTTTTTTATTTTTAGTAGGAACGGGGTTTCACCATGTTGGCCAGGCTGGTCTTGAACTCCTGACCTCAGGTGTTCCACCCGCTTCAACCTCCCAAAGTGCTGGGATTACAGGGGTGAGCCACCGTGCCCAGACCATGACTCACATTTTCTATGCTCTGGTTGTTTTCTGGCTTGTAAACATGGCTTTTGCCTGCTGAGAACACTTTTCCTCCCCTGCTCACTGGGAAGCCTTCCTGAACCCAAACTAGCCTAGGTCCTCTTCAAGCTCTCTTCAGGAGCTTCCAAAAATCCTTGCTCCTTCTCCTGAGCATGTACTTGTTTGCAAGTGATTGTTGATATGTCTCTTCCTTACTTTTGGCTAAGGGTTCTTTCTGTGCCGTGGACCATCCTAGGCAGCTGATGAAGTCTATGGATCTTTTGCCAGAGTTATGTTTTAAATGCATAAAATAAAACACACTGGGTTCTAGTTCAGGGCAAGTTGGAGTAAGCACACTCCACCCTGACTCCCGGTGAATGTTGCTATAAAACCCATACAAGAATGTATGGAATAGCTACTTAAAGACTCTGAAAAGCAAAGGGTAGCCAGCAAATTGGTAAAGAAGACAGAACTCAAGTACCGCTGAACTGGTGGTGAGTTACCATTTTTCCCCCCTCCAGAATCACCTGGTCTGGATTCAGTGCAGTCTGAAAACCCAGAAGTGGGCACTGGTGCAGACAGAGAGCCCCAGAGGAGCCCCCTAGTCTGGCTTGAAGGAGCAGAAAGGAAGTCTCCTAATACTTAGAAGGAGTGAAGAAACCCCCTGTTTTGTTTTGCTTTTTCTTTTCTTCATTCTCTTGTGTCCCAGCGCCCAGGCACTCCTGTGGTAGTAGGGGCACAAGAGCTCACAGGAGCCCAAAACTCTGAGGCAGGAGAATCTTTCCTGAATCAGAGGAGCTGCTGTCCCAAGAGAGTGAAGAAAATCCCTAATGCTTTTTTTCCCCACTCTGTTATCCTACTGCTTTTCCCTGGACACAGATACAGTTGTGGGAAGTATATAGCAGAACAGGCTAAGTAAAGCCCCGGCTTTCTGGCCAGATGACCAAAAAATTGAGCTCCTGGGAACAGGAAAGTACTAGGAAGTGGGAAGAGCTGGGAAAAGCAACCCTATAAAGTTGTTTATGAACTTCTAGACTTACCCCTGGGATATACACGAATAGAACTTACCCTAAATAACATAGACAGACTAAGAGAACTGAACTACAAAATAAACCATTGCCCAGGTCTCAGACTGGTCACTGGATAATGTACATATACAAAGGGATAGATCTGAAGTATTGGAAAACAGAACTGATATTGGAACCATAATCCATAGAAGACCAGTGGGACTTGTGACCTGAACTCAGCCAGATCGATTTCCTACTTTAAAAACAAGCAAAACAAAACAATATTCTCTATAGGATTTAGATAAGATCTAGAGTCTTATAATCATCAAAATATCCAGGATACAATCAATAATTACTCAACACATATGAAGACTTGGTAAAATTTCAACTAGTATGGAAAACGACAATCAACACGCCAATGCTGAGATGACACAGAATTTAAAGCAGCTATTATAAAATACTTGAACATATAAGGGCAGACATTCTTGAAATAAATAAAAAAAAGTCTTAGAAAAGAGATAGAAGATATAAAGCAGAACCAAAAGGGAATTTCAGAAATGAAAAATACTATAACTGAAATAAAAATCTCACTGGATGGACTCAATGGCAGAATGAAGACAACAAAGAAGAGTGAGTGAATTTCGATATAGATCAATAGAAATTATGAAACCTGAACAATATGGAGAAAACAGATAGAAAAATAAAAGAGAACCAAGCTTTATGAACCCGCCTGGAAATACCAAAAGTCTAACACTGTTGTAATAGCATTCGTAGAAAGAAATGAGAAAATATGTGGTACCTTAAAAAAATTCAAAGAAATAATGGCTGAGGCCAGGCATGGTGGTTCACACCTGTAATCCCAGCACTTTGGGAAGCTGAGGTGGGTGGATCACCTGAGGTCAGGAGTTCAAGACCAGCCTGGCCAACATGGCAAAACCCCGTCTCTACTAAAAAATACAAAAATTAGCCAGGCATCATGGCGGGCGCCTGTAATCCCAGCTACTCAGGACGCTGAGGCAGGGAGAATTGCTTGGATCTGGGAGGCAGTGGTTACAGTGGGCAAAGATCGCGCCATTACACTCCAGCCTGGGCAACACAGTGAGACTCCATCTCAAAAACAACAACAACAACAACAACAACAACAACAACAACAACACGGCTGAAAGTTTCTCAAATTTGGAGAAAAACAGAAACTTACAGAGTCAAGAATCCCAGGAAATCTCAAATAGAATAAACCCAAAGAAATCCATGCCCAAACACATTCTTATTAACTGCTGCAAACTAAAGAAAACATATTTCCAGAAGCCAGAGAAAAACAGCACATTACTTATAGGGCAACATAATTCAAATAGCAACAGATTTTACAGAAGGAAATAGAACATTTTTTAAGTGCTAGAAGAAAAGAACTGTCAAACTACAATTCTATATTCAGTAAAAATATCCTTCAGGAATGAAGATAAAATAAAGACATTCCCAGGTGAAGAAAAATGAAGACTTCGTTGTCACCACACTATTGTTACAGGAAGTTCTTCAGGCAGATGGGAAATGACACCAGAAGAAGATATGAAGAGCAACAAAAATGACAGATAACTGGGCAAACATAATAGACTGTTCTTCTTCTCTTGAGTTCTTTAAAATATATTTGATGGTAGAAAGCAAAAATTATAACATCGTCTAGTGGGGTTTTCAATGTATGTTGATATAACAAATAAGACAACCACAACATAAAGGAGGATGGGTAAAGAAACCCATATATGGTGGTAATATATCACTTGAAGTGGTAAAATATACACTGACTGTAAAAAGTTAAGAATATATATTTTAATCCCTAGAGCAACTACTTAGAAATTACACAAAGGGATAGTCAACAAAAATGCAATAGGTAAAATAGATAACTAACAAATGTTTAACCAAAAAGAAAGCAAACAAAGGGAAAACATAGAAACTGAAAATACAGAGACAAACAGTAAACAAACAATAAAATGATAGGCTTAAATAAAAACATCAGTAATTACATTAAATGTAAATGGATCAAACATACTAATTAAAAGATAGATTTTTAGAATGGATTTCAAAAAATGACTCAATTATATACTGTCTATAAGTATATAATTAATACAAGTGTTTCAGTTGTACTCACTTCAAGTATAATGACATAAGTGGGCTAAAAGTAAAGCAATATATATTCAAAAGATGTATATTATTAATGAGAATGAAGGTAGAGTGTCTATAGTAATATCAGACAAAGTGGACTTCAGAGCAAAGAAAATTACCAGGGATAAAAAGGGGCAATACCTAATACATTTCATCAAGAGGACACAACAATCCTAAATCTGTATGTATCAAACAGCAAAGCTTGAAGGTACATGAAGGAAAAACTCACAGAACTGAGATAAGAAATACACAAATTCATAATTATAGTTGGAAACTTCAACATTCCTCTCTCAGTGATCAATGGAACTTAGTAAACAGAAAGTCAGCAAGTGTATAGTATAGAAAATGGAACTAAATGATAAACAATTGTTTCTAACTGACATAGAATACTCCACTCAGTAACAGCAGAATACACATTTTTCTCAATTTCACATGGAACTTTCACCAAGATAGACCATATCTGGGGATATAAAACAAATTTGTCACACATTTAAAGAATCAAAATCATACAAAGTATGAAAAACAGAATGATAAGAAAATTTACAAACCCTTAGAAATTAAACAACACACTTGTACATAATCTGTAGGTCAAAGAGGAAGTCTCAGGGAAGTTAGAAAATATTTTGAACTGAATGAATATAAAAATATATCAAAATTTGTGGGATGCAGTTAAAGCAGTGGTTAGATGGAAATTTCATCATTACGATGAATTTGTATTAGAAAAGAGAAGAGTATCAAACCAGTAATCTAAGCTGCTTCCACAAGAAATTAGAAAAAGAAGAGCAAAATAAACTCAAAATAAGCAAAGGAAGGAAGTAATAAAAATAAGTACATAAATTTAAAAAATGAAAACAATTTCAAAAACAATACAGAAAAATAATGAGGAGTTCAATAAACCTCTGGTGAGACTGGCAGAGGGAAAGATAGAACATGAATTACTGATATCAGGAATGAAAAAAGGGTTATCACTACACACCCTGCTCATAAATTTGACCATTTAGATAAAACGGATGAATTCTGCAAAAGACACAAATTACCAAAATTCACCCAAGATGACATGTAGATAACTTGAATAGCACTATTAGTATTTTAAAAATTGAGCTTGTATTTTAAAACCTTCTATAAAAGGATTCTTCAGGCCAAGATTCTAGCACACACCATATAGCATATGCTACCAAATATTTAAACAAGAAATATGATAAATTCTACCAAATATTTTCTAGACATAAAATGAACTGTACACAATCTCTTCCAGAAAATAGAAGAGGAGGGAGCACTTCTCAACTCATTTTATAAGGCCAACATTACCCTGGTACTGGAACCAGACAGATGGTACAAAAAGTACAAAACACTATCCCTCATGAACATATATGCAAAAATTCTCAACAAAATATTAGCAAATATCCATTAATACATAAGTATACAAAGAGATAGTCAATAATATTGACTATTAGGGAAATGCCAGCTAAAACTCTGATGAGATATAACCTATGGAGTGAGACACACCTATTGAATGGCAAAAATAAAAAATACTGACAATACTAAGTGCTCACAATCATGCAAAGCAACTGGATCTCTCATACACTGCCAATGGGAATGCAAAATTGCACAGCTACTCTAGGATCGTCCTGCTTCAGCCTTCTGAGTAGCTAGGACTACAGGTGGGCACCACCATGCTTGGCTAATTTTTAGTATTTTTTGGAGAGACAGGGTCCAGGTTGCCTGGGCTGGTCTTGAACTCCTGGCCTCAAGCTGTCCTCCTGCCTCAGTCTTCCAAAGTGCTGGGATTACAGGTGTGAGCTATTGTGGCTGGCCCTACTTTGCAGTTTCTTATAAAGCTACACACACAATTGACATATGACTCAGCAATCCCAAGTGAACTGAAAACTTGTATTCATGCAAAGACCTATGCATGAATGTTTATAGCAGCTGTATTCATTATCACTAATAAGAGAAAACAACCCAATGTCTTTCAGTGGGTCAATGGGTAAATAAACTGTGGTGCGTTTCTACAATGGAATACTACTCAATTTAGCAATAAAAAGGAATGAACTATTGACACACCCAACAACTTGGATGAATCTCAAAGACATTATGCTGAGTAAAAGGAGCCAATCTCAAAAGTTCTACATACTGAATGATATACTTTACTCTCAAAAAGGTGAAACACGTGACAGAGAAGAAATCAATGATTTCTAGGAGTGAGAGTTTAGTGAAGACAATGCTGTAATTTCTTCCCATCTAAATTCCTTAGACCTCTGCGTTCTAATTATGAACCACTTGGAGGGAGGGTCTATGTGTCCCAAGTAAAAAGCCTGCTCTATGCTATATGCCTTGTAGGAATTGTATCTTTTTTGTTCATTCTTCTATGTCCCATGCCTAGCAGAGTAAACTGGCATAGATTGGGCACTCAGTTATTCGGTGAACAAAATAAATGAATGAACAAACTATGAAATGGTTTCAACATCCAACAATGCATTGAGAGCCTCTAAAAACTTTAAGAAAAATGGACACATTTTGTTTAACCGAACACGTGATCATTGTTGATAATTGTGGGCTGCACTCTCTCTAATGACTCTCCTAACTGTACGCTTCTGTTTGGGCTACTGACCAGGTTTTGTCTTGTGTGAGTCTACCTGCACCATTTCTGAGCATTTCTCCTGCTTCTGTCCTGTAGAAGCAAAACAATTAGATACACGAATCCCTTCTCCAGAATTATGCAGCTACTGTCAACCAAAAATGGTGGATAACTGCCAATGACGTACATGTTGGAATTAGTGTTTGAGATTTATCAGACACTAACATATGACAGGACTTGGGCGGTGCTGAGATAATAATGAGGCCTTGCAAATGGGCATCACTCAGCATTGCAGGGAGTCCAGGGTGAGGGGCAGGACTGGACTAGCTCAACAGAGTACTTGGCATGAGGGGGCAACATGGGAAATGTATAGGGACTCGAAAACTATAGTTGGTATTAGAGCCAGAGGCCCTTTGTCTCATCCCTCACCAGGAGTAGGGGCCCTTAGAGTACTGTCACCAGAAGGTTCTGGGAAAGTTGTAGAGACCGAATGAGTTGCTACACTACTGACCCTGCCATGTGCCAGCAATCTCCTTGATGGTCTCTGGGCAGTCTGTTTCACAGACCTGAAAAAAAGATTGAGAAAGCCTATGATATCTTATTTCATCAAGTCCGGTCTACAATGGCTTGATAGTAAGACCAGCCATTATTTTATATACCAATAGGAGAGGAAAAACACTGCCAACACACTGTGACAGATGCCTTTAATGACAGTCCTGAATGACATATGAATCAATGACATCAGATTCCTTTTAAGTTAATCTTCATCTCTTCTAGAGATTTGGCAATGAAACAAGTAACTCGGCAATAGAAAGTAACACAGCTTGTCCGACTGGTGGGTATCTTCCTTTGCGAGGTTTCTGGTGCACTTGATTGTTTCTTTGCAAGAAAATATGGACTCCTGATCATTCTTTCTGTGATAAATGTCGTTCACTAATACCACCTTTGCATCCTACTGCTTGGTTTCTGTACCTTTCTGACTACAAAATAGCTTGTTATTTCAGTGCTGAATCGTAGTGAAATTTCTTTGGGGAGATTCCTACACAGTAGTTAAACTCTGAGGTTAAGCTAACAAATGCACAGATCTCAATCAAAGTGATAACAATGTGAACAGCTACAGCTGGGTGGATGCACATGGCCGATGGCTTTTGAAAGATACTCCTGATTAAGATGTATCTGGATCTCAGCAATGTTAGCCTGTGAAAAACTGTGCCTCTTAAAATCTGTGGAATACAGTAATTCTGTCCAATTCAGTAATTTGGGAGGGAGAGTTCTTCTGCACTTATGACATGTTTCGTGAACATCCTTTGTCTGCTGGGGAATGTTCTAGGGCTTCAGTGGGAAACAGGCTGACTCCCCTGCCCACATGGAGCTCACACTGAGTAAGGAGAACAGACAATAAGGGAATAAACAGAACAATGTTCATGTTATTTTAAGTGCAAGGAAGGAAATAAACAGGAGGCTGAGATGGAGCCTCACAGTGGGACGGGTACAGGATGTACATGAGCATTTGTGATGAGCCTTCTGATTTCCAACTAAGTCAACACTTGGATTTTTGTCTCTAAGAGTCACTGGCAGCCTGCAGGGCGATCACCTGTCCCTAGGTTTGCCCAGAACTGAGGGGTTTCACGGGATATGAGCCTTGAACTCCTATAATGGGCAGACCCAAGCATACTAGTACAGTTCGTCCCCCTATGGAGATTCTAACTCAAGTTTCCTTGTAGTTTAATATTTTTATTACTATTTCCATGTCTAATGAAGTTTGATACTTAACCATCCACTGTGGCTTTTATTATCTTTCACTCCCATCTCTCTTATTTTCATAAAAAGAGATTAATTCTATAGTACAACTAAAGTCTTATAATTCTTAAATGCAGTCACTCAACACCACCAGTTAAACACCTACTTAAAGTCCTTCGGGGCCTCAATGATAGGTCAGGGTATCTCTCAGGGGTAAGAAATGTCTATCGACAGCTAGAAGATCAGGTAGTGGCACAACCAAGCGTCCACCAAAGCCTCCAGCTGGGAGAAGGTGGGTGGTTGCTAAGCAGGGATGAGGGCAGGGCGAGCTGCTTTGTTTTTCTAATTTTATTTTGTTTTGGATGAACAATTCCAACCAAAGGCTTTGAAGAAGAGCAATTTTCTTTGCCTTTGAAATGAGTTAAAGGCAAAACAACTCCATCCTTTCATGTTAGGAATCATTTTGGTAAAGTAGTGCGGCTTTCTGTTTTTTTTTTTAACTAAAAGACAAGCTGAACTCTGGATTGCAAATGCTTTCATGGCTATTAGAAGTATAGTTTGTTTGTTTTTTCTCTTTAAAACAATGAAATGCAAATTCTTGGCTTTCTCTTCAAGCAAGGAGCGGCGAGGGGAAGCCACTCTGGAGGCTGGATGCAGATGTGTTGTTGTCAGTGACACTACAATACTTACTAGTTTTTGCAAAGTCCCAGTGAACTTCATGTTCGTTCCCTGCCTTTTTAGTCTCAAGGTTGATGTGTAACAATGCCTGTGCCCACTGTAATATTCCAAAACTACCATGTCCTTTCCATTCTTTCCCCCGACCCCATTGTGTTTCATTTTCTTTTTCTTTTTTTAAAATTTAATTTAACTGAATTTTAAGTACAGGGCTTGCAGATTTGTTACATAGGTAAATGTGTGTCATGGTGGTTTATTGCACCTATCAACCCATCACCTAAGTATTAAGCCCCACATGCATTAGCTATTTATCCTAATGCTCTCCCTCCCCCCACCCCGCTGTGTTTCATTTTCCTCTCATATCTCGTGACCACATAATTCCTTCTTTAATGACAAATTGTATTGAATGAGGTGGCCAGTCTTAGAAGTGCTGTAATCTGAAAGAAAAAAATGAAACTTTCCACTTCATCACTCTGGTATATTATTATTTTTAAAAAGATGCAAGTTGTCATATGAAAATGGAGGCATTAATTCCTTAACCTATTCCAAAACTTTAGCTCATATTTGCCAAGAAAACAGAATGCGAATGGGAAGCCGTGTTTCTGCTTGAGGCAGTAGGAAGCAGGAGACCAAAAAGTCGTCTTAATGTTAAGCAAAACTTTGAATCAGCATTTAAATTAGATATGCTTTAACGGCTAATGTTATTTGAAAGCTGAATAGCCAATGTCAAAAATAGATTTCCCTTTCTTTCCAAAGTGCAGACGGGGTCCAGAAAGGGGCAAAAATAACCACATGCCTTTCTTGGACTCCTGACTCTTACCACCCAAAGGGTTTTCTTGTGTAGCAACCAACAATTCCTTGGATGGAAACACTGGATAGGCTAGTCATTATTTTGAGATTGAAGGGACTGCAGATTCTTGGCAGACCTCTGTTGTTTTTCTAGAGTTGTAGGCAAGTAGTTGGACAAAAAGCAAGAAGCTGATCGATGTTGCTGGCTTTGGATTCTTTGTGAACAAATGAGACAAGGTGAGTAGCTGCCCTGCTCAACTCCCTCTTCGTTTTGGTGTGGGGCGGGGGTGGGGGTGGGGAGGGAAAGGTTCTGATGACTGCAATCCTGGTGTCGGATCTTGGTCTGTTGGAAAACAACGGGCTCGCCGGCCCCTGTAGGAAGACCTAGGCAATGTCTGCATGCTGCCTGTGCAGCCCATGGAGGGGTTAGAAATAGTAGGATTGCTTGTAGAGAGAGAACAATCACTCAATTGTCAGATTTTTTTTTTTCACTTTTCATCCACACGCTGGGTGGCTTTGTAGCACAGTCGGAGATACTGTGTTGAGGAGCCTTTGCTCATGGCAATGTTTCCTCTGTTCACTTTCTGCTGCTTCTGCATTGGAAAATTCCGTCCTTTAACACTGGGATTATATGTCACCGTTGCTGAAATCATAGACAGAGTCCACTTAATTTGGTGCGAGCATGAGAAATAGCCAGAGAATGGGAGAAGCATAGCATTCCCTTGTATAAAGAGAGGATTGAATAAGGTCAGTGAACCAGAGACAGCAGGTCACAAACCCTCAGAGGGTCATGAAAATGTTCCCTGGTTTCCTGCCTTTGGGAGCAAAACGGATGCCTGTTTAAATTTTTTAAAAAATTATTGAAGATTAGCCATGATACTTGTTTGAGCTGGGTGAGATATTTGAGGGCTCATTATACTAGTTTCTGTACTTTTGCACATTTTTGAAAATTTCAAATGATAAAACATTTTTTACGAAATATTTAAATACCTCCCTGCTTCATCTCAGAACGATTCCAGAGCCCCTGAGTGGGTCCCATGTACGCATGCGTGGCAGTAGGGGCTGCTCAACTGAGCATGCTCGTGATTTGGCCTCAGTCAATTTCACTGTGTGCTGAGCCCCCAACGATGCTAACCCCTGTGCGGTTTCAAATGGCCTTTATTCTTAGCCATATGTTCTTTGGCCCATATCCTAAATGGATCATTTGTTAAAGGCTAGAAACATTAGCAACACAGATGTTGAAATTCATGTTAATAATTCAGTAAATTGCCTCATGATAATCTTCACTTTATCTGAAGATGGCCTTTGTCTCGTCAAAGTCTGCCCCTGGACCTCAGAAACCCAGTGTTACAGAAAGAAAAGACAGGGACAGTTATGTCTAATTTTGGTTTTCATTTATAGAGAACAAATGGTTGTAAAGAAGTGATTACAAATAGCAGCTAGCTGATATTTTAAGCACAAAATATAAGAATTTCAGACATGAGGTCATGAAAGCAATTTTTGATGCCCCAATTCCTGGTTAATTTCAATTTTTATTTTAATCTGAGCACCCAACAGCTGACACAAAATAACTCTTTTATTGACTTCCTCCTTGTATCTGGTGGCCCTGAAATGGTTATCATAAAATTTATTGTGTAGTCACTGTTTCCTAGCTCTTGTGGACACAGAAATGGTAGAAGTTTCTAGAAATGAGGCATGTAGGTACATTGTAAGGTTTATGGGTTTTAGCCACACACTCTTGAAACTTGGTGTTAATCTTCACATTTGATTAAAATTTTAAATATATTGATATTAAAGATTGTAGCTAACATGAAATTTATGTTGACGAAATAGAAAATATTTTGACTATCAGTTTCTACTTTTGCATACACACTATAGTAGATATCTTCTGTGTGTATCTCTCACCTTCTGACCCATCTTCCACACCAGCCATTGCTGGAGCAGCCAGCTTTGCGCAGGTGTAACCAGAAGGTGCCTTGTTTCAGCTGCACTGCGTCTCTCCATTTCTGCCCTGGGCCTCTCTGACACAGTGTCCTGGTATTGAGGCTTGTGCAACCTGGAAGTGTAAGGGAGTCAACATTCTATGAGGAAATTCTTGGCCAAAAGGGGGTGGGAGTCTATAAATTAGTACTCCCTTTTTTCTTCCCCTAGGCTGCAAATTCAGAGGATCCTCCCAGAAGATAAGATGGAGCAGGTCACCACCTTCTTCCCTGCTTCACACCCTCAGGCCCCGACTCTTGTCTGCTGAGATCACTCTCCAAACCAATCTTCCCTTACAAAGCCCTTGTTGCAGGCTATGCTTTCTGAGGGGAACCCAGGCCAAGACACTAAAATGACACACCAACATGAAGACATGAACACAATTGCAAAGGGATTGGTTGGATTGCATATCTCTGTGAATGGGACTCAAGAGAAGTTTGGGAAATGCTGGACCAGATGACCCTTGCAATCATGGTGCACAGAATTAAAACCGTCAAGTTCCCCATCCATCTCTGAGATGGATGAGAATCTGAGTCTTCCACAAGATGCCCAAGACTTGTTAAACCCGTGGAATGTCTTTGGGTATGTGTGACATCAACAAGAAGCAGCAGACAAAACAAAATATTTTCACAAACATTCAGAAATCCCTAAATCTTGTGAGTTGTCGTATCATTTGTAGATATAATTATAAAATGGCACATGATGCTGACCTATTCCAAGGCAATTGTTCATCTCATGGTAGGGTGTAATCTCTGCCTGCAGATTAAGGCAGAAGAGACCAAGGAGGGCTGTTTACTCCTTCATGATCCATCCCAGGGGAGGGTGGGTTTTGGACCAGTTAGGTTATGTGGCTGGCTGCTGAGGATTCTGAACATCTAGTTACCTCCCTGTACCTCTGTCCCATATACTCTAGGCCAGTGGCTCTTCCCTGGATTGGGCCATCTTTTTCTGAAGGCAAATTTTCCACTAGGAGGAAGGTTAGAAATGCCAGTTCTTGAGTTGCACCCCAGATCTTTGGCAGTCTGTTGCGATAGATCTTCCAGGCGACTCTGATGCTGGCTGAAGTTTGAGAACCATTGCCCTTGGCCTGTTCCTGCTCATCCTGGCTTGCAGGCTTTGGAGGCCTTCGCTGTTGATTGATTTACACTCCTCTCCACAGAATGGGCTCAGGAAACAAAAGATTACTTGATTAGCTGGGAGGTGAGAGAAAAGGGGCTGGAACTGTGTAGGCAGCCACGCAGCTTACAAATAGATTATGTTCTGGACTTTGGAAGTCAGCTGTTTGGAATAGAAGCTGTTTTCCTAGGAATGGTAGATAGCTTTTTATGCCAGCACATAAAGGCATATTTAATTCCAAACTTGGCTGAAATACTGCTGCGTCACAATGAAAATGAGCAGATCCCAGTGCTCCTGGAGTATTAGTACCTAATCAAAGCAGAACAGAACAAGAAATGAAACACGGAGATGGTATTTTATGTATGTTAATATTGCTGATCAAAGAAAAAGGTTGATTTGGAGACGAATTAAGAGGTAAATTGGGATATGTCAAGATTCATAAGGAGTTTCTGGCCTTTCTCTAGAATATGATGATACTCATTCATTTAGGCAGACTTTCCTTAACTGTGGTTCTGGATTGTTACCTTTCTTTTTTCTGAAGGCAAATGTCCCACTAGGAGGGAGGTAAAGAATTCTGAGACCAACTGGCATGGGTTGAAAAGGAGAACAGAAAGAGTAATGGAATCAGAGAGAATGCAGGTGTATTTATTAATTAATACGAGCCTCAACGGAGACAAAACTAACATGAGTTGTGAGCAATGAGAGGTGGATGGGCATAGACCGAGGTCAGGATTCTCCTCTGTACTTGGCAAGACAGGAAAGACAGCAGACCTATGTGGAGCACGTGAGCTGGGAGCTGCTGTTCTGGAAACCTTCCCTCCCACTGTATTTGCCTGCCCTTGTCCCTTACACAGTTCCATTTCATGTCACCCGACTTCTTTCCTTTCCCTGGTTACTGATAGGGCAAAAGAAGATGAGCTGGACCAACTCCCTTTTTCTTCCTAGAGATTTGAACTAAGAAACAACCAGATACATTTCAGTCCGTGATGGGAAGAGGTTTGCGGCTGGCTGTGAGCACTTCACACATTCACAAATCACGCACTTCTAGTTGGCTTTCTTGTGATGGCGAAAATACTTTCTTTTTGGTTTCATGATGCATTTATTAACCATTCTATTTTTGTATCATACAAATGATCAGAGCTGACAGTTGAATGGCTGGGTTGGGAGAAGTGTGGTAGCCCTAATGGAATTAATTAATTGAATAATATTGCCTGACAAATGGCTCCATTATACCAAAGAGGGCTTGAGACTTAATTACTGATGTCATTTATCTCTCTATTTGCACCCCAATAATAAGTGACTCATTTCTCATTAATATTGGGTCATCTTCCAAAAGGAAGAAAAGAGGCCAAAATATCAGGCGGGTGGGTGGGGGGTGAAGCAATGTCTTTGTTCCCTATCTCATTATTTTGATAAATCATAACAGACTCCCGTTAATTAGGTGGGCAGGCTTAACTGGCTGACTCCTGTCCAACAATTACCTCAGAAAGGAGCACCACTGGGAACACGTCCTTCCCTTGGGACGACATGAAAGGAAGTCTCTAACAAAAAAGGGGATCGTTCCCTTGGCCACGCTGGGGGCATCACAGTTGTCAAGACACATTTCTAGACGTAAGGGCTGGAGCTGTCTCGGGGACATCGCCTGTGCATGACGGTGATGTCTGTGGGCCTGATGCTGCCTTCCTAATCCAGGGTTGAGCTAATGGTTCTCAGTGCCTTTGAGTCCCCCTGGGAAATGAGAACCTAATTAAGCAGGGGAACAGGTGTAAAGAGAACCTGATTTGATCTGGCCACATTAATTGCTGAGATTGGGCTTGCATTTAGCTGGAAACAGTGAATTAACTACAGCCGGAATACAGCTAATCCCTTGGTTTCGCTGCGACTGTGTATAAAACACACTGGACCTGCTGGGGAACACAAACAAAGAGGGATTTGCAGTGAAGGTAAAACCGCATCCTTGCATGGGAAGGGCTGAGAAACGAGCTTAGCCACAGAGGGTGGCCATGTGGCCCAGACTGGGCGGCTCATTTTCCCTACAAAATTACCAATAGCACTCTCTTTTATTCTCAAAAAATGTTCCAGTTTGGGCAATAAATTAAATGGTTACTTTATTTCAATGAGAATTTTAAGTTGGTTTAAAATATTTTTTTCTTTACCGGAGGAGTGGTATTATAGGTTGAGGAGTTACCGGTTGAATTTTGTCCCCCTCAACAAAGATGTTGAAGTCCTGACCCCCAGTATCTGTGAACGTGACCTTATTTGGAATTGGGGTCTTTGCAGATGATCCAGTTAAGGTGAGGCCATTAAGGGTGAGCCCTCATCCAGGATGACTGGTGGCTTTTAAAAGGGGGGAATTTTGGACACAGTCACAGGGAGGGCACCATATGAAGGTGAAGGCAGAGTCTGCGGCAATGTTTCTATAAGCCAAGGAACCTGAGGATTGCCAGTGACCCCCAGAAGTTAAGGGAGGGGCCTGGAACAGATTCTCCCCCAGAGCCCTCAGAACAAACCCTGCCAACACCTTGATCTCAGACTTCTGGCCTCCAGAACTGTTCAGCAATAAACGTCTGTTGTTTAAGCCACCCTGCCTTTGGCACTTTGTCACGGCGGCCCCAGCAGACTAACTCACGTGGGCACTAGTCTCGAAGCATCTGATAAGGCTCTAATGACTCATGGTTTGTACGGTTCACAGAACTGAGCCGTCTTGATGGCGAAGGCTGGTCGCAGGGTTAGGGAGCAGAGCTGATTAGAGGACCAGTACCAATTTCCCACCTCCTCGGTGCCAAGCTCTGGGAAGAGGGTGACAGAGATGGCCCTGGTTCCTGGCCTCAAGGGGCCAGCAGTCCGGTGGGCAGGCAGCCTGTGCAGGTGACCTTGTACTTCATTAGCTAAACACGAGTATGTATCTATGTACACACACCTGGAAGGGAGGGAAGCTCAATATAGGTGGGGGGCAGGCCTCCCAAGCTGGGCTGAAAAGCATCAGCCTTCCCAGGATGGGACATCTCAGCTGAGACCTGAGAAGAAAGGGCTACCTGGATTTTATTTTATTTTGTTTTCTTATTTTTGAGACAGGATCTCATTCTGTTGCCCAGAGGCTAGAGTACAATGATGCAGTCACGACTCACTGTAGCCTTGACCTCCGTAGGCTCAAGCGATCCTCCTGTCTCAGCCTCCCAGGTAGCTGGAACCACAGGCACACACCACTGTGCCCAGCTAATTTTTGTATTTTTTGTAGAGACGGGGTTTCGCCATGTTGCCCAGGCTGGTCTCAAACTCCTGGGCTCAAGGGATCCACCCACCTCAGCCTCCCAAAAGTGCTGAGATTATAGGTGCAAGGCACAACGCTGGGCTGCTACCTGGATTTTAAAAAGGCAGGAGAAACGGAGAACAAATGTGAAGTTCTGAGGACCAGGAGGGCTGGAGCTTGAAAATTCCAACCCGGGAGCGGAGAGACTGGAGAAGGTTGTTTTCCAATTCGTTTTCTCAGCCTTCATTGCTCGTTTATCGAGCGTGTAGAGCACACTGCCATGCACCAGGACAAAGCCACCGCTTCTGTTGGGAGAACTCACTCACGGCAGGAGAGGAGGCCCCTTGAAGTGAATGGAAAAGCCTTAAATGGGAGAGGGATAGGAGGAATGGACAATGTTCACTCCTGGGTCAGAAGACAGGAGCTCTTTGGTCCCTGACCTCTCTGGTCAATTGTTTGCATGTGGCTAGGCGTGGAGAGGTCATAGGTCACATCCAAAAGTGCTAAATTATTTCTAAGTGTATAATGAGATTCTCTGTCCCTGAAGCCGAATTTTGGTTGCAGCTTGTCAGAGTTTCATTCATAGATATGGCTGGTCAATTGAGAACATTCTAGAGAACACTTTTGTGATGGTTCCTTCCTCTTGAGGTTCTGAGCTCCATATCCTTCCACCTCAGACCCCACATCCAGGACCTACCATCTTGAATTTAAGTTTTTGCCCCTTGGCCCAGAGTCTAAGGAAATTATGAGATCCATAGACCCAATCCATACAGTGCTTTTGCTTTTGAATGCCAGCGTTGGCGTTTCTTGGGTGCTATTTTCAAGGCGGATTTCTAGGTTGGATGTTAAAGTCATCGTTTCTCTTCTCCAGTTGACTTCAATGACCTGTTGCCGGTGGGCCCGGGACAAAAAGTTTTGGGAAGGCAAAACTGGGGTCTGATTTGGTAGGCATGGCATGGATTATGTAAGTGTACAGGTCTGCATTTCAAAATGAAAAATAACAATAATAATTAGGGTTTCTCTGGGCTCCTCATGTCCAAGCCACTCTTGCAAAACCACCTTTGGATGAGCCTGAAGTGTCAGCAAATCAGAAACATGTGGATTTAATTTCCTTTGAAATACACCAGGGGGAGAGGGAGCTGTGGGACTTGGCAACCTGCTTCTTCGGGTTTGCCAAACCCCAAATATCTCACACTCTGTGAGAGCTCTACGCTGGCCCCCAGCAGTCTCGTCTGGCCAGCCCAGCCTCTGCATTTCTTGCTGTACCGTCTAGGTCTCCTCTAACCATGATTCCCTTCTCTGGGTCCATTTCAGCTGCCAGAGGGATGCTAACACCGCCCACGTGCTGCAGCAGGACTTTGGAAGGGGAACCAGCACTGTAATGAAGTGTTGGGTTGGCTCAAGTCTTGTCTGGACCACAAACCATTTTTCAACCACTAGTGTGCCTTTAAAACCCAAACCAACTGTGAGAGTGGTTTTCTACTTTGATTCTAGATGGGAAAATATTTTGCTTTTTTGGTGGATGACAGTGTCAGGTCCCAAATGGATTTGGTTTCATCCTCCAGCACGCATGCATATAACGTGAAACATGCCCACACTCTGCAAGGGCCACAGCCACCCCACCATTATGTTCCAAGGCAAATATGCGTCCGCGGGTCCCCGGGAAAGTAAAGGAGTTTCACATTGAGGAGCCGAGCCACACAGTCTAGCAGTTCTGATGTCTCTCCAAGGCCCACAGATCCTGGTCTACTAACTTAAGGGTAAGGTTGTATAAATAAGGTCCACATCACTTGCTGGTTCATTATTTTTCTTCGTTGATAGTAATGCCTCCTTTTTTCTTCCTTTGTATTTTCTGTGTCTTGCAGCCCCTTTTGTCTAAAATAGTGATGTACATTAAATGCAAAGGGCAAATGGAACCATTGAAAAGTACTTTTTGCATCCAAAACAGCCAACGCTTTGGTGCCTGCTATGTGTCAGACACTGATTCTTCTGTCATCCTTATTCTACTGATGAGGCAACTGAGGCAGCTTCAGAGAGTTCGAGTAACCTGCGGATCACACAACTAGGAAGTAAGAGAGCTGGAACTTGACGTTGGGCTGTTGACCTCCAGAAATGGTGTTTTTTCCAGTACTCAGTGCTGCCTCTGACTCCATTGTGATGGTTGATTTTATGTGTCAACTTGACTGGGCCCAGGGGTACCCAGATATTTGGTCAAACATTATTCTGGGTGTTTCTGTGAGGGCGTTTTGGGTGAGATTAACATTTAAATTGGTAGACTGAGTAAAGCAGATGGCCCTCTATGATATGGCCAGGCCTCATCCAATCCATTGAAAGCCTGAATGGAACAAAAAGGCCAACCCTCCCTCAGTAGGAGGAAATTTCGTCTGCTTGACTGCATTCAAACTAGGACGTCAACTTTTTCCTGCCTTTGGACTTGAATAGAAACATCAGCTCTTCCTAGATCTTCAACCTGCCAGGCTTCAGATTGAAGTTTATACCATCAGCTCTCTTGGTTCTTGGGCCTTTGGACCCAGACTGTAAGTGCACCATCCGTTCTCTTGGGTCTTGCTTGCTGACTCACCCTGCAGATTTGGGGACTTATCAGCCTCTAATTCTGTGAGCCAATTCCTTCTAATATATCTCTCTATACGCATCCTGTCTCACTGGAAGAACCCTGATACGGTTAGGCTTTGTGTCCTCATTCAAATCTCATCTTGAATTGTAAATCCCATAATCCCCATAATCCCCATGTGTCAGGGGAGGGATCAGGTGGAGGTAATTGCATCATGGGAGCAGTTTCCCCTGTGCTCTTCTCACGATAGTGAAAGAGTTCTCACAAGATCTGATGGTTTTATAAGGGGCTCTTCCCCCTTTGCTCTGCACTTCCCCTTCCTGCTGCCTTGTGGCCTTGTGAAGAAGGTGTCTTGCTTCCCCTTTGCCCTCCTCCATGATTGTAAGTTTCCTGAGGCCTCCCCAGTCATGCAGAACTGTGAGTCAATTAAACCTCTGTCCTTTATAAATTACCCAGTCTCAGGCGGTTCTTTATACCAGTGTGAGAATGGACTAATACAAACCCTAATACATCAATTTCTTTTTTGATCTACCAGGCAATCCTGTGAAGTAGATGGGTCAGGTAATATCATTGCTATTTGACAGATGAGGGAGAACAAGACCTAGCAAATGAACACGCATGTGTTACATGCTCACATAGTCACACACATGCTCGCATGCGTGCGCGTGCACACACACACACACACACATATACATACAGACCACGCACTTCAGGACGAAGGTCAGAATCCAGGTCTAATCATTTAAGTAAGTGCTTCTTCCCCAGGGTGTCCACAGAGCAGCCAGCCATGGAGGGCAGTGCTAACTTACTTTTAAAATGTCCTTAATGTCCAGGATCACGATAGCAAGTCCCCCTTCATGCAGAAAAATCTGCCTCTGAGTATCTGGGTGTGCAGAGGAGCTACTACTATTATTCTGTTCCTCACATTCCATACTGTAAGTTCCAGCTACAGAGAATATTGTAGCAAAGTGCTAGCAAACCTAGCACGTTCCCACCTGGAGACAGCGAATCCAGAGAGTGGATCCTCGAGGATAAAATTATCCCCCAAACGATTGCATGTTGAGTGGGACAAGGATATCTGGCCAGTAGAATGTCTGTATAAGAGAAGGCAGAAATCTCATTATCTTTGTTGGCTGATGTAAAATCCAAGGCCATGCAATGTGTTAAGACTGCTGTCACTTATCCTAGGTGATGACTCAGTCTATTTACTTGCAAGTCTTTCTGTTTTGCAAAGCCACCCCCGCTTCAGGATTTAGAAGAAATAGGGTTCTCCCCCACCTGCTCTGGTCTTCACGATATCCACTCTGGCAGGCCAGGGCCATAGTCGAGCTGTTAAATATTGAAGATGTGTCGTCCTGATTGTATTTAAGTAGTATTTCATTGAAAGTGAGTGGAAGATGGGAGAAGCAATGTTTATACATCTTCAACTGCTCTTATCAAGCAGACAGAAGTTCAGACGGAGGTGGCTGTGACCTTTTACTGCTGTTTATAAGCAGCAGGGAAATATATTTTGGGTTTTGGCAGCCACAAGATCCCTGCATAATCCACCAGTCCTCCCCCGTACTCCCACCTCCCACCTCAATCATTTTTGTATTGAAATGTCTGCAGAAAATGGATGTGGAATGGCACTATTGTCTTGGGTAAGTAAGTTTTTCACTCAAGGCACAAAACCCCTGTCATACACCTACCTCTGGTTCTACAGGAGCCTGTGAACTCGTGCCAGAAGAGGAAAGGCTGAGCTGATACTGCAAAGATGTGGCAGCAGATGGGAACTTGTGCCTGCAAGTGGGGAGCCTTGGTTTTAATGAATGAAATCTAGCAAGTTCCCATCTGGAGATAGTGAATCCAGGAAGAGGATCTTGGATTGGACAAGTGGATGGGATTCAGTTTGGCCAAAGGGCCAGAAAAAACTCTCATTCTTTAAATGAAAACCTTCTCGTCTCTTCCAACCTCCTAGTCTTAGGACAAGATCATTTTTAAAAGGTCTAGTTTTGTGGCTTCACACTATGAACTAGCTGTTGTGAGTCCCAAAGAAGAAAAGAGCATTACTTTTTTCATTTAAAAAGTGAGCTTCAAACTCACTAGTTCTGCCTGAAGCCAGAAGCTTCCGATTTCCACCGGCATCTCTGTAACCGGCATCTCTCTAATGGGATAATGGGTAGTTTTCATACTTCGAAAAGCACTGCTTTTTGTCTCTGCCGGTTGAGTAAGCTTTTGCAAGCAGGGTTGAACAAGAAACACCGTTTTGGATGGCAATGGTTTTATTTACATTATACTCACCTAGGAGCTTGTTTTCATGGAGGGGCTCAAATGTGCTGGACAATGGACTCTGAATTAAGGAGGAGTGTGGAGATCATTGAAACATTTGCTCTAGGGGAAGAAATCAAGCAAAGAGACCTATTCATTCACATTGACCTTGGAGATAGATATCAAGTAATGGGGCAATTCAGGGCTAATTATTTCCTCTGGGGAGAGCAGGACTCCCATTGGGTGTCCCATTGGCTGTGGGTCTCTCCCTCCTGCAGTCTCAGGACCAGGAGTGTCAGATGCCATTCCCCAGTGGGCTGCTACCTTTGATGCGTGCTGACATTGTCTGGTCACATTCCACTCCATGAGTTGTCCTCAGCAGCCAGCCAGCCCTGGTGCCATTGGCCATGCCACAGTATAACATAGACCTGACTGTTTGAAACAGGTGGCTTTCTACTTGGGTCCCCTCTGGGATATTCTCAGCATGCAAAAGGGGTTTGTTTGCACATTCAGCATACTTAGGCAGGCTTTAGAAATATTGACTTAAGTGGAAATTGCCTCAAAAAATACAGATACCAGCTGGGCATGGTGTCTCATGCCTGTAATCCCAGCACTTTGGGAGGCCGAGGTGGGAGGATCACCTGAGGTCAGGAGTTCGAAACCAGCCTGGCCAACATGGTGAAACCCCACCTCCACAAAAATACCAAAATTAGCCAGGCATGATGGCAGGTGCCTGTAATCCCAGCTACTCAGGAGGCTGAGGTGGGAGAATCGCTTGAACCCAGGAGGTGGGGTTTGCAGTGAGCCAAGACTGTGCCATTGCACTCCAGCCTGGGTGACAGAGTGAGAGTCAGTCTCAAAAAAATACAGAGTGAGAGACAGTCTCAAAAAAATAAAAATAAGTAAATAAAATACAGATACCTCACCCCACCATCAGATCAAAGAAGCAGAGTCACCTGGGGATGTGACCCAGGCATTGGCACTTAAAAATCTTCCCAGGTAGGTGCATCTGGTTTGAAAACGACTGAACACAGGAAATGAAAGCTATTTCTTAGCTACGTTTGTGGGGATTTCTTGGTCTCTGTCTCTCACTGTGGGTGGTGCATGACATTTGTAGGTGTGGACTAAAGGCCACAGGAGAGTGTTCATGCCCCTGGGAGGGGTTTCATGGTTGGTGGCCCTGTTGTTAGGGAAACGGGCAGTGCATGGGCTAAGCCCACCTGGCAGGTGGACACAAACACACACTCTCAAACCCTCTTCCCGGTTGAAAAACTCTCACATGAGTCCTGTGGTTGGGCACGCAGGGTATCCAGGAGCCACAGAAGCTGCTGTCCCCATGACCTCAACTTCGAGTCTGCGCTCTAATTCTTTCTCACCTGTATCCTGGTTTCTCATTGATTAAGAAGACATTTAGTTGATGCCAGTGATGTTAATGACTCATCTTATGACTCTTGGGGACTTTCTCTGCCCTGTAAATACCACATCCCTCTTCTACCAAATAAATGTTATTATTATTATTATTATTATTATTATTATTATTATTATTATTTTTGTAGCCCATGGCCCAGTCTAATTATGACAAAAAGGTTTACAAAGAGACACACTTTAAAGATAGGGACATGGATGGGCTCAAGACGGTAAAGGATGTGCTGTATTCTGCAAACCCAAGCATAGAAGCATAGAAGACTGGAATGGCTATCTTAAGATCAGACAAATCGGACTTCCAGGTATACAGCGTGAACCGAAACAATTCCCACAGACATCCCCTCCCTGTCTCTCACCCCTACACCGTCTTGGTACTAGGTGCTTCAGACCCTGCAGCTGGGCTGTGTCTATGTGATATGGCCTGCGTCCAGTGGTATGGTTTGGCTGTGTCCCCACCCAAATATCTTGAATTGCAGCTCCCATAATTCCCACTTATTGTGGGAGGGACCTGGTGGGAGATAACTGAATCATGGGGACGTTTCCCCCACACTGTTCTTGTAGTGAATAAGTCTCACAAGATCTGACGGTTTTATAAGGAGTTTTCCCTTTTGCTTGGCTCTCGTTCTCTCTTGTCTGCCACCATGTAAGACATGCCTTTCACTTTCTGCCATAATTGTGAGGCCTCCCCAGCCATGTGGAACTGTGAGTCCATTAAACCTCTTTTTCTTTATAAATTACCCAGTCTCGAGTATGTCTGTGTCAGCAGTGTGAAAATGGACTAATACAGACAGGCATCTTGGTCAGGTTGCTTGGGTTGGGTGCCTTGGTTCCCACTTTGGGTGTTCCCCAGACCCTCTGAGTCTCCACAGCTGCTCCTGATGTTGCCTGGCTCCGGATTCTTCCTCCCTTCCTTCCCCTTCTCCTCTCATCTCCCAGGCCTTTGGCATAATCTCATCCAGGAATTTAGTTTTTACCAAAGCCAGGAAGAATCTTTTCAGCCAGCTGAAATCCCTAAGGTCAGGAAGTGTGAAGCTGGGCCACTAGCCAGGATTTGATGTGGGTGAGAATAAAGAGAACTGAACCCAGATTAGTATTTTAACAGAGGGTCCTATAAGGCCTTGAGAGCGTGACACTTTCCCCAGGTGCCCACCATCAGGGATCATTGTTTCTGCCTCCTGGGCTCCTCCAGGCTCTCACCTCTGTCTAGGTCATCGCTTTGGAGGTACTGGGCTTTCTTGGCCCCTCCCCAAACTTTAACCCATTTAAGGCAGCCGTCACTTTTTGCAGGGCCTCCAAGCTCACTCAGAAATCTTGTGTTGAATGGTGCAGAGCTAAGTTGTTCACTCTGCAGTATCATATTAGAAGAGATTTGGTTTACCCTGAATCCACTCTGACGATGTTTGTTCGTTTGACCTTCAGGTGTGCAAGTTGGTTGTCTTCAGGGAAGAGAGCAGTTCTCACTCAACAATCAGACATAACTCTGTCTTATAACAAAATTGCACCCATGGAGCGTCTAGGAACTCCCTACCCAAAGTGTGGTCTGTGGGCCAGCAGCACCTGCGTCATCTGGGAACTTGTAAGAAATGGGATTCTTAGCAGATCCCAGACCCTGCTGCATCAGAACCTGCATTTTAATGAGATCCCAGGTGATTTGTGTACCTGTGAAAATGTAAGAAGCCCCACTCCAGGGCATACACATCCCACTGATAGGAATGGAATCAGGACTATTACATATTTTGGAAATATTTTTAAACAATTAAGAAAAAAGTGATAAAAAATTTCCTTATTAAATTAGCAAAGATCCAAAATGAAAGATTATCCCAATATTTTTGTTAAATAGATACTTTTTTTGTTAGACACTGCTGGTGGGAATATAAATACAATGTTTCTTAGTATAATGTTTCTAAAGGGCAAATTGTTAGAGAAGTCTGAGAACAAATGCTCTGCCTTTTTTAAGAATTGACAGATAAAATGGTATGTATTTTTCATGTACAACATGATGTTTTAAAGTATTTGCACATTGTGGAATGGTTAAATTTAGCCAGTTACCTCACAGAGGTTTTTTTGTGTGTGAAAACACTTAATATCCACTTTCTTTGCATTTTTCAAGAATACAGTATATTGTCACGAACTGTAATCCCCATGCTGCAGGACAGAGCTCTTGAACTTATTCCTCCTATGTAATTGCAATTACATATCCTTTGACCAACAGCTCTTTAGAGGAGCAATTTCCTTTCTGTGACTTGATCTTAAGGAAAAAATTAACTTGTGATGTAGCTCCAAGGATATGGGGAAAAGGATTTTCATGACAAAGGTTTATTTGTTTTTCTAATCTTTTCTTCTTCCTTACTAACAGAACCCCAGGTTTGTGGCGGGACGGGGGCAATGCAATCCACATGTTCTGGGCGCTTTGCAGGTAAGGGTGGCCAATGAGATGTAAGCAGAAGTCACTGGGAGATACCAGGCAGGAAAACGCTTTCTCAGGGGAATCCACTCAGTTACGAGCATCCTCTGACCTATAATTCCGCACCCCTCTCCCCCTTTGTCCTGCTCTGGAGTCCCAGTGGCCTGTTGGAGATGACCATTACCCAACAACCGATGTCAATGCAGCCTCCTTCCAGACTTTTTATTTTATATATATTTAAAAAAATCTAATTTGTCCAAGTCAGTCTTTCAGGAGTTTGATATTTGCAGGTGAGCACAACTCCTTACTTGCACACAACCTATATATCCAAAAATAGGGGCTTGACGAATACATTGTCATTTATCCACACAATGAAATGCTATACAGCATTAAAAAATCATGCAGAACTGTGGTTTCAAATTATTTCTAGTAAAGGACACCTCCACTTTTTCATAATCAGTCTTTCTAGAATCCCAGTGTACAGAACTGTTTAGAAGTAGAGCTCTCCCACTTTGGGAGGCTGAGGCAGGCGGATCACTTGAGGTTGGGAGTTCCGGACCAGCCTGGCCAACATGGTGAAACCCGGTCTCTACTAAAAATGCAAAAACAAGCTGGGTGTGGTGGCAGGCACCTGTGGTCCCGCTGCTCTGGAGGCTGAGGCATAAGAGTAGCTTGAACCCAAGAGGCGGAGGTTGCAGAGAGCAGGGATTGCAGCACTGCACTACAGCCTGGTGACAGAGCAAGACTGTGTCTCAAAAAAGAAAAAAAAAAAAGAAAGGATATTAAAGTCATTAAGGTCCCTGAAAATGGCTATAACAACAACAAAAAAAATGTGACTTACAAAAAGAAACCTACAGACTTGTCAACCAAATGTAACGTGTGAACTCTGGATCCTACTCTGTATATTGACCAAATATCTGACGATTTGAAGAACTCTTTGGGAATTTTATTTTATTTTCTAAATTTGTTTGTTACTGGGGCTTGTTTCTCCAAGAATTTTTTTTTGTAACTTAAATAAAAAATAAAATAAAGTAATGCTCTTCTAGGTTGACTTGGGAGTAGGGACTTATCATCTCTTCCTTCCATCTGCAAAATGTCCTCTCCCCTCTGTAGGGGCCCTGAAATACCTTCACAGGTCTCCAGAATTTGGTAAAACTATAGAACACAGTTTGAAATGCATTATTATATAATTATCTCTTAATCTACAGGGAGAAAAAAAGCTCATGAGATCTTAAGCAAACAGCTTACTAGTTGAATTATGATACGATCCGATTTTATGTTTAAGAATATATATATATATAGAAATATTAATTTTCCCAGGCTTCAACACTCTTTGGGAAAAATGAAGTTACATTCATCGTCATTACTCAAATTCCCCTGGTTGGTGGACTCCATTTGCAGAACAGCAGCACTTTCTTCCTCTGTCTCTCTAGTTATTCCTGAAGGGCCTTAGGGGTGTTTCCCATGTGTCAGGAGCATGAACCCTCAAATTCTTTCCCTGGCTTCATGGTTCCTATGGCCTACTGAGGTGTCTGAGGACAATCCAGTCCCTGCTGGTGCCCTGGAAGGGGACACCATCCGGCCAGCATTCCCACCTGTCCCGCATATGCCTCGGTCCTGCAAGGGGTCAGGCCATGCCACTTTCTGCGAAGAACCAGGAGGATAAACAATATTTCATGGGGCTGAGCTGTAGCTCAGGGACAGCCTGGGTACCAGAGGCCATGCCAGTAGTCATGCTTTCTTCCTTGTTGCTAGTCCTGTCTGGCTCTATGCATCCATGCACCTAGCTTCAACCTCCCAGACTTTCTCCACCTTCACCTTCAAACGAGCTGCTGTGGGAGGCGGGGGTCCCCTCCCCCATCCTGTGTGTGTATGTGTATATGTAAATTGGAACTTAAAAATTTAATAGTAGTTTCTGAATGGCAAGATTGGGATGCTTAAATTTTTCCTATTTTTTTTTCCTGCATAATTGTAATTTTAAAAATTTCTACAATAAACATGTATCACTTGTATTTTTTAAAAATAGAGGCTGATATGGGATAATTGCTTGAAGCCAGGAGTTCAGCAAGACCAGCCTAAGCAACATAATGAGACACCCCCGCAACTTCTCTAAAAATTTTTTAAGATTAGCCAAGCATGGTGGTACGTGTCTGTAGTTCCAGCTATTCAAGAGGCTCAGGTGGGAGGATCACTTGAGCTCAGGAGTGGACTCAGTGACTGCTATGACTGTGCCACTGCACTCCAGCCCAGGTAACAGAAAAAATGAAGTCACCCCATCTCTGGAAAAAAAAATTGGGATGCACCTGAAATCAGTTCTGACTCTGATCTCTGAATCTTAATCCATTTAACTGCGAGTTTCCTGCCATCCAACTTAAAGTATTTTCCCTGTGTCAGTGTTGGAGGGGTGGAAGTGGGAGTGGGCAGAGGACAGTGTATGTGTGTGTGTTGAGAGGAGGAGGAAATACTATAGACATTGAAAAATCACGTAGAACTATAGCTTCAAAGTATTTCTAGTAGAGGACACCTTTCCTTTTTTGTATTGTCCTTCATAGAATACCAGTATTTACCTACTGTGAACAGCTAATAAGATGTGTGTATGGAAGACTGAAGACAGTCTGAAGATGCATCTCAACAAGGCCTAAGTCTCCCTTCCTCTGGGACTGTCCGGAGTGCTAGTTCACTGGGCTCCTTGCTCTGAGGCTGGTGGGAACTGGATTTCAGGACACAGGCTGACCACACAGGGAGCTGTACCGCAGCCCTTCCAACTGGGACTCCCCTCGGTTCTCACACTGTGGCAGTAGTGGGTTGGGAGGCTCCAGGCACGGGGAGGGTAGTAGGATGATGAGGATGGTGGTTGATATGACAAAGGACGAGTATGGGTTTCACCACAGAAAACCACACAATGTCCTAATTCCTATTAACTTCTGCACCTTGCAGGCCTTTCTTTAGCTGCTAAAAGGCTGTCGGTCTTTGCTGATTTGCAGAAAGGTGCACGCTCATGATGAGGTTTTCAATTCAGGTGGGAACTAGACGAGCAGGTAAGGGCCGCCTGCACGGAGGGTCCTTGTCTCTGTGGAGTTTACGGCATTCGTGGTTTTCCTCGGAAGGAGCTGCTTGTGTGGTGAATTCTGCTTTGAGAACTGGACTTTCCAAGTGCTCCCATGGCAGGGGACAACATTTCAGAGCTCCCTTTTCACTGTTACAACAAAAGAAGGCTCTTCCTGTGTCCGGTGAGACCCCTGAAATACGAGTCATCCCCACTCCTGACCCACTCCCAATACCTACCAGCTGCTCCTTGCTTTAGTTTTAGAATATCCCTTTTGACCTTCTCTCTCCCTTTTTGTCACTGTCGTTTGACCCTGAGTTTCCCCTGCCCACATCCTGCCTACAGTGCTTCATGTTGCTTTAAATGACTTCACAGCCCCTTGCTCCTTTAAGTGATCTAAGCTGAGCTGGGTTAGCAGGGCCACTTTCTGTGTAGCAAGGGGACGTCTAAAGGCTGCAGCCCAGCTTGGTTAGCTGCTCTAAGGGGACTCCAGTCTTCCTCACCCCACCAGGTGCCCCAAAGAGCAAAACCAATGTTTCTTTTCATCCATCACCTTTTCCTCAACAACACCAGCTAACATTTGTTAAGCACTTACTCTCTTTCTGGCCCATGTGTTTATGAGCCTAATCCTGACTGCAGCCCTGTGTGGTAGGTGCTTCAGTAAGCCCCATTTGTTAGATAAGAAAATTGACTCCTGGCCGAGGTGCCCCATATGGAAGGTGGTAGAGCTGGGGCAGATTCCAGCCCAGGCGCCTGGCTCTTGGCATGAGCAGCCTACCATAGCACCAGTTCTGTGGTTCTTCCCTCTGAGAAGCCTGTATTGAATTGCTTTTCTTTAAGTTGTATTTTGTGTTTAGTTGAAGTGCCCAATCCTCCCATTCAGTTTTCAGGGGAGGCAGGTGTGGTGGTGGTGCACACCTGTAGCCCTAGCTACTCTGGAGGCTGACGTGGGAGGATTGCTTGAGCCTAGTGAGCCGTGATTGCAGCTCTGCACTGCACTGCACTGGCGGGGTCGCAGCAAGATCCTGTCTCCAAAAAAAAAAAAAAAAAAGTTTTAAGTGGTTTTCATGGTGCCTCAAGGCTCTTCTGCCTGTAGGACTGACTGCTGTGCAGGGCTCTGGCCCTGGAGTTTAGATTAACAGCAGGAAGCCTCTTGTTTACATGGATCCACATGGCTGCAGCTTCCTAGCCAAGGGACCTCAGGACAGTACAAGGTTCTGTTCCTGGTTGACGCTCCAGTTGGTGCTGGGTGGGCCTCAGGTTGCCTCAGTTTTAGCTGTATGTTTGAAAAAGTGATGCCCTAATGATCCACTCTAGAAATAAGGCAGAGAGAATCAGGAAATAGGGTTTTTAAGTTGCTCAAACATCGCTCCATAGATTATCACATTTACTCCTTGGGCAGGTTTTTTCTTTATTTTATTTATTTATTTATTTTGAGACAGAGTGTCGCTCTGTCTCCCGGGCTGGAGTGCAGTGGTGCCATCTCGGCTCACTGCAACCTCCGCCTCCCAGGTTCAAGTGATTCTCCTGCCTCAGCCTCCCCAGTAGCTGGGATTACAGGCGCACGCCACCACGCCAGGCTGGGCAGGTATTTTTATTATTAGCCCCGTTAAAAAGTTTTTTATCGAGATGAAATTCACATAACATAAAAGTAACCATTTTAAAGCATGCACAATCCAGTGGCACTTAGTACCTTCACAGTGTCATGCAGCCAGCTCCTCTATCTGGTTCTAAAACATTTTCATCACCCCCAGAGGAAACCCCATGCCCATTAAGCAGTGACTTCCTATTCTCCCTGCCCCCAGCCCCTGGCAACCACCAGCTGTGTTTTGTCTCTGTGGATTTACGTGTTCTGGATATGTCACGTAAATGGAATCACAATATTTCATCACATATTGTGTGTGGCCTTTTGTGTCTGTTTTTATCACTTAGCATGTTTTCCAGATTCATCCATGTTGTAGCAAGTGTCGTAATTTCCTTCCTTTTTTATGGTTGGGTAATATTGCATTTTCTTCATTCGTTGATGGACACTTGGATTGTTTCCACTTTTGGCTCTTGTGAATAATTCTGCCTTGAACATTTGTGCACAAGTATCGTTTTGGGTACTTGTTCTTAATTCTTTTGGGTATATGACTAGGAGTGGAATTGCTGGCTCATAGGGTAATTCTCCATTTACCTTTTGAGGATTTATTAGCCTCTTTTTAAAAGTGAGGAGTCTGAGGCTCAAAAAAAATTATAAGTTGTCTAAAGTCACAGGAGAAGTATATGACGGGCCTGGCGTGGTGGCTCATGCCTGTCATCCCAGCACTTTGAGAGGCCGAGGCAGGTGGATCACCTGAGGTCAGGAATTCGAGATCAGCCTGGCCAACATGGTGAAACATCATCTCTACAAAAATACAAAAATTAGCCAGGCATGGTGGTGAAGGCTTGTAGTCCCAGCTACTCAGGAGGCTGAGGCATGAGAATCGCTTGACCTCAGGAGGTGGAGGTTGCAGTGAGCTGAGATGGTGCCACTGCACTCCAGCCTGGGCAACAGAACAAGACTCCATCCCCCCCCAAAAAAAAAAAAAAAAAAAAAAAGAGGAAGAAGAAGTATATGACCCAGCCAGGATGAGGAACTGGAGTTCATACTACCTTCATTCAAGGGCCCTGACTGCCGGGAACAGCGTTCATTCACTCATCAAACATCTTGTGAGGGCCAGGGCTGCCTTTGTGGCAGATTTAACCATAGCTTTCAGAAAGGAGCTTCCTAATGCAGTCACTCCAGGAGCAAATAAAACAAGGGGCTATTTTAAATCAAAAATCAACACGACTGGCTCACACATAAATTCCATTAAGCCAACACTCTATTTGAACACGCTGCTGAGCCAGGCGTCTTGTCTTGCTGCATCTTTTAACTTGAAGGTGGGCATTTCAGCCTGCACAATAAGGTCCACTCCCCTTAGTTCTAATTTCCTGCCACCTTCTGCATTTCTTGTTCGACCCTGGGGGTGGGGGAGTACTGACTTGGTCCTGAATCACTGTCGCGATTGGGATCTGTGAAAGTCACTGCAGAAAGATAATTTAAGGGGTTAAATGTCAGGGACAGGAGAGAGTAAGGTCCTGGTTTTAGTTCCGGCTTAACTGGGGGATGAGGGAGATTAAGAGGAGGTGAGGGAGGGGGCAGGGTTTAGCTTGATAATCTTATTTTGCAGTGGTTTCTGGGGGGATTTTACGATGAAGAGGTAAATTCTAAGGTTTGCTGTCGACTGTTTCCAGCTCCCTGGCGCACTTTCCGTGCAGCGAGGGGACGTCCAAAGGCTGCAGCAGAGCTGGGTTAGAAAACAGGCTCCCACCCGCCCTCTACTCCCCTCCCTGGCCCCGCTGACCTGATTAATCAGAGCCCTGCAAAGCCCACTGAGGAGGGCTCCTGGCTAATCTCATCTCCGCACCCACGCGGGGACAGACACCTCCGCTCGGCCAATGAGACGCAATTCTGCAAACTCGGCTGAGCGGTGGAAAATTCCATGCTCTCGGCGCTGCCCTCGGTGGCGGCCCTGGCGGGATCGCGCGCTCGGAATGCCGCAGCCCGGCCGCCGAGTGGCCACCAGCTGGGGAAGAGCTGAGCGAAACCGCCCCGGGGTCCAGGCGTTTTGCCACGAGTCGCCGTGCGACAAGTTGGGGTCTCCCTTGTTCTCCCACCTCTCTGCACCAAAAGCTCTTGAAGCAAATTAAAGAAAGCAGGCGATGCTTGTATCATTGCGGAGTGGGGAATGGAGCTGGGGGACAAATGGTGACATTCTCCCTCCCTCCGTGTGTGTGTGTGTGTGTGTGTGTGTGTGTGTGTGTGTGTGTGTGAGAGAGAGAGAGAGAGAAAGAGGCCACAGTCCTCCACCCCCACGCTTGCCCACCCAAGTTATAAATCCTGCCTGTAATTGTCCCCCTGCCTCCACCAGGCTTTCAACCCAGAAATCGTGGGGGAGAATGAAGGAGGCACCTTTCTAGATCAATCCACCTATGAACTATGGTGCCCTTTTAGAAGTGGCCGGTGGGTCCTAGAGAGCAAAGGGTGATGAGTTCGCAAAGGTGGACGAAGGAGACCAAGACCAGCAGTCAAAACCAATGGAGCAAGACCGGTGCCATGATTCAGAGACGCACAGAAAATTCCAGGGCCACCGAGAAGGGACACGTTGCGCATTCTGCCAGCGCAGGGGAGGAGGGGATGGAGGCGAGATGGAGGACAGGACTTTGCCAGCCAGGGAAGGGGGAGGCGCCCCGAGCCTGCGTTCCAGTCCCCGGAGCTGGGGCCGCAGCTTTTCCGCGAGGTTGGTCTGTGTTAGGAAATCCTATCTTTCTTAACTCTGTGTGAATTATGGCAATACCTCCCTGTTATTTCAGAGGATCCAGGCCTGTTTCTGCTCCTTGCAAATGTGAAAGACCCTGGTGAACGCAGTCCAAAAATTTAGAATGCGACCTGGTGCACAGCGCTCAGCTCGAGGAGACTTACAATGGTTTCTTCTGCCATCTGCATCGGGCAGGGGTGGGGAACTGTGGGCCCCAAGCTATCTGGGAGGAGGGAAGAGAAAGAAAGGGGGAAATACAGGTTCTTGAAACAAAGTAGGAAGCTTCAGCAAGAATCCACGGAGAAGCCCTGAGGTTGAGTCTAAAGCCCTGAGGTTTAGTAAACAAAGCCCAGCACATGGGACCTGAAACCTGGATGCCCCGGTTCTGCTAGTGACCAGTTGAAGGTCCTGGGGAAATCTCACCCTTCAGAGTCTTAGTTTTCGCCTCTGTAAAATCAAGGTCATAACCATTTCTGCCCCATCTAATCGAGTAAGGTCTTTAGTGAGACCCAAATAAAATAAAACTACGTCTATGAAACAGTAAAGAAGTATAGGGAACTGTTTTTCATCCATGTGCACAAGCAATGTAAAATCTATGTTGTTTTAATTCGATTAACTTCAAGAAAGAGCCCCAGCTAAATTAATCAATCAATACATATATTAATATATTCAGTAAATATTTGTTGAGCACCTACTCAAGGCCCTGGAGGGCCTTGTTGAACCCTCCAGGCCCTGTTCTGTGCCTGGAGGGATACACAGCTGAACAAAACACAAAAAGCTCTGCTCTTAGAAAGCTTAGATTGGAGGAGACCGGTGATAAAATAAATAGGAAAAATCTTTTTTTTTTTTTTCCTGTTTAGGCAGTGGTAAGTGATATAGAGAAAAAGAAAGCAGGAAAGGGGGATGGGGAAATGCGGGGTGAGAGTGCTTTAGAATAGGGTGATGAGGAGGCCTCATGGAGAAGATACTCTTTGAGCAGAGACCTGACAGGGAGATGGGGGGGTGAGCTCCATGGATTTCTAGGGGAAGAACATTCTAGAAGTGGGCAGCCAGCAAGTGCAGTGGGTCTGAGGGGAGACGGTGGCCTTTCCTGTTGGAGGAACAGGAAGGCCGGCACTGTCCTTGGAGGGGTATGAGTGCCAGGGTCAGAGGCTGATGGGGGGGCAGGTCCGGATAGAGTTTGTAGGGCCTTGAAGGTGACCTGAAGGGCCGACTTTTGCAGTGAGTGTTCCTGACAGCTGGGGGGGGGCACGACTGAAGCTCTGCCTTGGGTCTTACCTGGCCGTAAGGCAACTCCATTTTTAGCTTGGATCCTGGCAGGCAACCAACAAGCATTTATTGCAGGGCTGGCTGTGTGTTCTCGGCTGCGCTGGGAGCTCTGTGAATATCCGGAGATATAACAGGGATCCTTAGCTTTGGGGAGGCCACAGACTTGCTGTGAATAGAATTTAGCTGCAAAAGGCAGTTAGTGACCAATGCAAGACTATTCGTGTCACTCGCTGCATTGTGTGGAGGGCCTAGAAGCATGAGGGAGGCTGGGGTTTTGGGAACCCCAGGGGCAACCGGGACTATGCTGGGATCATGGTAGGTGCTTTACTTGTTTGCGAACAGACTGAGTGATTCTGAGTTGCATACTCAGGGAGCTCTTTGTGGCTAATTAAGTCCTTTTCCTACCCAGGCCCAGGTGGCCAGCAGCCCCTGGCAGCCGCGCACATGCTGCTCAGTGTTGCCAGCGCACAGCAGGGGCTGCTGCAGATGGTCCTCCAGCCACAGGGTGATAAAAGGCCTCCTGAAGAAGTAAATGACCCTGCTGGTTGCTGTGTGGAATGTTTCCCCCAGGGAAATTAAAAAATGGAATCCAGTGTCCAGGCCTCAGTCTCATGTCTTTAATAGGCTAGTCAAGATCCTGGGGCCAGGGCCTGGGGGCAGCTTCTTCCTGCTGGAGAGGCCAGTTTCCTTTCCCAGTCTCTGACCCTTCTCGGTTTTGGAATCCTGCTTGAGACCTCTCAACTCTCACCAGGCGAGGAGGGTGATCTGGGGTAGAGAAATGACATGAAGTCATTTCAGAAAATCCCACAATGCCTCATCACCCAGAATCCTTTGCGGAGCTGGCTGGCCGGCCCTGGGCTCCCTTTCAGCTGCTCTAGAATGTAGCAATGGTGGGCTCCTTTGGGGGCCATCTAGAAGCACCCTGCCCCTGGGCACCTGCCTCCTCACTGGAGGAGACCAGAGGCCACGTCCCAGCCCTGTGCTTCCAGCTCTGGAACTGCCCTTGACTTCACTGGACAGGCCTGAGCAAGTCGTGTAACCTTCAGGGACTCAGCTATGCCCACTCCAGGCTCTGTGAAACCAAGACAACCTCACGTGCTCAGTTCCTCAGCTCTGCAGGAGCCAGGCTGCTCTGGGGTAAGGAAAGGGAGAGAGAGGGATATTGTCCTATGCTTCCTTCACATAGCTGAACGTTTTATTTATTTAACTTTTTGGATAAGTAATGCATTTTATGGTTAAAAAAATCAACAAGTATAAGACATTACACAGTGAAAAGTGTCCTTTCCCATCTGCTCAATTCTTTTCTTTCTTTCTTTTTTTTTTTTTGAGACGGAGGCTCAGTCTGTCACTCAGGTTGGAGTGCAGTGGCATAATCCTGGCTCACTGCAACTTCTGCCTCCCAGGTTCCAGCAATTCTCTTGCCTCAGCCTCCCAAGTAGCTGGGATTACAGGCACCTGCCACCATGCCCGCCTAATTTTTGTCTTTTTGGTAGAGACGGGGTTTCACCATACTGGCCAGGCTGGTCTTGAACTCCTGACCTCAGGTAATCCACCCACCTCAGCCTCCCAAAGTGCTGGGATTTCAGGCATGAGCCACTGTGCCCGGCCCCCATCTGCCCAATTCTTATCCCCCACCCTAAAGGCATAGCCACTGTTATTAATTTGTTGTTTATCCTTCTAGAGTTTTGTGGGATTTTTGCACATACAAGCACATGGAATATGTTCTTCCCCCACTCCCAACTCTTTTTCTACTTGATTGCTAATACACAGTACAGTGTTCCTTACCTCACTGTTTTCAGTTGACAGTGCATCTTAGAGATCTTTTCATCATAGTACATAAACCATTTCCTCATTTTTCTTTACTAGTGCTTCTTGCTGTCTAAAATATGCCCAAACAATCCCCTAGAAATGGACATTTAAGTTGTCTGCAGTATTTTGCTTTCAAACAATGCTGCTGTGGACAACTGCAATTCTTCGTTCAGCACACAATTATGTTTATGCATAAGGTAAATTCCTAGAAGTGAAACTGCTGAGTCAAAGGGTAAATGCATCTCTAATGTGGACAGATGTTGCCAAATTAGCCTTTACAGGGGGTATGCCAATTTATGCTCTCAGCAGCAATGTATCAGAGAGAGTGCCTATGTTTCAAAGCTTACCAACAGACTTGGCTTTTAAACTTTTGGATTTTTGCCATTCGATAAATTTGAAAAAACCAGTATGGTTTTAATTTGTATGTTTCTCATTGTGAGCTCTCCATATCCATGCCCACTTTTCTATTGGTTTGTTTGCCTTTTGACTCATCAATTTGCAGAAGCTTATTATATACTAGGGAAATTAATCCTTTGTGATGTGAGTTACACATCTTCCTCATTTTGTCATTTGTTACTGATTTTGCTTAGGGTGTTTTTTTTTTCTTTTTCAATTGCTTTTTGCCATGCAAAAGCTTTTGGTTTTCATGCAGTTGAAATTATTCACCATTTATTTCGTGGCTTCTAGATTTTGAGTTGTAGTTAGCAAGGCCTTCCTCATGCTCCCATTTTTGTTTTAGTATTATGTTTTTTCTTTTTACATTTAAATCTTTGACCCAGTCAGAATTTATTCTACTATAAATGTGAAGCCCATATTCAAAATCCAAAAGTGGTGGTTATCAACACCATTTATTGAATAATCTGTCTTTTCCCCATGTAGTTGAGTGCCATCTTAATCCTAAACAAAATCATTGCATGATTTGGATGTTTTCCAGGGTTTCAATTCTGTGCTATATGTCCGTCTAATAAGTAATATGCCACTACTATGTTTTAATTGTTGAAGATTTTAAATATATTTTAATATATAGTATAACTTCCTCATTTATTTTATCAGAAATAGCTGGTCTATTCTTATTTTTCCATGTAAAATTTAGAATCACTTTGTATAGATAAAAACTTCTTTTACTGGGATAACAGTTATATGTTAACATTTATAAGTTAAGGGAAATTGACATCCCTACGAAGCTAAGTCTTCCTAAGAACATGATGGGGATTTTTATTTTTCAAGTCTTTTTGTTGTTGTTCTGAGTGTTTAAAAGATTTCTTAATGTCAGTTTCCATGTTTCTTTTAAACTTATTTTTAAATATTTTATCTTTGTTAGTGCTTTCGTAAATGAAGTCTTTTCTCCCATTATATTGTCTAACTGAATTTGTTTCTAACATATAAACAAAAGCTATTGATTTCTATTAATTTTACATATCCTGCTCTCCTATTGAATTTTCTTCATGATTCCATAGTTGTTTTCACTTATTTATCTTGTTTTTTCAAAGCATAAGCCAAATCGCCTGCAAATAGTGATAGTTTTACCTCCTTCTATCCATTTTTTATATTTTTGATTTTGTTCTCTTTCTAATTGTGTTGGCTAATATCTCAAGTACAAAATTAAATAACAACATGATAGTGAGAAAATGCTTGTCTCATTCCTGACTTAAGGGTAAAAGCTTTTAGTATTTCTTGATTAAGCATACTTTTTGTTTTTGAGTTTAAGACACACACACACACACACACACACACACACACACACACACACACGCAATATTTAGGGGTTCCTATGTTATTGACCATGGAAAATCGAGAATGGATTTTTACATTTTGTTGAGTTCTGTTTGCACATACACAGAGGTGATTACATAATTTTCTCCTTAGAATTATTATTATTTGAATTGGATTTTTTCACGCTGAACCATCTTTCCATTCCTGGAATAAGGCCCATTTTGTCAAGGTGAACATTATTGTTTCACTTGCTGATGAATTCTGTTGGCTGATATATTTGCTAACATTTTATTTATAAAAGTGCACAAATCTTTAGTTTACATAAAGTATAGAGATACGTAGTGTACAAATATATGAATTTATACATATACATGCATATGTTTATGTATGCAATATATACATAAGAATTTGAATATAAAAAATATAATAAAAAGCTAATAGATGAGAAAAATAGAATAGAAAAATACATGATCAATCCTGAAAAAGGCAGAAAACGAGAAACAAAGGAGTAGAAAAGATGAAATAAATAGAAAATAAATACCAACATGGTAGGACTTAATGCACTTATACCAGTAACTAAATATAAATACAAAACACTCCAATTAAAAGAAAAGCTTGTTGGATTAAATGAAAAGTGTTGAGACCCATGTGTATACTGTTTACAGTGAATACATACTAAATAGAAGGACAAAGTTAGGATGAAAATAAAAGAATGAAAAATGTTGTACCAAGCAATATTGACCCAAACAAATTTTGTGTGGCTATGTTAATATCAGAAAACCGTACATTAGGGGAAGAAATATTACTAGAGAGAAAAAGAGATGCTTTGTTATAATAAAGTGATCAATTTGACAAGAATATCTAAGAATTGAAACTTATATGCATCTAATAACATCATTCAAAATATAAATCAACAAAATGAAAGGAAGAAAGAATAAAGCATCAGTCATGGTTGAGGATTAATCGTGTATTTTTCTATTCTATGTTCTTATCTATTAGCTTTTTAGTTATACTTTGTGTGATTGCCCTAAAGATTTCATTATGTATGCTTGACTTATTACTTTCTACCTTAAGTTACTTTTACTTCTTAATTAATAATAATGCAATAACCTTATGACAGGTTAAGTCCATTACTCCCTCCCACACATGGTGACCCCACCCAAATCTCATGTTGAATTGTAATCCCCAGTGTTGAAGGTGAGACCTGGTGGGAGGTGATTGGATCATGAGGGCAGAGTTCTCATGAATGGTTTAGCACTGTCCCCCCTTGGTACTGTATAGTGAGTGAGTTCTCACCAGATTTGGTTGTGTAAAAGTGTGTGATACCTTCACCCTCTCTCTCTCTTCCTCCTGCTTTGATCATGTAAGACGTGTCTGCTTCCCCTTCACTTTCTGCCATGACTGTAAGTTTCCTGCGGTCTCCCCAGAAGCTGATGCTGTCACACTTCCCATGCAGCCTGCAGAACCATGAGCCAATTAAACCTCTTTTCTTTATAAATTACCCAGTCTCTGGTATTTCTTTAAAGCAGTTCGAGAACAGACTGATGTACTTGGGGTATTGTATAATTTTAACTTGACATGTGTCATAAAGCTCATAAGACATTATTATCTTTTTTGCTTCAGACAGAAAATATTTTTAAATCTTTTCCTACATGTTTATTCTTTTCAGTGCTGTGTGTTCCTTCCTCAAGTTCTGTGCTTCTATCTGGAAACATTTTTCTTCAGCTTGAAAAAAATTGTTCTGTAGTATTTCATGTAGTGCTTCTCCACTGAGGATGAGTTTTCTCAGCTTTTCCCCCCCTGCATTTATTTTTATTTTGCCTTCAGATCTAAAGAACCTTTAGCTACATATAGCATCCTAACTTGATATTTTACTTTAACACTTTAAAGATATAATTCCATTGTCTTCTGGCTTTCATGCTTTCTGTTGAAAAAGTCAACCATCAGTGTTAACTATTGCTCTCTTCAAGTTAATATACTTTTTTTTTTTTTTGAGACAAGGTCTTCCTCTGTCACCCAGGCTGGAGAGCAGTGGTGTAATCATGGCTCACTACAGCCTCAACCTCCTGGGCTCAAGCAGTCTTCTCACCTCAGACTCCTGAGTAGCCAGGACCACAGGCTCATTAAAAAAAGGGTTTTTTTGTGTGTGTGTAAGTGGGGTCTTTCTATGTTGCTGTATTGGTCTGTTCACATGCTGCTAATAAAGACATACCAGAGACTGGGTAATTTATAAAGGAAAGAGGTTTAATTGACTCATACTTCCACATGGCTGGGGAGGCCTCACAATCATGGCAGAAGCCGAATGAGGAGCAAAAGCACATCTTACATGGCAGCAGGCAAGAGGGGTTGTGCAGGAGACCTCCCATTTATAAAATCATCAGATCTCATGAGACTTATTCACTACCATGAAAATAGTATGGGGGAAACTGCCCCCATGATTCAATTATCTCCACCTGGCCCTGCCCTTGACATATGGGGATTATTACAATTCAAGGTGAGATTTGGGTGGGGACACAGCCAAACTGTATCAGTTGCCCAGGCTGGTCTTGAATTCTGGGCTTAGGCAATCCTTCCACCTTGGCTTCCCAAAGGCTGGGATTACAGACGTATGCCACTGTGCCTGGGCTACTTTTTTTTTTCTAGCTGCCTTTGAGGTTTTCTTATTCATCTTTGGTCTTCAGCTGTTTAACTCAGATATGTCTTGGTGTGATTTTCTTTTTATTTACCTTCCCTGTGGATCACTGAGACTCTGGATCAATGGGTTGACATCTTTCATCAGTGTGTTGGAAAGTTCTTGGCTATTATCTCTTCAAATATTGCCGTGCCCTTACCTCTCTATTCTCTCTTTCTTGACTCCATTTAGGCATTTATTAGATCTTTTGACTGTGTCCCAAATTTCACTTATGTTTTATTTTGTTATTTCCATTCATTTTTCTCTCTGTGTTTTATATTGTTTTTTGGTTTACTAATCCTGTCTTTTGCTTTGTATAGTTTTCTTTCAAAGCCAACAAGTTCTTAATTTCAGCCATTGTATTTTTAGTTGTGGAATGTCCACTTGAGTATATTCTAATTGTTACATTCATGGATTATAATTGTTTTCTTTAACACATTTTTCATATATATATATATTTTTGAGATGGAGTTTCGCTCTTGTCACCCAGGCTGAGTGCAATGGCGTTATCTCGACACACTGCAACCTCCGCTTCCCAGGTTCAAGCAATTCTCCTGCCTCAGCCTCCTGAGTAGCTGGGACTACAAGCGCCTGCCACCATGCCCGGCTAGTTTTTGTATTTTTAGTGGAGATGGGGTTTTACCCTGTTGGCCAGGCTGGTCTCAATCTCCTGACCTCAGGTGATCTGCCCACCTACCTTGGCCTCCCAGAGTGTTGGGATTACAGGCATGAGCCACCATGCCTGACTCATTTTTCATATTTTTTCAGAATCATAAAGTCTGCAGATGATATCTCTACCACTGAGGGTTGCCTTTTCCTTCTTTTAGGCAGATAAGATGAAAAGAGGATTGTTTCAATCCAATCAGGGACTGGGTGGGCTTGAGGCTGGATTCTACTTTAGTAGATGATTTTCACCCCTGATTTGCCTGGAAAGTCCTGTCTTTTGGAGGTTTTGAGCTAAACGATCATCCCAAGAAAGTTAAAATTTGGCAAATGTCTTGAGGGGAAGACTGGCCATGTATTTTGCAGGCTTCTCCCTCTGATGAGAGTTCGTTTCCTAAACACCTACAAGACTGAAGAATATTTCACTCTGCCTTTCTGACCCTGTTCCCCTCGGGACACCCCAGAACTTAGCAAATGTCTCATGGGAAAAAATTGCTTTGTATTTTGGGCTCTTGTAATTTCTAATCCATTGCACTAGCTGAAAGCTTTGCTGGCTTCTCTTCCCATGTAGAGTTCCTCTGTTTGAGGCAGGCTGATTATTAGCTCACATTCAGCTCATCTAGGATGAGCTCTTCCTCTTCTGGAATTTTTCTTTACCTAGTCCTTGTTGTTTCCGTGATTCTCTACTGTCTTTAGAGTATGATTATTTCTCATTTACCTGGTTGTTATTACAGATTGTTGATCTTTCTGACCTACGGTATTCCACAAGTATGTAGAGTACAAGAAGGCCAAGTATCCTGTTTATCAGTCTTTTATATTTAGTATTTGTTGTTGTTGGTTCGTTTGTTTGTTGCTTCAGTATCCATAAGTGAAATTAATTTATGAATTTTTGTGTGCAGTCGTTGTTAGGCTTTCTATTGCGGTTATTTCAGAAAGAGCATTTGAACATTTTTCTCTTAAAAATGCTCTGGCACAGTTTAAATACCATTGGACCTACTGCTCTTTAATGAGAAATGAACTTGGTTTGGAGCTTTTATTGGCGGAGGGTGGCAGGGAGAATCTTTTGGGAAAATTTCTTTGTTTCTCTATGGGTATTAGTTTATTAGATCTTCTCATTCTTCTAGTGTGTTTTAACAAGTTATATTTTCTTTTACGGCATTGTACAATATAAGTTGTACAGTGCATATTTATATTATACAATATAAATATAAAGCTATATATAGGCAGAGGCAACATAAGTTGCCTATATAAACAGAGGCAACTTATAATAAAGCCATTGTAAATGGAAAATATCATAAGTCAAAATGAGTTTAACATTACCTGACCTACTGAACATTATAACAGCACAGCCTACCTTAAACTTGCTCAGAACACTAACATTAGCCTACAGTTGTGTAAAATCATCTAATACAAAGGCTATTTTATAATAAAGTGTTAAATATTTTATGTAATTTATTGAATACTCTCCTGAAAGTGAAAAACAGGATGGTTGTATGGGTATACTTGAAGCATTTTATCTACCGAATGTGTATTGCTTTCACACCATTGTAAGTTAAGGACCATCTGTATAATTTCACATTTTTCTGGTAGCCATATTTTAAAAGTTTTTAAAAAGCAGATGAAATTATTTTAAATAATATTTTATTGAACCAAATGTATCTAACATATTATAATTTCAACATGTAATCAATTGAAATTTTTAATGAAAAACTCTTTTTTGCTTTATTAAATCTTCGAAATTTAGTGGCATTTTGTGCTTACAACACATCTCAGTTTATACTAATTCCATTTTAAGTGTTCAATTTTCACATTTGGCTAGTGGCTACTGTATTGAACAGCTCAATTCTGGGACATTGTCCTTTTTATCCATATATTTGAAGATTTATTTTTATTATGTTGAAAAAAGTAATTCTGTATAATTTATTTAATTTCCATGATTTCTCTGGTTGTTTGAATTTATTTAATCTCATTTTATATATTTACTTTCTTCCTTCTTCTTGATTTTGTTAGCCAGAAGTTTATATATTGCATTGTTATTTTGTTTTTCAATGAAACAGCTGTTGCATTATTTATCAGTTAGGTCTATAGTCTTCTATTTTATAATTTCTTTTTTTTTTTTTTTTTTTAGTTTCACTCTGTCGCCTAGGCTGGAGTGCAGTGGCATGATCTCACTGCAACCTCTGCCTCTCCAGTTCAAGCAGTTCTTGTGCCTCAGCCTCCAAGTAGCTGTGACTACAGGTGCATGCCACCATGCCTGGCTAATTTTTTGTATTTTTTTAAGTAAAAATGGGGTTTTGCTATGTTAGCCCGGCTGGTGGCAAACTCCTGGCCTCAAGCGATCCACCTGCCTTGGCCTCCTGAAGTACTGAGATTACAGGCGTGAGCCACTATGCCCATTCTGGTTTATAATCATCCTATTCTAACTTTTTCATAGTTAACTTATTCATTCAGCCATCCTATCCTTCGGTTCATGTGGTTGCTTTTTTCTGACTTATTTATTATGTTGTTTCATTCACTTTTTAAATTTTTTTATGCTTATTAATACAGTTAAATAAGGCTCTGCATTTTCACCAAGTACTGCTTTAGCTGTATGGCTATAGGTACTGATGGCAGTGTCTTCCTTATTACCATCTTCTGTTATTTTGTGTTAATGTTTGCATTTTTTTCTTTGACTCAAGAATTGTTTAAAAGAGTACTTAAAATTATTCACATAGTAATTGCTTTTTGCTTTTTTAATTTCTGATGTTATTTCTACATTGTCATTAAAGAAATTTTTTTGTTCTATTTTTGTTTTTCGAAAATTTTGAGGTTTTGTGGTCACTTGACAATATGGTCTCTTGTTTTTTTTTTTCCTTATTTATTATGTAACTTAGTTCTCCTTCAACCTTGTTAATGTTTTCACACTTGCGTTGTTCAGCTTTAATGTCTATCTCTCTTTGCCTGTGGTATTCTGTAGTTTCCTATGATGTATTTCAGCATGTAGTTATTTGAATTATCCTTCTTATGTTTTGGTATACTTTTTAAACTGAGGCTTCATATCTTACTTCAATATTCAAGAGTTCTCAGTCATTACCTCTTTGAATATTGCCCAATTCCTTCTTTTCTGTATTGGACCTCCTCTTAGACATATGTTGGTTCTTCTCATTTAAATGTTCATGTTTCTTCTCTCTCATATTTTCCATGTCTTTATTTTTTGAGGCATGTTGGGTAAGTTTGTCTAACCTTCCAGTTTCTTTTTGTTGTTGTTGTTGGAGAGAGAGTCTTGCTTAGTTGCCCAGGCTGGAGTGCAGTGGCTCAATCTCAGTTCACTGTAATCTCTGCCTCCTGGGTTCAAGTGATTCTTGTGTCTCAGCCTCCCTAATAGCTGGAATTACAGGCACATACCACCAAGCCCAGTTAATTTTTGTATTTTTAGTAGAGATGGGGTTTTGCCATATTGGCTAGGCTGGTCTCAAACTCTTGACCATAAGCAATCCTCTTGCCTCGGCCTCACAAAATGCTGAGATTGCAGGTATGAGCCACTGCATCCAGCCATCTTCCAGTTTCCTAATACTGTCCTCATTTATGGCAGATATCCTATTCAGTACCTCAATTGTACTTTCTTATAGAAAATATATGTGTGTTCTCTCTCAGACTTCTGTTTGGTCCTTTGATAATATGCCTGTTTTATTTTCATTCTGTTTACGTTTCTCCCTTTATCTGTTTAAACTTTTTTTTTTTTTTTTGAGATGGAGTCTCACTCTGCCACTCAGGCTGGAATGCAATGGCACAATCTCGGCTCACTGCAACCTCTGCCTCCTGGATTCAAGTGATTGTCTTGCCTCAGCCTCCCGAGTAGCTGGGATTACAGGCGTCTGCCACCATGCATGGCTAATTTTTGTATTTTTAGTAGAGACGGGGTTTCACTATGTTGGCCAGGCTGGTCTCGAACTCCTGACCTCATGATCCACCTGCCTCCACCTCCCATAGTGCTGGGATTACAGGCGTGAGCCACTGTGCCCGGCCTTTGTTTAAACATATTAAAAATCTTCCTTTATCAATTTAAACATATTAAATTTCTTCCTTTATCTATTTAAACATATTAAAACATGTTAAATTTAAACATATTGTCCTATTATCTTTGGTTCTTGATATGCAATTATTCCTATTTATTGGATCTGTGGATTTTCCCTCATGGTGATTCATTTCCTCAAATAGTTTGTTATTTCTGCTTATCTTTAGTGTGGCTCATATTTTTATGGTAAGGCCCTATTCCCTGGGTTTGGGGATCACCTCTACAGAATTGGTTTGCATTTTTCTCTAACGTGGTCCTTGTGGATTTCTTGAGTTCTGAACTACTTTTTACATTGATTTGTGGCTTGAGGCCATCGTGCTAGGCAGGTAGTGGTAAGTCACTATCCTAACAGCCCTGGCCTGGATTCTGATTTCTAGTATTTTTCTCTTTTTCTTCCCCAAGTTGCAAGTGGATGGCAAGCTTCCTTGTGACTTCTCATCCTGGTGAGTAGAATTTTTCTTATCCATGTTTCTTATTTTAAGTTAGAAGCAGCAGTTTATGAAACCTAAAATCCTATGAATTTTAGCTCTTTGGCACAGCACTTCCTGTGCACACACTAGATTCTGCCCAGGCTCGTTTCTCATGTGGGCATTAAATCTGCACCTCCCAGCCTATGTCAAGTCCCACTTTTCCATACGTCCCTCGTCTTGAGCTCCTATCATCACTTTCACTTTTCACGCCTTGGAGGCTATGAATACATTTTTTTCTTGTTAAGTTTTATCCAGAATTTTAATGTGTGAAACAGGATTGAGGGATTTACCAACATAATGTCCAGACATCCATAAGTGAGATTTGAAGAGAACATTTTTTTTTACAATAAATTAAATATGACTCTATTATTGAGTAAAAATTTGAAATTTGCCTTAATTTTTAAGATAGTCTGAACACTAAAGAAATTTTGTTTGCGACAGAGATTTGGGCCAATTGCCTTCATCCCCTGAGGTTACATGTTTGTTCTATTTTGTCATCGGGGGTACTTCTGTGGAAAGTTTGAGAGGCCTTGCCCTGAGGTGACCTTGACTGCTAGGATGGAAGTCATTCCGTGGGCAAATCCCCTGACACGTAAATTACCCACTCGCTAGCTCACTGGGCTGTAGCTGTTGTTTTGCCTAGGCTTGGGCTAAAACGTCAGGAAGCAGATTTTTAAAAATTATTGTTACTCATGACAAAAAGCTTAAACACTACAAAAGGCTGTAAAGTGGAAAGAAAAAGAGCCCTAAGCAGTCTCCCTAGTCTCCCCCTCCTATTCCCATAAGTCCTCACTGCTAACAGCTTCTCACAAACCTTTCCAGAAATGTTATATTTGTAGATACAGATTTCTTCTTTTTTTAAAAAAAACCAAATGAAATCATAGTATACATGTTCTGCAGATTGAAAAAAATTCATCAATGCATTTTGGATATTTTTCCGTATCAGCACATGTAGCCTTCCCTCGTGTTTTCAGCAGCTGTAGTGGATTTCCTGTGCATTAATAGATGTAGGGTTTCTTTCCCATATGTGTGCTATTTACAAAAACAATTTAGGGAGCATACTTGTGCAGACATCTTTTTGTTAAGTGTGTGAGCAGATTTGTAGGTTAAATGCTGGGCTGAAGGTATGCGCCTTTGAGCTTTTGATGGACAAGTTTGAAGTGCTTTCCAAAAAAAGCTGCAGCAATTTGCACTCCCAGAAACAGTAGAAGACCCACCCAGTGAGCAGGACTAAGGAGCCTCCAGATTTGTCCTTTCTGCCTGCCTGGCATCCTCAAAGCATGCAGGGATGTTGCTGTCTGACACGCTTCCTCCCGAAGCTGAACTGGCTGTCAAGAACAAAAATCTGGTTATTGATATCAAGATCAGATGCTGCTTGATTTTGAGGGATATGGTTGCTTGAGTGGCTTTGGTATTCCAAATAGAGATTAGGGATGGGCCAGATGCTGGTTGGGGGGCATAGGGGACAGTGGATGAAAAAGCAATCTATTCATGGATTCACCAAACTCTTTATTTCTTAACAAGTATTATTGTTTTTTGATAAGTAAGACATTTTCACTGTTAAAAAAGGGGGAAATATGAAAACACACAAAGTAGTTAATAAAGCTACTGATACGTGGGTAATTAAATAATGCTAATTAAATAAAACTACTTTGTATGTGGGGTAACTGATACCCCAGACAGTTAATAAAAATAATTCCAATGCTGAGATGAACACTGTGTTTGGTCATTTCTCTGAGCCACTTCCCAACTATCCTAATTCCCCAGCTACCCAGTCTCTCTCCAGGACTTCCCAGACCTTCTTATGGTTCAGAAACTAATAGGTCAACACCCAGTACAGCAAAATATGGCCTTTTGTTTTTTTCTTTTGGGTGCATATGCATATGTGTACACCCTACACATAGGAATGATAGAATATTTAACAGCTGGTTCCGCATGGGCACGACCAACGGGGTGGACAGGAGTCTGGGAGGCTGGCTTTTGCTGTACTGGGTGTTGACCCATTAGGTTCTAGACCATGGGAAGGTCTGGGAAGTCCTGGGTTGTGGGGGAGTTAGGAGGACTGGGGAGTGGCTTGGGAAGTGACTATTTATCATTTATTATGAAATGTTTTTAATATTTTATTTTATTTTTTTTGAGACAGGGTTTCACTCTTGTTGCCCAGGCTGGAGTGCAATAGCCCGATCTCAGCTCACTGCAACCTCCGCCTCCCGGGTTCAAGCAATTCTGCCTCAGCCTCCTGAGTCACTGGGATTACAGGCATGTGCCACCATGCCTGGCTAATTTAATATTTTTAGTAGAGATGGGGTTTCTCCATGTTGGTCAGGCTGGTCTCGAACTACTGACCTCAGGTGATCTGCCCACCTTGGCCTCCCAAAGTGCTGGGATTACAGGCATGAACCACCGCACCCAGCCCTGTTTTTAATATTTTAGCACCCTCTGTGTCCATACTGGTGCATACTGCCCTCTAAGTGTGCATTCCAGTTTGTGTACTTTTAAATATAATTAAAACCATACATTGCACCAACTATTTGCTGCTTACAAGAGATATGCTTTAATGATAAGGATACAGAAAGTTTGGAAGTAAAGCTAGAAAGATACACCATGCAAATAGTTACCAAAATTTATACTGATCTTAATGATTTGTAACTCTTTTAACTTACCATTGTCCCTATGGTAAAACATTCTTCTGTGTTGTTGCATATTATGTTATGGAATGCATGTATCATCATTCATTTAGCTAATGAAAATATTATTAGACATTTTAGTAATTTCTAGCATTTTATTTATTTATTTATTTTGAGACGGAGTCTCACTCTGTCGCCCAGGCTGGAGTACAGTGGTGTGATCTCGGCTCGCTGCAACCTCTGCCTCCTGGGTTCAAGTGATTCTCCTGCCTCAGCCTCCTGAGTAGCTGCGATTACAGGTGCCACCACCATGACCAGTGAATTTTTGTATTTTTAGTAGAGACGGGGTTTCACTATGTTGGCCAGGCTGGTCTCAAACTCCTGACCTCAGGTGATCCGCCTGCCTCGGCCTCCCAAAGTGTTGGGATTACAGGTATGAGTCACCACACCTGCCCTAATTTCTAACTTTTTAATATAAAAAATAACACTAGGTTGAATAATTTTGAGTGTATAGTACCACCTCAGGTAATTCTTCATTTCTTTCCTCAGGATACATTTTTGGCTATAGAACCATGACTTTAAAGTTTATGTACATTTTAAAGTCTTTTTGCTCTATTTTGCTAAAATGACCTCTAGAAAGTTTGCATGGATTTCTAGTGCCATTAGCAGCACGTAACAGTCCCAGTGCCACCTCCCGTCTCTGCGTGGTATTCGTCACCATTTTATGATGAAGCAAATAAGTGAACAAACCAGAAAAAGAAAAAAAGAAACAAATGCGTCTATTTTTTAAGCTTTCCTTTTTTTGTTACTCACAAGTGGTAGCATTTTAATGTTTTTTATGTGCTGTGAATTGTGTACACTTTATATGTGTGTTCATATTTTAAAGACTGATCTGTAAGAGTTCCTGATAAAATAAGGATATCAAGCCTCTGTCATAAATGTTGCAAATATTCTCCTCAGTTTTTTGGCCATTCCTTGGTAGTTCTTTTTGAAAAGGTATTTGATATACAGTCAAGTTTTATCTTTTTACTTCTCACCTGTGAGTCAGCTACAAGTTCGGCATTGCATTTTACTAGGTGGAGGATGCCCTCAAGTCCTAAGAGGTTTAGAAATACTGGTGGAGTCTCTTTGTCCAACCCCATTAGGGAAGTGTGTTAATGGACAACTGAGATTTTATAGAATCTGAAGGAGATAGGGGCTTTGGGTAAAGCTTCCTTTACTGCTGCCTGGATTGCTTCTAAAGCTTCTTGCTATTGGATCCCCCTCAAATGTGGCCACTTGCCTAGTGATTTGGGATAGAGGCTGAATTGAAACTCCCTGGGGTGTGAAGTATATTGTTTCGCAATTTCAAGGAGGCCACTATGATATGGAGCCTCCTTTTTGTTGTTGGTGAATTCAGGGCAAGCAGACTGTCTTTTCATAGCCTATAAAATGTCTCTTTAGATCTAAATGTCACTTTGGGTATTGGGAGCTTGGATTTTGTCCTCCCTCAAAGCCCATCCATCTGTAGTCAGTAGTACTTGAGTGGCTCAGAATGCAGAGCCACTTGTTTTCTTGGTGGAGATCATTAATGAAATGCTTAGAATTCCCACCGTGGTCTTGATACCAGATGGAGAATGAAGCCCACACCAAAAGCAGAGATGGAAAGAACTGGATAATTGTTGACATTCTTAAACCACTTATTCAACTGTCTCCAAAACTCCCCTACAGAGCATTTGTATTATATAAGAGAATGCATTATCTTATTGATGATGCTGGTTCAAGCAGGGGTTTCTGTTATTTGTAGCCAAAGCCTCCCAGTAGGTGGAGTGGCAATATTGCCAAAGCCCCATGAAGCCCCATGGCTTCTTTGTACGCCCCGGAGCAGAATCTAAAACACACAGATCCGTTGCTGTTTTGCAAATCTTCGAGTTGAAATGTCCTCGTGGCTCTCCTGTAGTGAGCCAGTCCTTTCTCCTTGGCTGAAGTTTCCCCTTCCTTTCAGCTCTCACTCTTTTGAAAGACCACCCTCCCTGCACTCATCTTCCCTTCAGCCTCCTGTTTGGGGGAAGGACGACTCACTGCTGTGGGGTAAAGGGAGGGCTCACCGGTGTCGGGGAGTGAAGAGGCAGCTCACTCACTACTTGGGAGGCAAAGAGTATTTCCAGCCAGAGAAGATTTGGAGAAGACTGGTCACATGGAGCATGTTTGGCTTGCAACGTCTCCCTGTCTGGGAACTTTAAGTGGCCTGGGATACTGCTTTTGGGGGCTACTGAGAAGCTCAGAAATAATGGGCTTTGGAGTCATTTAATAGCTACTTCACTTTGATAGTGTGGTCTCTTTCCTTCTCTCTGCTCTGTCATGCTTGGTATTGGCCCCATCCTTGTAGCTGGCTTCAAGATGACAGCATCAGCTTGAGAAATAACATCCTGAGGAGTGAAGGACACTCTTCCTGTGGCTTCTTCTCAGAAGAGAAGACATTCCCAGTCCTCACTGTACCCCCACTGCAGGTTCTATTCACATTGTAATGGTCATCACTGTGCCTTAGGCTTATCTTGAGAAAATCACTGGCTACTGGGAATAGAGGAATCTTGGGCCCTTTCAGGCTCTTCTTCCCTGAGGCCCTGCCCTGGGCACACAGCTGTATGAGAGTGGAGCAGATATCTGAACAAAATGGGGGTTCTTCGAAGAAGGAGGATGGTGATAATGGATACCATGACAATCAAAGGCACCATCTATAAATACCATTTGTGGAGTTTCACCATGTTCCAGGACTATAATATTTCTAACACCCCCTCAACCTCAGCAGTGAAGTCATATTATTATCTGGTTTTACAGAGGAAAAGACTATGCTCAAAGGTCAAGATCTTTTGATATTGTTAAGTGAAACTTTTTCTAAAATACTGTGGTAATAGAGTTTGCCAGTGGGCAGCCCAGAGATAGAACTTCCTGGGTGGTGCAGGGACTTCAGCCAAGTGCTATGTGAGACTTGTCCCCTGCACCTTTCATTGAGCTCCTCAGGTACTGACTCCCCACTGGATGCTTCTTGCCTCTCACCATAGAAAAATCACGATCAGCAAAGTCAGGCCTGTTTCTAACATGGGAAGTCTTGCCAGGCACCAGGTAGACTTACATTGGAGGACAAGGTCAGAAACAAACCTTTATAGATTCGAATGTCTTCCCGCCCCCACCCCAGCCCACTTGGGGCCACCCAAAAAATGATGCCCTGGAGCCTTGGCATGCCATTAAAAGTGAAGAAATGCTTAATCAAATCACGCCACTTGAAGCGAGTTGAGTTGGAATGAAAAAATTGTGCAGTGCTGCCCGCAGTGGAAATTTACCAGGCCAAAGTGGACACCAAATACTCCCAGGTTGTTTTGAAATAGATACGGTCGCGTTCTGTAAAGTTCTGAGATCCCTTTCCAAATATTTGAAAATCTTTCCATTAACTAGGATTGCTTTAGAAGAACACACACACACACACACACACCTCCCCAACCCCAAAGGCTTATGCTATGTGCATGGAAGAAACAGAAAACTCTAGACACCCCAAATATCTCTTGAAATTGGCAGAGATCCATGAATCCCCTCTGTTGTCTGTTGAGACAGCTCTCATTTTTTTAAAGTTTATTTGCGTATTCCCCCTCAAAAATGTCATGACTAACTTTCCATTCATTATCAAAATATTCTTTTGCCACTAATTTCCCTTCTTGGTTAAAATAAACAAAACAGAGTGAATGCTGTTGGCATTGCATCTAGGATGCACTCAGCTGTAAACAAGAGAACATTTTCTTAACGGATCTTGAAAAGTCCTCCCGTGAGAATTTCCTGTGCAGTCTGTCTCTGTTTCTTAACTCCATTTGGCGTGGAGGGCAGAGACTCAGCGGCGGCAGGAAAGGGGAGGCTGCCTCGGGCTTGCCAGGGTCCAACGTCTCATCCCCCGCGGCCAGGCCCCTGCAAGGTACCTGTGGAGTCTTCACATGACGTGGACGCCGGGGCTGGCTACCGTGTGACCTCGGGTGGCCATTGAACATCTTTGGACCTCAGTTTTCTCAGCCATAAAATGAAGCCATCGGATCTGATGATCTCTAAGCTCCATCCTGTACCAAAACTCTAGGACTCAAATCTAGGAATGTCTAATTAAAAAAAAAACGTGGAGAAGATACTTGAAAACAAACCTTAAGTTTTAGGATTTGTGAAGATGCGGTGAAGAGCTCCGTGGGTGAGAGAAACATTTCGTTTTTCAAAGGTCGAACACAAGAAAAGTAGGTCAGAAAACCAGCTTGTCCAAAGCTCCCTTTCCAGTAACACAGACGAGAGCTTGTGAACCCCCCAGAATATACCTTGTAAGTGGAGGAGCAGACAGGGGGTGCAAAGCAGACCTTCTCCACTTCCTGGAGCTGGGGGAGAAGAGTTCCTAGCTCTTTAGCTCCTTCTAGTCCACGGCCTAATTTGTGTGGCTGCAGTGAGGACTCTGGGATGTGGGGCAGGCCAGCGGTTCTTTTTTCAGAAGTTCCCCAGGCCTCCTAGAGAAATGGGGAGAGGTCTGAGGGTGGGGGTGAGGATGACTCTCAGTGCAAAGACAGGGCCAAAGGTGTCCGTCTCGGGAGAAACTCACCTGAAAGTGACAAGACGCTGAGTCCTCCCTTGATTGATACGGCCAATGAAAGAGGGGGCACTACCCAGTGTTTCTCAGGGAGTCTCAGGGGTGGTCTCCTGAGGACACATCCTCCATGGAAGTATGTGAAGCAGGAAGAAGAAATGCTAGTGACAAAGGTGTGACCCTTCAAGGTTGGCCACAAAGAGACATCATCATCTCTGCTGGGGAGACTCTTCTGTCTGGAATAGTCTTGGGAGGCAGCAGCACCCTGTGGTCGAACTTTCTGGAGACCCCTGATGTCACGTAAAGGCCCAAAGTGGGATGGGGAGGGCAGCCACAGCAGTGCGTCCCAACTGCACGGGACCTGGTCAGCCCTGGGCATTTGGAAATGGGAAGGGACCTGAGGGGATGGAGGCATGGATTTCTATATTAGTACCAGGTGGAGCCTGGGAGTCAATAACACTGGGAGCTCTCGTAGTCACCCCGTAAATCAGATTGGCTTAGGGAGCTGAAGATGACATTGGCAACACTCTTAACAGCCGCTCCTCAAACATGGCTCCCAGTTCAGGTCAGGAGACCAAGGCTTGGCGGCTGTGCTAGTTTCAAGGGAAGTGAGGAAAACAAGAATGAGACAGTGCTTTCTTCCATACATCTAAATTCATTTCACTTAAAAGACTGTTCTCTATTTTGAGAGTATGTCTTCCCCAATTTTGGCGTTAAAAGTATCCTTTCATGAAATAATGGCAACACATGATAGGTTTAGAAAAAAGGTTTTTATTTGACAAAAGAGGAAGTTGGTACATTTTGCTGAGCCCTGTGGCCGATTCTTGTAGTTTTCTCTCCATATTTGCCTTCCCCTTTTTTCATTCTAAGAGGAGTTTAAAGGGGCATGTGACCATCCAGAATAAAGCTTACAGTTCCCAGGTGTCCCTTGGAGCTCATTGGCCCAAGTTCTGGCCAATGAGATGTTGGCAGAAGTGATGTATACAACTTCTGGGGTGTGTCCTCAAAGGGCAAGGGTCTGTCTGTTCCCTGCCACTTTTCCTCTTCCCAAAGGCTGTAGTACAGACATGGTGGTGAGTTATCGTGACTGTGCAGATGAATGCAATATCCCAGGGGCGGCAGAGCAGCAAGACATGGGGAGCCTAGAGTCTACTATCAGCCCAGGATGCTTATGGAATGGGAGAGGGAAATAGCCATTGATATTTCATGTCTTTGGAGAGAAAAATGAGTCTGCACTTAGATGATATTTGCAGAAATGGCAGTAGTTGAGATCAACCAGGAATAGAGAGTAGAGGGCGAAAAGAACAGTGCCTAGCATGGAGCCTCAAGAGCTCCACCATATAATATTTACGGCATGGAGGAAGAACCCATAAAGAGACCGAGGAGTGAAGCTAGAGAAATAGGAAGAGAAAACGGTGTGAAGGAGCCAAGGGGAGAAAGTATTTGTGAAATAAGGGAGTGGTCAGCCTGTTTCTGTGACACTGAGAGGTCCAGTAAGATGAGGCCCCACATGTAGCCATTCTGTTTAAAACGGAGATGATTGGAGACCTTATTAAGAATTGTTTCCTTAAAGTGGTGTAGTGAAAGTCTGTGGGAATGGGGTCTGGGGTCAGTGGCAGATGAGGGAGACACAAGGAGTGTGGCCACAAAGGCAAGAGTAAGAGAGGCCAGGTGCAATGTCTCATGCCTGTAATGCCAGCACATTGGGAGGCCTAGGTGGTTGGATCACTTGAGCCTAGGAATTCAAGACTAGCCTGGGCAACATGGTGAGACCCCGTCTATATCAAAGATACAAAAAACAAAAATCAGCCAGGCATGGTGGCATGCACCTGTAATCTCAGATACTTGGGAACTTGAGGCATGAGGATCATCTGAGCCCAGGAGGTTGAAGCTGCAGTAAGCTGTGATCGCACCACTGTACTCCCACCTGGGCAATAGCGCAAGACCCTGCCAAAAAAAAAAAAAAAAAGACAGTAAGAGAGGATAGGAGCTGGAGGAAGAGGAGGGTCTTCTGGTCTCTCCTTCCCTCCTCTCCCCTCTCCCTTTTCTTTTTCTTTTCTTTTTCCCTTTCCTTTTTCAAAGATTGCAGCCATGGTAATTTTTATTTATTTATTTATTTATTTATTTAAGACAGTCTTGCTCTGTTGCCCAGGCTGGAGTGCAATGGCATGATCTCGGCTCACTGAAACCTCTGCCTCCCGGGTTCAAGTGATTCTCCTGCCTCAGCCTCCCGAGTAGCTGGGATTACAGGTGTGCACCGCCATGACAGGCTAATTTTTCTATTTTCAGTAGAGATGGGATTTTGCCATATTGGCCAGGCTGGTCTCGAACTCCTGACCTCAGGTGATCTGCCCACTTCAATCTTCGAAAGTGCTGGGATTACAGGTATGAGCCACTGTGCCCACCTGCAGCTAGGGGATTTAAATGCTGATGGAGGAGATGGAAGGAACAAGCTAGAGAGGATAGCTGGTAGCACCAGGCCCTCGAGAAAGCAACAGGCACAGGGCACAGAGGGCATCTGTGAAGGAGCTGGCCCTCTCAGCAGGAGGAGGGAGAGGTGGGTGCAAACTCAGGGACATCTGTTTGTAGATTTGGTGAGACAGTTTGTTCTCTTTTCTCAGTACAGTAGATGACAAGGTCATTTGCTGAATGTGAAGGAAGGAAGGAGTGGTTTCAGACGTGGTGAGATTGGAGAAGGTTTGAAGTATAAATTGTGCAAAGAAGAGCCTGTATTGACCGAAGGAGCCCTTTGTGGTTCCAATTACCAGGCAGTCCTGAGGGCATAGCCAAGATGGGTGGCTGTGCAGTTCTGGGATGTCCCTCCAGCAGTGATCTGCTGGCCAATAGCAGGTGTAGAGAAAGTGGATGATGACATCCACCCAAGGCTTGAATTTTGCTAGATAGGTGAGACGTAAGGACAGAGAGGAAGGGAATGTCTAGTACAGACAGTCTCTGACTTGTTCCACTTATGATTTTTTTGACTTTGCAATGGTGCAAAAGTGATATACATTCAGTAGAAACTGTACTTCCAGCCCCCATACAGCTATTCTGTTTTTCACTTTCAGTACAGTATTCAATAACATACAAGATACCCATCACTTTATTATAAAATAGGCTTTGTGTGAGATGATGTTGTTCAACTGTAGGCTAATGTGTTTTGAGTGCATTGAAGGTAGGCTCAGCTAACCTAGCATGTTTAGCTGGTTAGGTGTATTAAATGCATTTCTGACTTACGATATCATCAACTTAGGATGAGCTTATCAGGATGTAACCCCACCATAAGTCTAAGAGCATCTGTATTTGGAGGAGAGTAATTACAAGATTGGACTATTGAATGTTAGCAGGATAAAATGGAAGGTGAAGCGAGTAAAAGTAATAGATAAGGAATATCTGGGGGGGTGGTCACTGGACTGAAGGCCTCAGTGGGGATGAGAGAGAGGTTAGGACAGGATGCTGTGGTCAGAGAGTGGGGAACTTGGGTTTGAGATTTAGGAGTGAAGGAGCTCTGAGTCTTGGCCAGATCCCAGCAGTGAGCATGGGAATGGGTGCTGAGGTGGAAGAAGAGAGGTGGTCACTGATCATGGGGCGAACAAGGGGCCGAGGGGCCAGGACCTTGGCTGGGCCTTACACAGGGATGCTGAGGCAGCAACATGAATGGGGGTGGAGAAAGTTGTGAACTGTTTGCTAAATATTGGTTGGATGAGGAAAGGTGCTAAGAGAAGTCCAGAAATGTCCTAGACAAGGGCAGTGAAAATCCAAGATTGACCTTAGATCTAGTTGAGCAGCTAATTTGCAGGACTGTAATTTCCAGACCACACAGAGAAAAAGTCTGGAAGTGACTCTATGGAGCCAGGAAGACAGGAGCCCAACTTCTGGTTCCAAAAGTTTCCATTTGAGAGGGCTGCAACAGACGCAGTATCTCTTGGTCAGCCTGGGGCAGCTGGGTCTCCTCAGCATCTCCTGGTGAGCTTTTAAAATGCAGATTCCAGGGCCTTACCCAGGCTAATTAAATCTGAAGGTTTAGGGCAAGTACCTGGGCACAGGGCTGCTCCATGGCCTTGGACCTGGACAGTGGAACTCAGATGGGCCCTGTGCTTGTTTTAATGCTCTGCTGCTGCCATCTTGAAAATCCTTAATGTTTGTTGAATAAGAAAGCCTGCATATTTGTCTTGTGCTTGGCTTCAGAAATTAGGTAGCCAGCCCTTTCTGGGCAGAAGTATCTTTTTAAACATTTCCTCAGGGGATTCTGATGTGAAGCCAGGGCTGGGAATCACTAAGTTAAGCCAAGAGTCGGAGGGAACATTCGATGAGATGGCTGAGATGCAAAGGTAGAGAGTTTGCGATCATGGAGCAAGAATTTGGAGAGCAGCATCGGAGGCAGGAGGGAGAGGGGGATGGCAGATTGAGTCAGGAGGAAGATGGGAGAGGGTATGATGGGAGAGGATGGATGGGTATGGAATTCCCACTCTAGGTTTCCACTTGGTTCCTTGGAGAAGGATAAGTGCTTTGGCATAAGAGAAGTCTGCTTCAGCCTGAAAGGAAGACCCAGTGGTGGGTGGGGTGTGGAGCTGGAGATCCTTTGCCTTGAGGTCTTCTGGGGAGTGCATGTGTACAAAGGTGGGCTGGGGCGACGGATAGGAGAGCAGGGCCTTTGCAGGGCTGGGCATGAGTGTGAGCAGCCTGGTCACATGGCTTTGGGCTGGTTGTGCTGCATATAGGAGTTGTGTGTTTGGGAGGGTCTCCAGGTCTCCTTGGAGCTGAGTGACTCATGATGTTTTGGCTGGAGGACAAGAACTGGGAGCTGCCGTTACATAGATGGGGCATAGAGCAATGTCAGTCTCAAGTGTGGATAACTTGGAATGTTCAGGGAACCTTATCAGGGATGTGGCATGTCCATGGGAATCCTATTTTTCCCTGGGAGTCCAAGAGGAAGTGAGCGGTGCAAAGGAAGCCAGGACAGGGCTCTGAGAAGAGAAGACTCCCCAGAGAAGTGAGCCGTAAACACAGGCACCACAGGGTCACGCGTTCATGAAATGTTGGTTGTTTTTCTAAACTATGAGAGATAAGAGGCAGTGAAATCTTCCCTCTGCTTAAGCCCTTTAGTGTAAATATTTCTTTCAAAATCAACCCAGATGGGACTGGGCCTGGAGAAGCAACCAGGTGCACAGTCATGTTGCTCCACCTCTGCGAGCTGCCTGATCCAGGTCCTGCTATGAAGGGACAAGGCCGGACAAGGTGCCTCTGAGAACCCCGAGGCTCCTCCAGGAAGGATGACTCCCTAAGAGCAGACGGGAAGCTGCCTGAGGGAAATTTCATCTCCTGAGCTTGTAGCTTGTAGTTTGGTCAGGAGAGCAGCAAGCACCATTGTCGCTCTCCCAAACTCAAACATAGCTGAGCAACAGGAGAGGATGGCGAAGGGTGTCTGCTCCAGCACACCATGCCAAATCGAAGCTAGGAGCAGCTGGGGAATAAGGGTGCATTTTATCCAGCTTGGCCTCAAGGGAGTCTGGCCTCCTGCTTGCTGGCCTCCAGCCTTTTGTGGTCCAGCTTAATCTGTTTCAAGGGCATCTGTGGTTCCACTCCAACGTTAAGCCTGAGTTGGTACTGAGTGTCCCCAGCAGACAGCCACATGGTGGAAGGTTCATACTTGGGTTTCCTAAACTGTATTAGTCAGGGTTCTCCAGAGGGACAGAACTAATAGGCGATATCTATCTATCTATCTATCTATCTATCTATCTATCTATCTATCTATCTAGGAGTTTATTAAGTATTAACTTACACTGTCACAAGGTCCCACAATAGGCTGTCTGCAAGCTTGAGGAGCGAGGAGAGTCAGTCCAAGTCCCAAAACGGAAGAACTTGGAGTCTAATGTTCAAGAGCAGGAAGCATCCAGCCCTGGAGAAAGATGCAGGCTCGGAGGCTAGGCCAGTCTGGCCTTTTCACATTTTTCTGCCTGCTTTATATTCACTGGCAGCTGATTAGATGGTACCCACAAGATTAAGGGTGTGCCTGCCTTCCCCAGCCCACTGACTCAAATGTTAATCTTTTTTGGCAACACCCTCACAGACACACCCAGGATCAAGACTTGCATCCTTCAATCCAATCAAGCTACACTTAGTATTAACCATCACACAGACTAACAGCAGAATCAGGAGCCTCACCGGGAGAGCGCAGAGCACATTGAGGCAGTAGACATGCGCTCCAGGCCACTTGGGATGTCCTGCTCTCCATAGAAATATACTAACATTATACATTCTCAATATGCAAATGGCCAATATGCACATGAAAAGATGCTCAACAACACTAATCATTAGAAAAATGCAAAACAAAGCCACAGTGAGATACCACCTCACACCCATTAGGATGGCCACTGTCAAAAAAAGAACGAAGGAAGGAAAGAAGGGAGGAAGGGAGGGAGGGAGGAAGGAAGGAAGGGAGGGAGGGAGGAAGGAAAGAAGGGAGGGAGGAAGGAAGGGAGGAAGGGAAGGAGAGAGGGAGGGAGGGAGGAAAGAATAAGTGTAGACCAGCATGTAGAGGCAACCCTGGTGCACTGCTGGTGGGAATGTAAATGGTGCAGCCACTGTGGAAAATGGTAAGACAGGTCCTTAAAAAATTAAAAATGGAATTACCACAGCATCCAGCAATTCTACTTCTGGGTATATACCCAAAAGAATTGAAAACAGAGTCTCAAAGAGATATCTGTATGCCCACGTTTATAGCCGTGAATGGCTATTCACGTAGATGAATGGAATGAGCCAAATATAGCATATGCATACAATGGGATGTTATTCAGCCTTAAGAAGGAAGGAAATTCTCACATATGCTACCACATGGATGAACTTTGAGAACATTATGCCAAGTGAAATAAGCCAGGCACAAAAAGACAAATAACTGTATGAATGCGCTTATATGAGGTACTGATTCTTCAATGGATATAGAGTTTGGTTTCTACAAAGTTCTGGATGTGGATGGTGGTGATAGTTGCACAACATAATGAATGTACAGTCATATGTCACTTAATGACAGTGATATGTTCTGAGAAACGTGCCATTAGGTGATTTTGTTGTGCGAACATCATAAAGCGTACTTACTCTAACCGAGTTAGCATAGCCTACTACACACCCAGGCTGTAACGGTAAAGCCTATTGCTCCTAAGCTACAACCCTCTATGGCATGTCACTGTATTGAATACTGGAGGCAACTGTAACACAATGATAAGTATTTGTGTATCTAAACAAATAAGATTATAATACTGTAAAAATACTGTATATGATAAAAATACTGTATATGACAATACCACTGTCTTATATGTGGTCTGTTGTCGACCAAAACACCACTATACAGTGCATGACTGTACTTAACACCACTGAACTGTACAATTAAAAATAACTAAGATGAGGCCAGGCATGGTGGCTCACACCTGTAATCCCAGCACTTTGGGAGGCCGAGGCAGATGGATTGCTTGCTTGAGGCCAGGAGTTCGAGACCAGCCTGGCCAACATGGTGAAACCCTGCCTCCACTGAAAATACAAAAATTAGCTGGACATCATGGTGCACACCTGTAGTCCAAGCTACTCGGGAGGCCGAGGCATGAGAATTGCTTGAATGTGGAAGATGGAGGTTGCAGTGAGCCAAGATCACGCCACTGCACTCCAGCCTGGGTGACAAAGTGAGACTCTGTCTCAAAAAACAGAAAACAAAACAAAAAAAGACTAAGGTGGTAAATTTTATTTATGTCTATTTTAACACAATAAAAAATGAAAACTTTTTTAGATTTTTTTTTTGGATCAACAGAACCTGACTGCTTTGAAGAAGTCTGACTCCCCTATTTTGACTGCCAGGGATAAAATGGTCAGGAAAGCCTGTCTTATTAGTGGGTTGGTTGAGTGACTGGCAATGTGATACCCTTTGGCTCCCGTCCTCACTACTGAAGATTGCTTAAACCACCATTGGAAAGGATGGGTGCTGAGCAAATCTACACGGAGTGCCATGAAGAAGGTTCCACCTCCTCTTGACCTCGGACCCCAGAGTCACATCCCTAAATGGACAGTGTCAAAAGAACTTGGGGGTTGCACTTCCCATCCAGCCAATTCATCCTTTGCTCGAGAATGAGTGTGTGGGGTTTACTGTGCACACCTCCTGAGTTTTCCAGGGTTTCATCATTTTGTCCCCAACTACTTGCAAGTTCTATGAATTTCTCCATCCTCCCTGAAGCCCCTTCCATCTGCCTTCCTTGCCTGAGGACCTGCCCCTAACCTCTTCATTTGGAACTCTTTAAACTCTTTGCTTGGTTGGCTCTTTCCCACTTAATTCTTCTTTTGCATCAGAGGAGGGTGGAGGGGCTTCAATTAGGAAGATGGAGAAGAAAAGGAAGATGATCAGAGTCTAGATTCTGGAAGAGAGTTGACTATCCCCATCCTCTGCTCCACCCCGACCCTGGATGCTTAAAGTCTTGCACTTCCAGGTTCATCTCTTGCTGAGACTTGCCAGAGCCTGTGAGGCAGCACTTGCTAGAAGAATGTCCACTCCTCATCAACCTTCAAACACATTAAAAAGTCACCTTCGCTTGTTCATTTCCAACATCTGAGTTCCCTTTCACTGCAACAGGTAGGGGACACCATTCTGGTGCATGCTTTTCCTGGTAGAAATCTTCGTGCCCTTGCAAAGCTGAGAAGTAGCTCCTTCCTCCAGGGTCCACACTGCTGTGTCGCGCACCTGTTCACGAGGCACATTCCTCTCCAGCTCTGGGCTGCTGCATGTCACCTGGCATATCAGGCAGCTCTCCCAGCACCTTCTGTAAATGTTAGCGTTGGTTCCTCTGCCTCAGAAGTTTTTTCTCAGACCTCATGATCACATCACTTCATCCCTGGAGGCATTTTCTTGTCCAGAATGTCTCTGATGCTCAACAGCATCTGTCTCTGTCTGAAGATCAGATATAAGGACTCCAGCACCCCCTGTCTTTGGGTGGCTAATGTCACTTATCTATCTGCAGCCCATGCCCTAAATCAGTGGTCTCCAAACCTATCTCGTTATGTGACACATTTAGTAAAATGTTGGGGGGCAGGGCCGGGCGTGGTGGCTCACGCCTGTAATCCCAGCACTTTGGCAGGCTGAGGCGGGTGGATCCGAGGTCAGGAGATTGAGACTATCCTGGTTAACATGGTGAAACCCCATCTCCACTGAAAATACAAAAAATTAGCTGGGCATGGTGGTGGGCACCTGTTGTCCCAGGTACTCGGGAGGCTGAGGCAGGAGAATGGCGTGAACCCAGGAGGCGGAGCTTGCAGTGAGCCGAGATCGTGCCACTACACTCCAGCCTGGGCGACAGAGCGAGACACTGTCTCAAAAAAACAAAAATGTTGGGGGGCACATAGGTTTACTTATCAACTATATATTATGTAAATTATAAGACATACATACAATTGAAACTAAAAGGATGAACAAGATGAAATAAACAATATTTTGAGTGCCACTAATTGTGACAGCTTTGTATTACCATTCGTTAGTACCTGAAGGCATAATATACATTTAGATTTAAGGTTCATCGTTAACAATAAGGGTTATAGATATGCATTCGAAGTAGTCTTCTTGTGAATTTCTATCTTCTTTTGACTGGCTTCTTGTCAGATCTGAATAGCTCCATGCATTTTTATGTATTTATTTATTTGAGACAGGATCTGGCTCTGTCACCCAGGCTGGAATGCAGTGGCATTCCACAGCTCACTGCAGCTCACTGCAGCCTCACTGCAGCATTCCACAGCTCACTGCAGCCTCAACCTGGGTTCAAGCGATCCTCCCACCTCAGCCTCCTGAGTAGCTGGGACCGCAGGTGTGTGCCACCATGCCGGCTAATTTTTATTTTTATTTTTGCAGAGACAGGGTCTCACCATGTTGCCCAGGCTGGTCTCGAACTTCTGGGCCCAAACAATCCCCCCACCTTGGCCTCCCGAAATGCCTTGCATGGCCTCAGAGGAGCTTTCCCTGTCTCAGTGTGAGGAGAGAAGTTAGCACCACCTTTTCTTTTTGCTTCCTGTGTGGTGGCCAGGTCAGTATAATCCCCAATCAACTTTTAAAATAGTAATCTACTAAATCCACCCATTCATTGCATGAGAATTGATTGCATTACTATAGATGGTCTAATCTATAAATCCACTTACCTGCCTGCAGGTAGATTGCTCTGGTCACTCTGACCAGGGCTTGTCTGTCCCTCTGAGGTGTGGCTGTTCTACTCCCTAAGAGGCTTCAAGTCCTGCATGTGAGGGACTAAGTGAGGGGACCCATGAGCACCTTCATATAAAATATAGTATATTAGCTCACAAGGATTGTTCTATCAAAGTACCACAAACTAGGTGGTGTAAACAACAGAAACATATTCTCTCCTAGTTCTGGAGACCAGAAGTCTGAGATCATGGGTGTCCACTGGGTGGGTTCCTCCTGAGGCTGGGAGGGAGGATCTGTTCCAGGTCCCACTGCCCTGGCTTCTGGGGGTTGCTGGCAATCTATGGTACTTGTGGACACGGCACCCCCACCTCTGCCTTCATCTTCCATGGTCTAACTCTGTGTGTGTGTGTGCACGTGTGTGTGGTCCAAATTTCTCCTTTTTATAAGGATATCAGTTATATTGAATTAGGCCTCACCCTACTGATCTCATTTGATCATCTCTGTGAAGACTTTACCTCCAAGTTAGGTCACACTCTGAGGTACTGGGGGTTGGGATTCCATTATATGCTTTTTAGGGGAATGACGTTCAACCTATAACACTCTGTGAAGCTCACTTTTTTCTACTTTCTAGATAAAATAAACAGAAATAGAGGTTCTAATGGCTTCCTTTGGCATCCCCACAGAGAGTGGTCTGTTGCTCCCACGGGGTGTATGTACTCTCCTATGGAGGCCACTGCCTTATCAGTTCTGGCCCTCCTCCTCCCCTTATGATCACTCACCCCTAGTTCTCACTAGGAGCAGGGGGATGTGGGATGTTGATATGGTTTGGCTCTGTGTCCCCACCCAAATCTCATCTCAAATTGTAATCCCCATAGTCCCCACGTGTCAAGGGAGGGACCTGGTGGGAGGTGATTGGATCTTGGGGGTGGGTCTCCTCGTGCTGTTCTTGTGATAGTGAGTGAGTTCTTACGAGATCTGAAGGTGTTAAGTGTTTCGCAGTTCCTCCTTCACATGCTCTCTCTTGCCTTCCACCTTATAGATGTGACTGCTTCCCCTTCTGACATGATTATAAGTTTCCTGAGGCCTCCTCAGCCATGCAGAACTGTGAATCAATTAAGCCTCTTTCCTTTATAAATTACCCAGTTTTGGGTATTTCTTTATAGCCGTGTGAAAATGGACTAACACCAGTGTGGAGTAGACGAGGACCGTAGGAACTCCACCTGAGATCTTCAGAAGATTGATTTAACGGGAAACTTCTGGTGTCAGGATAGCCAAGTGAGCCACTGGCTAGCCTCCTCTCCATCTTCTCCCTTGCTCTGAACCTCAGAAATAATACTAAAGTTGTGTGTACCACACAACTTTTTTTTTCCAGATAGGGTCTCACTCTATCACCCAGGCTGGTGCAGTGGTGTGATCACGGCTCACTGCAGCCTCAACCTCCAGGGCTCAGGTGAACATCTCACCTCAGCCTTTCAAGTAGCTGGGACTACAGGTGCACACCACCCTGCCTGGCTAATTTTTGAATTTTTTGTAGAAACAGGTTTTCTTCATGTTGTCCAGGCTGGTCGTGAACTCTTGGGCTCAGGTGATCCACCTGCCTTGTCCTCCCAAAGTAATGGGATTACAGACATGAACCACCGTGACCAGCTCAAGACATAGTTTTTAAGTGAAGACATAACTGTAAACAAGAAGGGGGAGAAACAGTTTTACAATTCTTCAAAAAGTTAGCCACGAAATTATCATATGACTCAGCTATTCCACTCCTAAGTATATACCCCAAATAATTGAAAATATATTCAAATAAGAAATTGTATATGAATATTCATAACAGCAGTATTCACAATAGCCAAAACGTGAAGCAATCCAAATGTCCACCAGTGGAGGGATAAGCAGCATGTGGGATAATCCGTATAGTGGAATATTATTCAGCCATAACAAGGCATGAGATGCGGATACATGTTACAACATGGATGAACCTTGAAATCATTATGCTAAGTGAGGGAAGCCAGACACAAAAGGTCACGTGTGATATGATTTCATTATACGAAATGTTCAGAATAGCTCAATCCAGAGACAGAGAGCCAATCTGTGATTGTCAGGGGCTGGGAGGAGGGGAGAATGGGGATTGACTGCTTAATGGGACAGAGTTTTCTTTCGGGTGCTGAAGATGGTTTGGAACTAGATAGAGGTGGTAGTTGTGCAACATTGTGAATGAACAAAATGCCACTGAATTGGACACTTTAAAATGGCTAATTTTAAGTTGTATAAATTTTACCTCCATTTAAAATATAAAGCAAGAAGGTGAAGTCTTGGAGAATCAGAGACGTGTACTCTGTAACCAGGAATGGCTTCACATGTGAAGGGGACTCAGTCTCCAAGTTGGTGCCATCCAGTGTAACAAAGGCCCTACAATCAGCCTGGGCAGCCTCCACTAACTTGGTCATGTGAAAATTCTAGCAACAACATGGATTTAAAAACAAAAACAAAAACAAATGGCTTGATGTTTTCTGCTGTTCAGAGCTCCAGGACAACGTCAACGTATTAATAACCGCAATTTACAAGACCCCTTCCTGTCTTCTGTCTCACTTCCAAACCTTCAAATCTTGTATTTTAAGTTCCTCCTGTTGTCTCTGGAATGCAGTTAATTGACTTGGAATGACTATAATCTCCGGTAGAGAATAACATGCTTACTGGGTCAATAGCTCTTTCTCAAAAGAGCTGCACAAAGCAGATTATGTGTGAATTCAGAGAATGATCTTTGGTGCCAAGCTGTGTTGGATTTGAAATGTCCTGTCAAGTTTCAGATTCACAGCTTGACATTTATATGGTTATTTATGTCACTTATTAACTGTGGTATGTTTGTGGCAATCTAGTTATGATTGCCCTCCTAGCTTGTGAATAGCAAGAAGAGATTGCTTTGTGACAAGAGCTCACCCTGGGATGTTCTGTTGAACACAACTTGGGGAGGATGGGGATCGAAAGGGCTGATGGCTTTGTTATGTATTATTTTTGCTCTGTGATGTTCTAGAAGCTTTTGCCCCAAGAACACTGGTTGCCAGGTATTCTGCTGCTCTGGGTCCAGGAAAAGGCAGGAAGAAGCTTGTGAATCTGCTTCAGGTGCATGGTCTTGAACAGCCTTTGTTTCTAGGAGATGCGGAGGCACTCAGAGAAAAGCCCTGGATTTCTTTAAGGTGGTTTGGAGATTTGGCCTGAGTAGGGGATTGTGGAGAACCAATATTTTGCTTTTGGAGAAATTTGTCTTAATTTTTGACATTCTGGCATTAAAAACAAAGATATTAAACTGTGATTTTTAGCTTTTGCCTGCTGTGCAGGGGTACTGCTCTGTGCTGATGGGCATGTCCTCTCTAATGCAGACCTGGAATGAAATGAACTCACATTCCAAGGCTTCTGGTTATAATGTTTGCCCTCCCTCCACCTTCCCCACCCTGTGGAGCTTTAGGGTAAAAAGGGTTATGATGTGGAGCTTTAGGGTGAAATGGGTAGGATGAAGGAGAGGCTGGGGCAACAGAAGAGAGGAGCTTTGGGTTCAGCTCAGAACCAAATCTACTGGGCTTCTCCAGCTACAGATGAGGTTCTTAAGAGGGCGCTCTATCCTGACACTTCCAGAAGAACCAGAAAAAAAGTTTAAAAGCCTATCTGGGCCAGGCACGGTGGCTCACACCTGTAATCCCAGCACTTTGGGAGGCTGAGGCAGGTGGATCATGAGGTCAGGAGATAGAGACCATCCTGTCAAACATGGTGAAACCCCATCTCTACTAAAAATACAAAAGATTAGCTGGGCATGGTGGTGGGCGCCTATAGTCCAAGCTACTTGGGAGGCTGAGGCAGGAAAATCATTTGAACTCAGGAGGTGGAGGTTGCAGTGAGCCAAGATTGCGCCACTGCACTCCAGCCTGGGCAACAAAATGAGACTCTGTCTGGAAAAAAAAAAAAAAGGCCGTTTGTGCTCCTATCAAACTACTAATGACATTCTTCACAGAATAAGAAAAAACAATTTAAAAATTCATATGAAACAAAAAAGAGAATAGCCAAGAATCCTAAGCAAAAAGAACAAAGCTGGATGCATCATGTTACCCAACTTCAAACTATATTACGAGGCTATAGTAACCTAAACAGCATGGCACTGGTACAAAAACAGTCACATAGACCAATGGAACAGAACAGAGAGCCCAGAAATAAGGCCACACATCTACAACCATCTGATCTTTGACAAAGCTGACAGAAACAAGCAATGGAAATAGTCTTCCCTATTCAATAAATGGTACTGGGAGAACTGGCTAATCATACGCAGAAGGTTGAAACTGGACCCCTTCCTTACACCATATACAAAAATCAACTCAAGATGGATTAAAGACTTAATTGTTAAACCTAAAACTGTAAAAGCCCTGGAAGATAATCTAGGAAATGTCATTCTGGACATAAGAACTGGTGAAGATTTCATGACAAAGACACCAAAAGTAATTGCAACAAAATCAAAAATTGACAAACAAGGCCCAATTAAACTAAAGAGCTTCTGCACAGCAAAAGAAACTATCAACAGAGTAAACAGACAACCTACAGAAAGGGAGAAAATATTTGCAAACTATGCATCTGATAAAAGCCTAATAACCAGCATCTAAAAGGAACTCAAACAAATTTACAAGCAAAAAACAAACAGCCCCATTAAAAAGTGGGCAAAAGACATGAACAAACACTTTTCAAAAGAAGAGATACATGCGGTCCACAAGCATGTGAGAGAAAGCTCAATATCGCTGATCATTAGAGAAATGCAAATGAAAACCATAATGAGATACCATCTCACACCAGTCAGAATGGCTATTATTAAAAAGTCAAAAAATAACAGATGCTGGCGAGGTTGTGGAGAAAAGGAAATGCTTATACATTGCTATTGGGAGTGTAAATTAGTTCAACCACTGTGGAAAGTGGTGTGATGATTCTTCAAAGAACTTGAAACAGAATTACCATTTGACTGGCCATCCCATTACTGAGTATACACCCAAAGGAACGTAAATCATTCTATCATAAAGACACATGCATGTGTATGTTCATTGCAGCACTATTCACAATAGCAAAGACATGGAATCAACCTAAATGCCCATCAGTGGTAGACTGGATAAAGAAAATGCGGTACATATACACCATGGAATATTGCACAGCCATAAAAAGATGAGATCATGTCCTTTGCAGCAACATGGATGGAGCTGGAGGCCATTATCCTAAGCAAACTAATGCAGCAACAAAAAACCCAGTATGGCATGTTCTCACCTATAAGTGGGAGGTAAACAATGAGAACACATGGACACAGAGAGGGGAACAATAGACACTGGGACCTACTTGAGGCTGGAGGGTGGGAGGAGGGAGAGGATCAGAAAAAATACCCATTGGGTACCATGCTTATTACCTAAGTAATGAAATAATCTGTCCACTAACCCCTGTGCACACGATTTGCCTATATAACAAATTGCGCATGTACCCCTGAACCAAAAATAAAAATTATAATTAAACAAAAAATAAAGAATAAGCATGTCTGAAAAGAAATACCACACTGAGACTGCAAGACACTGCGAGACACTCAGTAAAAAGATGATCCCCAACCCTCGCCCTCGCTGCTGGTTGGGAATGGATTGTCTCGCACCCATCTGGTTACACCCTAGTGACACTGTCCTCCTCTTGACCCTCAGGACTTCAGAATCACTCAGTGTTTTAGGGCAGGGAAACTTATTCACATTTTGCCACTTTCTTGGAAAGTGACCTATACTGCTGGTTTCCACTTTTAGAAGATCTAATTAAGGGATGATTGACACTTTCCCTTCCCCAAACCATCTTCAGCTCTTGCTTTGCTTAAGTTAGAATGCCATTTGCCACAGACCTGTTGCTTTGCAACTGGGTGAGAATTTTGGCCCAGGCTGCTTGAATCAGTGACTATCTATCTATCCCGAGTCTCTGAGACTTCAGACAGGCACAACCACTGCCATTCTGTCAGGCAGAGGAGTTTCTGTAAGGGAAAACAGATGAGAAAAAGTTAAGGGAAGACCCACACAAATATGTCAAATTGACTTTTTTTATCTGCTGGTGGCTCATGCCTGTAATCCCAGCACTTTGGGAGGCCGAGGTCGGCGGATCACAAGGTCAGGAGTTCAAGATCAGCCTGACCGACATGGTGAAACCCCGTCTCTACTAAAGATACAAAAAATTAGCCAGGTGCGGTGGCATGCACCTGTAATCCCAGCTACTGGGGAGGCTGAGGCAGGAGAATCATTTGAACCCTAGAGGTGGAGGTTGCAGTGAGCCGAGATAGCGCCACGGCATTCCAGCCTGGGCAACAGGTGAGACTCTGTCTCAAAAAAAAAAAAAAAAAAAAAATTTATTTCAGAGTCTCACTGTCGCCCAGGCTGCCATGCAGTGGCATGATCTCAGCTCATTGCAACCTCTGCCCCACTGGGTTCAAGCGATTCTTGTCTCAGCCTCCTGAGTAGCTGGGATTACAGGCGTGAGCCACCGCAACTGGCCGAGTTTTGACAAAGATGCAAAAGTTACTGAGAGGGAGAAAAATGGCCTTTTCAACAATCATGCTGGAGCAATTTATACTCCTCTGCAAAAAAATGAATCTCGACCTAAACCTCACACATGAGACAAAAATTAACTCCAAATATGTCATGAACTTAAGTGTAAAATACAAAATTTTAGGAAAATGTAAGAGGAAGTTATGGGGACGTAGTGATCAATGATATGTTCCTTGACTTGATACCAAAAGCATGATCCATAAAAGAAAAAATTGATAAATTTTACCTCCTTAAAATTAAAAAAAATTTAAAAATATTTGCTCTGAGAAAGACCCCATGAAGAGAATGAAAAGACAAGTTACCTCCTGAGAGAAAATATTTGCAAACCACATATGTTAGTCTGTTTTGCATAGCTATAAAGGAATACCTGAGGATGGGTAATTTGCACAGAAAAGATATTTACTTTGGCTCGTGGTTCTGCAGACTGTACAAGAAGCACAGTGATGGCATTGACTTCTGAGAGGCCTCAGGAAGCTTCCAATCATGGCAGAAGGCAAAGGGGGAGTAGGCGTGTCATATGGCAAGAGTAGGAGCAAGAGAGAGAGAGAGAGGAGGAGGTACTAGACTCTTTTAAACAATCAATGCTTGCTGGAACCAATAGAATGAGAACTCACTCATTACAATGGGGAGGGCACCAAGCCATTCATGAGGGATCTGCCTCCATGACCCAAATGATCCCACCAGGCCCCATCTTTAACTCTGGGGATTCCCTCCCCTCCCCTCCCCTCCCCTCTCCTCTCCTTTCCTTTCTTTTCCTTTCCTTTCTTTTTTTTTTTTTTTTTGAGACAGTCTCGCTCTGTTACCCAGGCTGAAGTGCAGTGGTGCATTCTCAGCTCACTGCAACCTCTGCCTCCTGGGTTCAAGCAATTCTCCTGCCTCAGCCTCCCGAGTAGCTGGGATTACAGGTGCGTGCCACTACATCCAGCTAATTTTTTGTATTTTTTTTTAGTAAAGACGGGGTTTCACCATGTTGGCCAGGCTGGTCTTGAACTCCTAACCTCAGGTGATCCGCCCACCTTGGCTTCCCAAAGTTTTTGTTGAGAAGCTCCCAACAATGGGGTCTACAACTCTTCCTGTCTCACCTGGCCCAGTGGTTCTTAGCCCTGGCTGCACATTAGAATCACTGGGGAATCTTTGCAAAAGCTTACAGGTGTGAGCTGCCATGCCCCATGGATCACATTTCAACATAAGATTTGGAGGGGACAAACATCCAAACCATATCACCACATATTGGACAAAATACTTGTATAGACTGTATAAAGAATTCTCAAAACTCAGCAGTAAAAAGCCCCCAAAATCCAATTAGAAAATTGGGGAAAGACAGGAACAAAACTTTTCATTGAAGAGAATATGCAGAAGCACACGAAAAGGTATCCAACACCGTTAGCCATTAGGGAATTGCAAATTTAAACCACAATGAGATATCACTGCACACCTATCTGAATGGCTAGTGATAACACCTGGTTCAGGCAATGATATGGAGAAACTGGATCACTCACACATTGCTGACAGGGATGTAAATGGTACAGCCCCTCTGGAATAGTTTGGTAGTTTCTTACAGAACTGAACATGTGCTTGCCATATGACCCAGCATTTGCACCCTTGAACATTTATCCCAGAGAAATGAAACCCTACGTTCACACACAAAAACACCTTTACAAAAATATTCCAAGCAGCTCTACTTGTAATAGCCAGAACCTGGAAACAACCTCAATGTCCTGTGGTGAGTGAATGGTTAAACAGAATGTGGTCCATCCATACTAGTGTCAATTTCCTGGGGGTGACATTGTACTATAGTTGTGCAAGAGGGTGCTGTTGTTGGGAGAAGCTGGGGGAAGGGGTCTTCCTGAAATATTTCTTACAACTGCATATGAATCTATAATTATCCCAAATGAAAAGCTTTTAAAAAGTCAAGCAATTGTAGGCCAGGCATGGTGGCTCACGCCTGTAATCCCAGCACTTTGGGAGGCCAAGGCAGGCGGATCTCAAGGTCAGGAGATCGAGACCATCCTGGCTAACACAGTGAAACCCCGTCTCTACTGAAAATACAAAAAATTAGCCAGGTGTGGTGGTGCACGCCTGTAGTCCCAGCTACTCGGGAAGCTGAGGCAGGAGAATCGCTTGAACCTGGGAGGTGGAGGTTGCAGTGAGCCGAGATTACCCCACTGCACTTTAGTCTGGGCGACAGAGCAAGACTCCATCTCAAAAAAAAATGTGAAGCAATTGTAGATACTGAGGGCAGCGACCCCAGCACTGGGCTTTTAAAGTCCCTTATGGTGCTGGGAGCTGAGGAAAATGGAGCCTTTGGTTGAAAATGGAATTAATGAGAGCACGACCTCTCACCACATGATCCATGATCCAGCTATCATGCTCTGTGGTATTTACCTAAATAAACTGAAAACTTATGTCCATGCGAAAACCTGCACACAGATGTTTATAGCAGTTTTATTCATAATTGCTGAGACTTGGAAGCAACCAAGATGCTCTTCAGTAGGTGAATGGATAAACAAACTATACATCCTGGCAATGAAATATTACTCAGTACTAAGAAGAAATTAGCTACCAAACCATGAAAAGACATGGAGGAACCTAAAATGCATGGTACTACGTGAAAGAAACCAATCTGAAAATGCTATATACAGTTATGCACTGGATAGCAATGTTTCGGCTGATGATGGACCGCATACATAATGGCTATCCCATAGGACTATAATACTGTATATTTACTGTACCCTTTCTATGTTTAGATACACAAATCCCATTGTGTTACAATTGCCTGCAGTATTCCCTACTGTAATATGTTGTACAGGTTTGTAGCCTAGGAGCAATAGGCTATGTACGGTATAGCCCAGGTGTGTTGTAGCTTACGCCTCTAGGTTTGTGTAAGTACACTTTACGATGTTCACACAACTAAAACATCACCTAATGGCTGATTTCTCACAATGTTTGTCTGTCGTTAATAAATGCATGACTCTACGTATGATTCCAACTATATGACATTCTGGAAAAGGCAAAACTGTGAAAACAGTAAAAAGATGAGTGGTTGCCAGAGGTTGGCTGGGAAAGGAAGGACGAATAGGTGGAGCACAGAGGATTTTTAGGGCAGTGGAACTATTTTGTATGGTAGTACAATAGTGGATTCATGTCATGCATTTGTTCAAACTCTCAGAATGTACGACATCAAGAGGGAACCCTGATGTAAACCTGGACTTTGGGTGATAGTGATGTGTCAGTGTAGCTTCATTGTTTGTAGCAAACGTCCCACTCTGGTGTGGGATGTCGGTAGTAGGGGAGTCTGTGCCTGTGTTGGGGCAGGGGATAGACAGGAATTCTTAGCACCTTCCACTCAAGTTTGCTGTGAACCTAACTCTGCCCTAAAAAAGAAAGTCCATTTGATAATAATATTAATTGCTTCTCAGCCTTTTGGCTAAGATCAATTATAAAAATTAATATGAGCAAACCTCTATTAATATTTTTCCACAGTTCAAGGTGCTTTTAAGAACATTTTCTCCTGTAAGCCTTATGACCATCCTCTGGGGCAGGTGGAAGGTGGAGTGTGTTAAACGATGGTGAGTCCTGTGTGCAGAGTACATGCAGCAAAGGCCTGGGGAAGAAGTGTGCCCTGCATCCTCTCACTCCCATAGCCAGCAGGAGGCACCCATGTGGTCAAGGACACACTTTTCCTTCAAGGATAGGGATAGGGCGAGGGTGGGGATTGGGGCTCACCAGTGAAATGAGCTGGGGGTGGGTGTTGAGGCTCCAGCTCAGACAAGCTGGATAGAGGCAAGGAAAAGAGGTGTGTGGTCCCAGCATGAGGGTAGGACCAGGTCAGGGAAGTGCTAGGTGCCAGCTGGGTCACTGGCTGCCACAGCTTAGCACGTCAGTGGGACACTACTGTGCAGACAAGGAAGGGAGAGGAGGAAGGCAAAAAGAAGGCCAGTAATGGGGTCCAATAAAGGACATTTTGGATCTCAAAATGGGAGAGGTACGAGTCTGAAATCTGGGATGGATCCAGTAATAAACCCAAAGTGCTGATTTATGTTGGGAATTTATATGTAGTCAGAAAATGGGAGAGGATACAGTGGGAGTGATTTTTCTGGGGGCCATGACTAGGTCCCATGACTGCTGGCTTTCCTCCTTTATGCTTTCTGAAGTTATTTATCTCTTTACCAAGCACTTGTGCTGGGCACATGGTTGGGTACATAGGCATTCCTGCTGCCAAGTTTGGTGGAGAAAGCTGTCTCCCTCTTGTGGTCTCCTGGGGAAACCACTTGGTCCTCTCTTGCCAAGGAGAGAGGGGCTGGGATTTTGGGAGTCTTCAGAGGCCACCTTGGTGCTTCCAGGTGTCAGGCCACCTCCGGACAAGAAGCAAAGATTGGGAAGTGGAGGTCAGGCTTGACTCTTTCTTGGGTATTTTAGACCAAAGGGAATTCACAGGAAACCTGAAAACTGGGGGAAGTGAAGAAGAAAATAAAGCAACTGCAGATGGGGCAGAAGATTCTAGAGCCTTAGGGGCTAACTAGTGCTGCCACTTTGGTAGAAGGAACAAAATGTTTGGAAAGAGCCAGGCAAGGAGTGCTTTATCCTTCATGTCCTCTTTCTGTGAGCAGCTCTCATGACCCTATCCAAGATGACCAGGGACACCCTCTTCCTATGCAGTGTGGCAGCAGAGTCCCACTCTTCTGCAGACTGTAATGATGTTTCCTTATGAGAACAATTACAATGATTTGAGAGCAAGCAATGGTGTTCTAAGTACCTGTGGTTGTCTAATTCCTTGTAACAGGACCAAAGTCTTGGATCTCCTTGACATCCTTGGAGATCTGGTGTGGTCAGCAGAGGTGTTGACTTGGGCCATGTGGCACAGGTGGCCAAGGGGCCAGTGTTCCTGCCTCCTGGGGCATCCCAGTCCATCTCAGCTTTGGGGAATCCCAAGGCTGACCTCGTCCTTACCAATGACCGAATCCAGAGGTTAAGAAAGGAAAAAATGTTGATGCTTACTGGAAAGACAGGAAGGAGATTTGCCCTAGTGGCAGCTCTGTTTGGAACTTGAGGAAGTCAGATTGGACGCCCCTGGGAAGCAAGCCCCTTCACCTCCGGGGATGAGGGGCCACTCATCTTGGTGACCTACTGCATTTGGGTGGCCTTTAATCACTGCGGGTAAGGCCCATGGCCTGTCTTTCTCTCCCTGCTGACCATGAGCTACAGGAGGGCAGATCAGGTCCCTTCACTGGGTCCTTTCTAGTGAAACTCAGCTGTGCGGGGCTGACAGTGTCAGCTTTTTGGCCCTTGTCATGACGCACTGAATCCCAAGAGAGTTGGTGAACTTAATTAGAGCCAGAGGCTCTTACTTGTCTGCATCTGCCGCCTTTAATCCCAAATGAAGATGTTTTAAAAATCCCTGGACATTTTGCTTTTACATTTCTGATTTCATTTTACTTTAAACTTTTTATTTTGAAAATTTTCAAGCCTGCAGAAAAGTTGCAAGAATAGTGCAATGGACATCTGCCTGCTCCTGACCTACACTTACCAGTGGTTAACATTGCCACATGAGTCTCTAGCTCTTTCCATATGGAAACTTATTACTATCATTTACTGAACCATTTGACAATAAGTTGCAGACACCATGATCCTTCATTCTCTAAACATTAAGATGAAGAACACTCATTTTCATAATCACAACACAGTTATTACATTCAGAAATTTCAACACTAACACAGTACTAATCTGTAATATGCAGTCTAAGTTCATATTTAACCAATGTCCCAAAAATGTCCTTTACAGTAATTTTCTTTTCTGTTCCCAAGTAAAGACCTTTTATCCTTAGCGTCAACAATTGTTGAAAAGGTGGATTTGGCTACATGCACACTCACACACCTGTGTGCACACACACCCATACACACATGGTTTTAGTTTATTTACTCATTTATTTTTTGGTGACAAGCAGCCTCCCCTGCTGCTGCAGGCTTCTAACCACTCTCCAGGCTCATTCTTCCCAGTGCTGGAGAAAGTGGCTCAAGGACTCTGTCTCATCTTGTGGGAGGAGGAAGGGAGGATGAATTCAAACAGGATTTGAGGCCTGGCCCCAGTTTTCCTGCAAGGATATTATGCTCTTGAATTATCAGTGGGATTCAGGGAGCTTTTGCTTTTAACTTACCATCGTCCATGTATAGAATCAGAAAACATGGAGCCGAAGGAGTCCACGGAGGTCAGCTGCTGCTCATCTTTCCTCATTTGACAGAGAAGAAAACTGGAATTCAGGGAGGTGATGTGACTTTGCCAAGCTCACTTAGCCAGTGCTGATTTTTTTTTAGGTGTCCAGCTATTTTGCAGACATCCAAATCTGGGAAGCAGGGAACACATAGAAAGAGTGGTCCCCAGAGAGAATGAGAACCAGTGACATGAACATGCTTCTTGAAAGATGAAGAGGCAAAACTTTGGGTGCCATGTTGCCCCTGTGACTTGTAGCTGCAGGGGAGCTGGGTGTCAGGCTTACTACCTCTGAGGGGTGAGGGGCCAGGCTGAGGTGGTTCCCAGGCTCTTGGTGCTTTCTGTCGGGAGTCCAGGCAGGCAGAGGGTTGTGAGACTATCTATGCTTCTTGTCTAACCACTCTGGGTTTTGGTGTCCTACTTTGGCTTGGAGTCCACCATGAAGAATTCACCATAACCTGCTCTTCTTGCTTTTGAACTCACCAAGGGATGAGACACATGCTCAGGGTGAATGAAAAAATCGTATTTAAAATAATCCTTTCTTAAGTCATACCCAATCTTACTTCATACAATGTGGATCTTACAGGATTCAACAATTAGTCAAAAAGTCATGAGCTAACAAAATAGGAGCTTTCTGCCAAGAACCCCTGTGCTGTGGATTTTGGGGTTGGAATCAGTTGCTTGATTTATGGGGATCCCATCCACTGGAAATGCAGAACCATGTGCCAGAGTGGTGGAGCATCATTCCTGCTGAAGATGGCTTGGAGGAAAGCCTGACCAAGCTGCATCTGTTTTGCAGATTAAGAGAGACACACACAAAACAAACTGTTGTGTCCCTGCACTTCCATGGCCTGTGATGGCCTAAGCAAAGCCGTGATGGCTGAGCATTAACATGCAGTGAATGGAACTTGGCCTTCTTTGGAAAAAATCTTTTTTGTTTTGAAAAATATTTGAACACCATATTCAGAAGTTCATGACTACCGAGAGGGAGTTTTGGGCAAATAATCAGCCCCTATCCCCTTTTCAGGATAGATTTTCTGTTTTAATTTCCAACAACAAACAGCACGAACAGAATATGGACATGTATTGAGAGTTTTCTATGTGCCAGACACTGTTCTAAATGCATTACCTATTGTTTTCTTCGATCCTCAGCACAATCCTATGAAATAAGTTCCCATTTACAGATGAGGAAACCAAGGCTGAGAGAAGAGGTTAAGTAACTTGGCTAAGGTCACACAATAATGAAACAGCAAAGTCAGATTCAAATACAGGTAGTCTGGTGCCCAAATGCACACTCTTAACCACTATTCTTTATGTTCTCTTAACAAATTCGTCATTCTGTTGTAAGTGAGTGAGTGTTAGAGGTGGGATGTGCCTGGAATGCAGATTCCTAGGTGATTCTTCTTGGGTGTAGATCTGATATGATTTTGCCAACTTCTAAGCCAATGTGGGGCATTCAGGTCACAGGACTGGATCTGTAGTGTGTTGTTGAGCCCTGGTAGGTGGTGTGGCCTCTGGGTGAGGTAACAGCACTGCTTCATTTACCAAGTGAATGTTGGGGAGAAGTAGAGTGGTAGGCAGCCTCCAAAATGGCCCCTAGTGATCCCCAGGTCTTGGTATTTATGTCCTTGTGTAAATCCTTCTCCTCCAATGTCAGCTGGACTTAGCGACTTGCTTCTAACACATGGAATGGGGCAGAAATGATGGAACGCTACTGCCAAGATGGACTTATAAAAAGACAGTGCTGGCCGGGCATGGTGGCTCACGCCTATAATCCCAGCACTTTGGGAGGCTGAAGTGGGCAGACTATGAGGTCAAGAGATCAAGACTGTCCTGGCCAACATGGTGAAACCCCGTCTCCACTAAAAATACAAAAATTAGCTGGGCATGGTGGCATGCGCCTGTAGTCCCAGCTACTTGGGAGGTTGAGGAAAGACAGTACCTTCCATCTTGGGTACTCATTTTCTACTGGCTCACTCGTCCTTGGGGAATCCAGCCAGCATGCTGTAAGGTAGCCCTGTGGAGAGACCCACACAGTAAGTGAGTGAGATCTGCCAAAAACTGAATGAGTGAGCTTGAAGATGAATCTGTCCGACCCCAGTCAAGCCTTCAGATGAAACTGCAGCCCTGGCTGACAGCTTGACTGCAACCTCATGAGTGACCTTGAGCCAGAGGCACTCAGCAAAGCTGTGTCTGGATTCCTAACTGGCAGCAATTGTGGCATGGTAAACGTTTGTTGTGTTCAGCTGCTAAGCTTTGGGATGATTGGTTACACTGCAATAGATAACGAATGCAAGGAGCAGCTGGGACCCATCTCCTCCTTTAGGTGTCACCTGAGGTGCTCGGATGGACTAAGCCTTGGCCAATCTGCAGGTTTTCACCAGCCCCTCTGGTGGTTCCTGGGTGTGCACTGAATGTGTATGTTTTGCTTGATGTCTGAGGGTGGCAGAAAGGAAAGTGAGTTTGGACCAACCACCAGGGTGTAGAAAACTGGCCTGGCCATTGAAGCCCCTGTCTCCCTACTCCATTCTGAACTTGGATGAGGAGACAGATCATTCAGGCTTGTGGGAGCCACAGCCACCCAATAAGTTTTACCTCATGCTCTTGCCATCCAGGTACCCTGATTCCCTCACCAAAAAATAAATCTTGACCGAAAACTCTAAATTATACACAGCACTTCCATGTACATTCTCCTTTGAATTCTTATAATTGCCCTAGGATGCAGGTAGATGAGGAAACTGGGTCTCCAATGCTGGTGTAACTCTCTGTATTGTTTACAAGTTCTTTTACGTTCAAGGTCTCTTCCAAGGCATACTTATGTTTGAGCTCAGAGGAGTTGAAAGAACTGCTGGAGCCAGGACCTAAACTCAGACAAAAGAAAGAGAGCCCCAGCATAGCACCCTGCTGCCCCTGCCTGGCTTCTAAGCCTCTGTGTACCTCTGAGCCTCACCCTGCCTCTTGGGTACCACAGAAGAAACACTTCTCAGGAGAGACCATCTGGAGAAGGAGAGCTGAGGAGTTAGGCTCCCCTCAGAGGGGGTTCTTTAAAAATTCTGAAATGATGTCATTGAAAAATATGCACACACACAAAAACAAAACCCCCTCTGAAAACCACATTTTGTTTCTAGTTATAAATTGAGGATAATAACATTGTGTTTGATTTTCAGGGTTTTTATGAAGATTAATTTTTATGAAGAGTAATTACTTGGTTAATTAATTCAGCAACTCAACAAATATATAACAGAATGTTTTCCATGTCCCAAGTATTATTCCAGATACTCAGAATGGTGGAGCACAAGATCCAGAAAATTTCTCCCCACATGGGCTTGTATTCAAGTGAAAAGATGTACTTCCTCTGCAGGAGCTAAACCTTTCTATGGTTATAATTAGTGTGCAGAGGTGGGCTACTTTTTTCACTGAATTTATGTCATATGCACTGTTGCATAGGTTTTAGTCACTCCAGTATTAAATAATTTAATTGCAACAGTTTACTTAATCTTGCCTAATTGATGGGCATTTTGATGTTTTCAGTTTTGACCATTATGAAGAGTTTCTGTAAACCATTCTGTATAATTAACTTTCAACAATTCTTTTGAATTATTTCCACAAAATAAATTCATAGGAGGGGATTTGGGCTAAAGGATGTGAATTTTTTTTTTTACTCTTTTTAGATAATACCAGATCACACTCCAGAAATTATCAAATCAAATAACTATCAACAAGGTTTTTTTTTTATACCCAGCATTCCTAGCATTGGTTTCTTGATCATTTAATTCCTTTTTGCTAGTTTCATAGGTACTTGAATTTTATGAAGTTGAACATTTTCTTTCATGTCATATAAACAAATCTAGTTACATTGGATTAAGATGTGGTAATGACATCTCAAAAGTTGTAGTGATGGCCAGGCATGGTGGCTCACGCCTGTGATCCCAGCACTTTGGGAGGCTGAGGCAGGAGGATCACCTGAGGTCAGGAGTTTGAGATCAGCCTGGCCAACATAGTGAAACCTCATTTCTACTAAAAATACAAAAATTAGCCAGGTGTGGTGGTACATGCCTGTAGTCCCAGCTCCTCGGGAGGCTGAGGCAGGAGAATTGCTTGAACCGGGGAGGTGGAGGTTGCAGTGAGCGGAGATCGTGCCAATGCACTCCAACCTGGGCAACAGAGCAAGACTCTGTCTAAAAAAAAAGAAAAAAAAATTGTAGTGACTTAAAATGACAAAAGTTCATTTCTTTCTCATGCTAGATTCCCACTGTGAGTTGAGCTGTTCCTGTCCTCATTCTAGGGGCCAGACGGTGGGGCAGCCACCGTCTGAAACGCTGCTGGTCACTGAGGCAGTAGACAAGGGAGAGTAGCAAATTACGTATAGGTTATTAAACAGTCTGGCTGGAAGTTACACATGTTACTCCTGCCATTTCATTGGCCAAAGCAAGTTACATGGCCATATCCTACTTCAAGTGCAAGGGACCTTTGATTCTATCATGGGACCAAGAGAAGATACAGAAAAACCAGGAAGGTAGAACTAATGACCATCACATCATGGTTTAGTATTTGTGAATTTTCTTTTATAAATTGACTATTTATCCTTTTATTGCCTTTTGGTATGCAGTGATCCAGAGAGAAGAGTATAACGTTCTTTATTTGATGCTTTTCTCTGGGAATGTTATGTTCTCACATCATCACCCAGTGGAACTCTGATATGGCCTTTCCTCTTCTTCCTGTTCTTTTACCAACCCAAGATCAGCATTAACTGGGGGTGTTTCTTACTTTGTCTTCCCTTTTCCTTTTTGCTAAGTCAGAATGACAACCTTGAGAAGCATCCAGTCATCTTTTCCCCATTCTTAGTGCCTGGGCATTGCTCTTTCAGGTTTTCCTGCAGTTTTCAGACTAATTGGCATGAAGCCTGAGGAGTCACTTTGAGCCAAAATGTCAATGGACCTAACTAAGTGGTGATTACAGGATAGTGAGTTACTTGTTCCCTTTCAAAGGCAAGCCAGTTTGGCTTCACTTCTGGTTAACTGGTGCTTCCTTTGATGTCACTCGCGTAAAAGAGAGTGTCATTAAAAACAATCAAAGCGGCCAGGCGTGGTGGCTCCCACCTGTGATCTCAGCACTTTGGGAGGCCGAGGCAGGCGGATCACGAAGTAAAGAGATTGAGACCATCCTGGCTAACACGGTGAAACCCTGTCTCTACTGAAAATATAAAAAATTAGCTGGGCTTTTTGGCGGGCGCCTGTAGTCCCAGCTACTCAGGAGTCTGAGGCAGGAGAATCGCTTGAACTTGGGAGGTGGAGGTTGCAGTGAGCTGAGATTGTGCCACTGCACTCCAGCCTGGGTGACAGAGCGAGACTCCGTCTCAAAAACAAAACAAAACAAAACATAAACAAAAAGAACAATCAAAGCATATTTGTGCTCCATTTAAAAAGCCATTTGGTGCATTTTTCATTATCTGACCGAGAGTATGTATTTGCTTTAGATAAATGCAGATCTAATTTTCCTTTCAATATAAACCTGAGAACTCTAATGAGCTGACTCGTGTCTTTCTCATTGGATCTAGCACTTCATGTACACACTAATTAGAAAAGAAACAGTTTGATGAGGTAAAGATGTGGTTTCCATTGGGGGCAGAACTTTCAGGAAAATGATGCTGTTCTTAGTAGGGATTCCTAGCACTGGCTGGAATATCCCCATTTGGGGAGGAGGATCTCAAATACAGAAAGAGGGAGGAATCACTTATGGTAAAAGAACAATGTGTGTGTGTGTGCATGTGTGTGCACATGGGTCTGGGAGGCCACACAGATACTGGCAAAAGAGAAGCTGAGAAAGTCAACTCCACCCAGTTCTGGAGAGGCAGGTCCCTAGGACACATCTCTAGCGGCTGAATACTGAGAAATGCCTGCTTGGGCAGTGGGTTTAAAGGGGGGACAGGGCTCTCTTCCACTTGCTCCCAGGGTGGGTTAGGAGCTTTGCAACAAAAACAATGGGGTCTATAACTCTTCCTGTCTCACCTGGCCCAGTGGTTTGTAGCCCTAGCTACACATTAGAATCACGGGGGAAGCTTTGAAAAATATTGATATCCAGGCCCCATCCTCTAGAGATTTGTATTCAGTTGGTCTGGAGTGAAGCCCGGGCTTCTGCATTTTTTTTCCAGTGAACAAGGTTGAAATCCAATGAAGCACAAATGTATCATGCCCCTTCTTGTGCCCAATGTGTCAAAATATCCATTCACCATCAAACAACCACACTTGGGGGTGTTTGTTTTTTTTTTTCATGCTTAAGACGGGCAGTTATCTTAACTCTTTTCTTTGAAGTTCCATGGAGTGGTGATGTGGTTTGGCTGTGCACCCCCCCAAATCTCATCTTGAGCTGTAGCTCCCATAATCCCTACGTGTTGTAGGAGGGACCTGGTGGGAGGTAATTGAGTCATGGGGGTGGGTTTTTCCCCACCACTATCATGTTCTCATGATAGTGAATAAGTCTCAGGAGATCTGATGGTTCTATAAAAGGGCAGTTTCCCTGCACATGCTTTCTTGCCTGCTGCCATGTCAGATGTGACTTTGCTCCTCCTTCGCCTTCCGCAATGACTGAGGCCTCCCCAGCCATGTGAAACTGTGAGTCCATTAAACCTCTTTCTTTACAAATTACCCAGTCTTGGGTATGTCTTTATTAGGAGCATGAGGACAGACTAATATAAGTGGTTTGAATGGTGGTCCCCCAAAATATATGTGAATGTCCTGGATTCTTTGAATGTGACCTTATTTGGAAAAAGAGTCTTTATTAATATAACTAAGTAAAGTCAGGCAGCTTGAGATAAGATCATCCTGGATTACCCAGATGGGTCTTAAATCTAATGACAAATGCTCTTATAAGAGACAGAAAATGATAAGACAGAGACACAGAGAAGGGGGTATAGCCATGTGAAGATGGTGGCAGAGGTTGGAGTGATGTGGCCACAAGCCAAGGAATGCCTGCAGCCTTTGGAAGATGGGAGAGGCAAGGAAGTCTCCTCCCCTAGAGCCTCTGCAGGGAGCGCAGCCCTGCTGACACCTTGATTTCAGAAATCTGCCCTCCAGAATCATGAGAAAATAAACTTCAGTTGTTTTAAGTCACCAAGTTTATGGTAAATTATTACAGCAGCCACAGGAAACAAAATATATCCTATTGAATCCCTTTTCCTTTATGCATCCTTTCCTTGGTGCTTTTCCAGATGTCTTGGCTATTTTTCCAGAATAAAGTTTACGAAATTTCCATTTTTTTTTTCTGATTTCTACACATCCCTCTTGACAGATGCATACTGGTGCAACAACTTGCACACAGCAGCAGCTGATGCAAACCCATGGCTGTAGCCCTGTTGAAGATCCTATCTAACTGGAGTCTTTGTAGTACTAAGTTGATGCTTTAGGTTACAGAGAGAAGTGATGGCAGTAGAGCTAGGAAATAGGGAGAGGGAAACTCTAGGGCATGAGGCTAGAGCCAGAACAAATTTTATGGGCCAAACGCATGATTTGCAGCTGTTTATGAGAAAGGATCCTTGTGCATTGCCTTGGGGGAAGGGCAGGGGCATGTTGGAACTTTAGAGCCTGAGAATGTTCTAGGTCTTCAGAGTCTGAGAAAACTTTAGGTCTTCTTTCTTGGTAAATCCCTCGCAGTGTCTTATGTAGAAAAATAGCTCCTCCTACTAAAATGGGCAGAAGCAGAGCGGAGCAGAGGTGGGTGTGTCACAACACAATATTTCTAAGTATTTACTGGCATTGAGTGAGGGCTCACATTAACCATGAACGTCATGCCTGGGACACCTGGAGAAAATGATGTGAAGGACAAGGGGAGTCCCAGCTGGGTCTTGTGCCAAAGAATGGTGGAAGAAGGGGAACCCAGGTGGATCCAAGGAACAGATCTGGGGGACCTTGAACAGGAAGTCTAGAAACAACAGAGGCCAAGAAGAATGGGGAGTAGTCAGGTCAGTCATGGCCAGCTGGGGAGGGCTCAGACCTCTCCTCCCCTCTTCCCACACCAGGGAGATGCCACACCAGAGAAAGATGGCTCTGCTGATATTGGGTTATTTTTTAAAATAAACTTTTAATTTTAGAATAATTTGAGATTTGTGGAATTGTTGTGAAGATAGCCTAGAATTTCTATGTGCCCCACATTCCCTCTTATTAATATTTTACATGTTCACTAATTAACATTAGTATGATACATTTGTCACAATTAATGAACAGATATTAAGGCATTATTTTTAATTAAAGTCAACCCTTTGTTCAGATTTCCTTAGTTTTTCTCTAATATCTCTTTTCTGTCCCAGGATTCTATCCTGGATGCCACATTGCATTTAATTATTGTGAATTCTTAGGCTCCCCTTGGTTGTGAGAGTTTCTCAGATTTTCTTTGTGATGACTTTCACAGTTTTAAGAAGTACTGGTCAGGTATCTTGTAGCCTGTTCCTCAGCTGACATTTGTCTGATGTTGTTCTCATGATTAGACTAAGGTTATTGTATTTGGGGAGGAAGACCACAGAAGTAAAATACCATTCTCATTACATCATGTCAGATGTACAGACTATCAACATGATTTATCACTGCTGATTTTAACCTTGACCACATGGTTGAGGCAGTGTTTTTTTCATATTTGCACATTGTAAAGTTACTCTTTTTCTCCCCTTTCCATTTTGCACTCTTTGGAAGGAAGTCATTATGTACAGCCCACACTTAAGGAGTGGAGAACTGTTTGCCTTCTTGAGGTGTACTCCACCCTACGGAAATTATTTGGAATTCTTCTGCACAAGAGATTTACTCATTCTCCCCCGTGTATTGATCTGGGCACTTATTTATATTAGTATGATCTCACTGATATTTATTTTATACATTGGGTTATCATCCAATACTACTTTCTAATTTTGTTGCTCAAATTGTTCCACCTTTGGCCATTGAGAGCTCTTTCGGTTAGTTCCTGTGTCCCTTTGACATAGAAATGTGGGGTTTTTGTTCTTGCTTTTGTCTTGAGCACTTTCTTACTTTTTTGGCCCTACAAGATGTCCCAGGATTATTTTGTAGGTATCTTTCTTGCTCCAGTCCTAGAAGCAGCCAGTTCTCTAAGGAGGCCTGGTTCCTTTTATTGGAGAATGCTATTAGAAACCAAGATCTAGGTGGTAGGTGTGCTCGTTGCAACTAAGTGGTCATTGAATCTAGGCCCCCTCAACTGACAGAGTAAGGATATATGTATGTGTGGTATACTAACTTGTGTATTTACACATATCTTAAATATTTTTATATGTAACTACTTGTATCTATATTAAGCCAAATATGTGTTCATACTGATGTCTCCGACTCTAATCTATTACTACATAGATCATTCTAGCCTCTTTCCCTTTCCTGTCTGTAACCTCCCACTCTAACATTAAGAAACCTAGCTTTTACCATCTGCTATCCATTTACTTAATTGTTCAGTTTCAGTATGCATATATAATGATTTCAAAGTTGTTAACTGTACCCTCATGGGAAACGACTTTATCAGCTAGAGTACAGTTCTGGGCTTATGTACAGTTCCTTAACCTTCAGTCTTACAGACTCCACTCACTTCCAAAGTTACTGTACCTTATTCCTCTACATTCTGCATTTCATCCTGGGATCTTCTGTCTTCTAAAATGATTTTATCCCAGCTTCAATTGAAAAATACCAAAGAAGGAATTACACTTGCACCAGCCCTTGTAGTTAGAATAATTTGGTACTTTGATCATCAGGGACTGTGTTGGTTGCCCTGTTCTGTGCTGAGAGATGGTGTTGGGTTGCTGGGATTGTCTCTCTGTCCATAATCATATGACTGGTATGGAAGAGAAGAAGGTCCCACAAAGGAAATGGGGTGCAGGACAGACAAAACAACAGATGCCCACAGTATTCCACTTCTTAGTCCTACAGCACACATGCACACATCCATCTTCCCACATTTATAGCTAGAAACCTAGCCTTTCCTAATGAAATTTATATGTCTTCTCTTCCCAAAGGCAGTCAAGTTAAAATCCGCATAGTTACTATATGCAGCTGCAAGTCCAGGAGCCCTGAGTGATATGTTTTGTTCTCACCTAGATTTGAATGTGGCTCTTCAGGGTCAGGCAAATTCCTGCCCAAAAGTATTTGGATTCTAACAAAGAAGAAAAAACAGAGTAATATTTAACCAAAGTTATAAATTTTTAATAGAAGAATAGCAAGAGGATTTTCTTGATCAGTAAATATTTGTACTTTTGTAATTTTTTTCATATAATGCTGTGTAGATACTTAATGACTCTATCCATGTTTTAGCCTGGGTCTGTGGAGAAGGCAGACAGTGAAAGATATGGATTCATGTGTTCTGGAGACATCAGTTTCTACCCTCAGCATTGCTTAATGTGTGTTCTAATTTTGTTTGCATACAGGTTTCATTTCTCAGTGCTAATTGAAATTCAAATAAGTATCTTTTGTATTCTCATGATAGTTTCATTTAGTAATCACTTTGTGTCTGTCAAGAATTTTATGTATGTTCTTCTTTAACTCCATTAATCTTAGCTGAATTTCAAAGCATTGTAATTAAATTGTATCAAATTGTTTACTTTGAAACCCTTTTTAAAATGTCAATGGACTGGAATTAAATTCTATTAATTGGTACAGAGTGCCTGCAAAGGCAGAATGAGTTGCAATATGTGACCATTGCTAATATGATGAGACCAGAGTTGACATTAATAAAAGAACTGTAATAATTTACCATCTGCTTGATCAGCTGATGCTTCTTAGCATATCATAAAAGACTACAGAAAGAAGAAAGCTATTTTCAGTTGATGAAAGGTAATGATGCTGTGATTCCAAGCAGAACCTCTCAGTAGTTGCATCTTTATCACTTCCATTCTTTTAAGAATTCTGCTATATATCACACACACACACACACACACACACACACACACACAGTTTCCAAGTTCCTCAAATGGTAGAATATTTTAAATATTTCCATTTAACAAATCAATGTTTTTAACATGAAAATCCAAGTTGAATATAATTGTGCCACCCACAAAAATGATAGGGTTTAAAAAAAGTGGGATTTCATAGATATTATAGGTTATGTAGACCAATATTAGGACATAAGTTTAAAATCTGCTGAATGAACATCATCTTCTCTCATTTCTATCAATGTATTGCTATGACTGGGTATATGAGCTCATTTGGAGATAATGTCAAAAGTTTCAATTTAAGACTGTTTATGAATGTGGGACCCTGCCCTCTGCTACCTGGCTTTCTGGCCTCCCCATAACAGATAACTCTGATTAGTAGTGCTTCACAGCTCAAAAATCTTCAGTAACTCCTTAGTCTTCCACCTATGTTCTTCCACACTTTGGTTATCACTTGCCCATTTCCCTTATTTCTCATCAATTATTTTCCTTTTACTCCTATTCTTTCCTCTGCCTGGGAACCTCTTCCCAGTTTTGTCTAGCAGTTTCTGAGGGCAGTGACCCTGTCTGGCTTATGGCATAGCTCATAAGTGGTTATAATGTTTCCGTAGATATTTGCCAACAAATGAACAACTATTTACATTCTACCCATTTTTCAAAACCAGGCTCAAATAATACCACTTCTAAAAAGATCTCTCTGATTCTTCATCTGGAACTAACCTCTATGTCCATATGTTGTGATCTAGAACTCCTTTTGTTATAGCACTTTTTACATATGGACATCGTCTGCTAATAATCTCTACTTACACATCTTCTAGAACATGGGGTAATATAGAAAGTCCTTCCTCTTTCCATAAAAAGAAATCACCAGCCAATCTTATGTTTGCCCCACATATTTGCTGCTTTTTTTCCCCACAAATGACAATATGACTCTTTTCCTACCAAAATTTACCCCCTCTACGTGTGTTCTAGAACCTACCTTTTCTTCTTCTGATAAGGTACTTGCTCCCTGTAGCTCCTCTAACATCAATCTATCAGTCTTCTTCTCTTTACAGAATCATTTTCACCAGCACTCAAATGTGTTCTAATATTTCCCTTCTTAACAAATAATTCCTGTTGATGTCATATACTTTAGGAATCACCATCACATTCTCTTTCCTCCCTTTCATAGCAAAACTTCTTGAGTTGCTCATGGTACCTGTTTCTCGTCCTCATCTTTTATTCTCTCCTCATCCCAGTTAGACTGGGTTTATAACCCCACCAGCTCACTGAGGTTGTTTCTACTGAGGCCACCAGATTGACCTCTATGTTGCAAGACCCCACGGTCATTTTTATGTCTATATTTATTCAAGGTCTCAGAGGCATTTAACATAGTGTTGATAACTTCAATTTTTTTTGAAATATTCTTTTACGTTGACTTTCATGACACCACACTCACCAGATTTTACTTCTTAGTTGCTCACCAGTAGTGGAGATAAAATGAATCATAAAGAATTCTCAATTAATTCAAAAGAAGGAAGTAAAATAGGGGAAAGGGGAGTGAAGAATAGAGAGGACATATAGAAAACAAATAGAAAGATGGTATACTGGAATACTACCATATGGATAATTAAATTAGATACAAATGGTCTAAACATCCCAATTAAAAGGCAGATTGTCAGATTGGATAGCAAGACCCCATTATACGATGCCTGCAAAAAACTATATGAAGACACAGATAGATTAAAAGTTAAAGGATATAAAATATATACTCTATTAACACTAATCCAAAGAAAGCAGAATTGTCCATATTAGTTTTAGACAAAGTAGACTCAGAACAAGGACTATTACAGGGATGAAAAAGGAGAGTTCATAAAGAAAAAGTGATCAATTTATAAGGAATACAAAACAATTTTAAATGTATATTCATCAATAACAGAGCTTCAAAATACATGAAGCAAAAACTAACATAACTGAAAGGATAAATGGACAAATTCACAATTATAGTTGAAGATATCAACACTCTTTTCTCTAATTGATAGGAGAGGAAAATCAACAGGCATATGTAAGACTAGAACAATATATGAACAATGTGATATAATTGACATTTATAGAAAGCTCCCCATGATGAAAACAGAACACTCATTCTTTTAATTTTCATATGGACATTCATTAAGTTCATATGCTAAAGCATAAAACAAGTCTCAATAATTTAAAAGACATGAAATAATACGGAATGTGTTCTCTAGTGATAATGGAACTAAATTAGAAGTCTATCACAGAGATTGCCCACAGAGAACATGCAAAAGGACAGAAAATATGGCCCAAGATTAAAACTTGGGAGAATACCAACGTAGTGGTAGTAGAGGAAGAGCTCTTCAAAGAAGGCCAATGAGAAGAGATCAAAGAAGAATAAGGAGAACCGGGAAAGAGGAGCCATGGAGATAAAGGGAACAGAGAATTTCAAGGAACAACAATGTTATATCTAGAGGTGTCCAATAAGATAAGGATTGAAATAAATCCATTGGATTTGGAGACATGGAGATTACTGGTGACTTTAGCAAGTGAACAATTGATGGGAAATGAGGAAGTAAAGGCAGTGAGTATCTATTCCTCTTCCAGGCAAATCTCTTTTCTTCTTGGGAAAGCAAAAAACATGAAAGCAAGGCAGTGGCTGGAGAGAATCAGGGCCAGAGGAGGGAATTTTTTTCTTTTTTCTTAATTAATTTGTTGTTATTTTAAAGATAAGAGAGATTTGGACATGTTTGTAGGCTGAATATTAAGAGCTGGTGGTAAAAGACAGTTGAAGATACAGGAAAGGAGTTACTTGTTGGAACAATGTTCCCAAGGAGGTGGGAAAGAATGGACTTATTACTGTAGATGGGGGATTCATCTTGAATACAGATATGAGGGGCAACAATATAAGGACGAGTCTAAATGTAGATGAATTTGTAGGTGGCCATGGAAATTGCTCACACAAAGCACCTTCATGGATTCATCTTTTACCTTTATGCTGACTCCCAAAATGTATTCCTTCTCTTAGCTCTTGAGCTCCAGATTCAACTTCCAGTTTGTACTTATCATGTACAAAAACAAGCTTGTATTCTCCCCAAGTTCCCTTCCTGACTCCTTGTTCTTCCTTTTGTTCCCTTTTGACACAGACAACTGGAACCTTGAGTTAGCCTTCTGTGTGGCACATTCTAGCCTTTGTCCAGATGAAAAGTTGAGTTTCACTTGTCAAAACTGCAGAGCGTGGAGTGGGCTGCAATGTAGGTGATGGGGTGGAGAGTGGATAATAGAAAATGGGTTTTGAGATGATGAAAATCAGAGATGGCCAGGCTACCTGAGGGTGTCATCCATTCACAGAGGTGAGACAGGTAGGAGATTCTAGGTAGAAAAACAGCAAAATGAAATTCTGTGAGATTAAAAAAGAGTAAAGAGTTTGGAAGGTGGGAAGCAGGCCCTTGAGAAAACTCTGAGCTGGTAGAATTCTGGATATAAGCCCCGTCCATGGTGTTCCTTTGAACTTGATCATGAGCTTGGATGGAATCACTGAAAGCACCAAACTGATATGGACTCCCCAAATCTACTGAGGCTTCCAGCATTCTTCCAGAATCCGGATTTGAACTGTGGGTTTTCCTTTTGTGGTTCTTTTTCCATCTTTCATCCCCATCCCAGTAAGATTCATTTTTGAGTGCTAGATATTCTTCCTCTGCAATGTCTCTCTACTCTGGCCTCCAAATCATACATCTCCCCTTTTTTTCTCCTCTTGCCAACCGCTGTCTAGATTCCTTGCACCTTCTGTTTCTAGTCAGTTTAGAAATGTTAAAAAAAAAAGCTTTTCTCATAGTTTTTCTACTCTTGGCAGAGTAGACCTGGCCAGAAGCCAGTAGTAGCAATGTGCATGAAGATTTTATATATATATATATATATATATGTAATAATGAAGTGAAACACTGATCCAACCTTGGAAAATAACTTCCCTAAAAATTTAAATTTATAATCTAGGCCAAGATGTTGATTGCTGTTTATTTTCTCTGAGCCAGACATAGTGGCTACAAGTTGCTTGGCTGTCCAAAGGTTCTCACAAGGCATGATAGCCATGCCTCAGGCCCCCTGCAGAGTAGATTTAATTAGGGTAAATGATACTCATGTTTTGGCCTGGAGACCTTTGCTGTGGTCCATTTGCCCCACCGTGAGGTTGGGAATCACCCATGCTGGGCCACTCATGTGCTTCTGTCAGTTAACTCTGAATTTCACACATGCTTAGTTGCGTGAACCCTCAGAAAAGTGACCTCTTTCTTCCTTCATCTTGACCACCTGGGATCACCTGTGGTTTTGAGACACTGTGTTTATACCATTCACAAGTTGGCCATCCCTTGTCTCTTCGACATTATTAAGTTTTTCAAGGACAAACCCTCCATTTTGTGGTAGATACAGCTGCTTTCGACAAAGAAGAGTCTGGAAACAGGGTCTTGTCAAAATTCAGTTCAGATGTGTGGCTGTGTTTACTCTAGCTTTGGTCAGGTGGCAGCAATATGTCTGTTGAGAACAACGGAGCTACCAGTCATGTCAGCACCCACTCCTAGGCCCCTGCTCACATAATTAAACTATTCATTCACCCTCATATCCTCACACTCAAGAAATGTAAAAGCCCATTGGGGCATTTGTTAATAATGGCTCTTTCTGGGTCCTACTGTAAAGGAAGAGGTGTCTCCGATTATCATGTGAGGAGAAGAAGCCACGACATGTGCTGTCACTGAAGCCATGAGAGGTGGGGAAGATGGCAACACGGCTGGCCCCTCTCAGCCCACCTGAGACTGAGCTGGGTAGGGTGGGCGACATGGGAGGCAGGCAGCTTAGAGGCTTGCAGGAGGCAGCTTAGAGGCTGGTAACACAGTGGTGCATTGGTTCCTGTTGATTGTCCCAGACCTGGGTGTGACTGAGGTAGAAGAAAGACACAGCCCTGGGTCCCTGACTCCTTCTGTTCTGGGATTTCCCCTGATAGTGGTTATTACCAGGTACCACCTCTTCTAGGGGAGTGTTTGGAAATGTGAAAGGGGCATTTTAGTTACCATGTGCGGGCACTGGCATGACAGGCTGAGCATAGAGGCTAAAACTCAGCGAGACCCAGTATAGTGGCACCAACAGGAAATCCTCCTGCTGGGATGTGTCCCTTTGAGAAACATGCAGATCTCAAGGCCTCCCAAGGAGGACAGACTCTGAGGCAGGTCTGAATTTAAACATGGCGTCTCGCCCCTGCCTTTGCCTGACTGAAGGGCATTCTCTGTGGGGGCACAGAGCTCTCTGCAGCTGAAAAGAAGGCCTACGGCTCAGCATTTCAGGAGTGGGCACTGCTCCAGTATTAGCTAGGAACACAAAGTGCCTGTAGAGGTTTGAAAAAGACTGCAGGCACTGGCAAAACAAGCCCCCGCAGGTGATGAGACCCATCCTTCACTGTCACCAGAGCAAAGAATGTAGTTCAGTTACTTCCCTAAGAGGAGCACGAGGTTCTCTGGCAGGATTCAAGATGAGACTGGTGTTAGAGGGATGGATGGGAAACAGTATTAGTTTACTACACCACCCCTGACCCCCAGAAAACAAAGGTATCCCCAGAGATAGAAGTTCATTCAGCTTCTAGAAGGCTCTAAATGTTTGCACAACTTGGTTCTTCTCTCCCAGGCACTAACCTCTACTCCTGCCCAGTTGTTGGTCTGTCAGTCTCTTTCCTCGAACCAGAGCAATAACATTTTGACAGTGTTTAGAGCCAAGCTTGGAAACAAAGGTAGACAAGTTTCTGGCTTCACTTTCTGAATTTCTTTCTCTTTCCCTCGCGCAAGGTAAGAGCAGAGCCTGCCAACAGTTTGCTAATTGTCTCCAAGTGAAAAGATTGTTTAATTCAGAAGAGATTTTAGACTCCCAGGGGCATGACACCCGTCATTTCACAATGGAGAATTATTTTTGTGGTATTTATTTTATGATTCCTGACCCTTGTTCTAGATCTTGCTGGTGTGTTTTCATTTAAAATGTATTAACTGAGACTTGGCATAGGCACTTGGCTCCATTAAGCTCTACAACAGCTTAATCCAGATTTTATTATATTGGGACTTGAGTATACAAACTTTAAGATGAGAGGAAGCTTAAGGATAAATAGAGTAATTTTAATACTTACTATGCATTTAACTCTTTTGGTTCCCTCTAGGCAATTTTCTGGAGTGTTTGTGACTGGACTTTAACATTTCCAAAATGTGGCGACAGTGACTGTTAAGTCTTCCCAAAGACGAGGGTTCCTGGGAGCCCCAGGGTAAGTGGCAGACTAAGGTGAGCATTTAGGGTCATGATTGCTTTAGGTCAACAGCCATGCATTGGGCCTGTCTAGTGGATGCAGAGCCCTGCCAGGCATCACGGAGAAGGCAGCCTTGACTCTCCTCTGGGCTCCAGGACATTAATATTTAACTGCCTCCTTGCCAGCTCTGTTTGCTGCTCTCCCAAACTCCTCAACATTAACACTTCCAAAGTGGATCTCCTGACCTTCCCCTCAAACCTGACCCTCCAGTGTATTCCCCTTACAAAAACAAAATCACTGTCCACCTATTTTAGTTGCTCCTGCAGTAATATCTCCTGCACTACAACCAGAGCCTGTTGGCTCCTCCTTCTCAGTATGTCTGCAATCTGTCTACTTCTCTCCATCTCAACTGCCCTGCCAGGTCCAGCACCAACAGTTCTCACCTAGAGTCTCCCACTCCCCATTAGCCTCCTACCTGTCTTCTCACATCCATTTGTGGCCTCCACTTCTGCAGCTAGAGTGATCTCCTCTAAGTAGAAACCAAATCAGCCTACAACCTTGCCCCAAACCCATCAATGGATTCCCACTGCACTTGGCTTAAAATGGAAGTGTTCACACTTCCTGAAGACCCTGTGGATCTACCCCTCTTTACCTTCCAGCTCCTTGCATGCCCTTGTCTCCACTTCTTACTGGGCTCAGTCAGACCCCACCAGTCCCCAAATCATTCCCTGGCTAAGGCTCCTTCATCTTTCAGGCTATTTCCTCTGTGAGGCCTTTCCTGATCCCCTCCTAACCTAACTGAGGCCTCTGTTATACTCTTTCATAGCACCCTGTGCTTCTTTTCCAACCTCCATGGTTCTTCTTTCCCACACACAAACCCTCTACTCCTGCCCAGTTGTTGGTCTGTCAGTCTCCTGTACAATCACGGTGTGTACTTTTATATTTATTGTTGTAATTGTGAATTTAACACCTGTCCCTTCCATCAGACTCTAAGTTCCTTAAAGGTCGAGGCCCTATCTGTTTTGCTCAGAACTAGAAATTCAGCAACTGGAACAGTGCCTGGTACATCCTCAATAAATATTGGTTGAATCCATAAATTTAAAAATGGAATGGTTACTGCTTTCAAGGAGTTGATGATCACTGCCCCCAGGAAAAACCCACTGAGCCTCACCCATGTCCACTCTAGATAAGGAGAAAAATAAATATCTGAAAAAACTCAAGAACTGCTCAAAGCATTGTGAAATAAAGTGAAAATCCATATCTTGGAAAATCCAGAGGACTTATCCAAAGTCTGGTGAGTCTAACCATGTTAAGGTCATGGACTGGCGGCAGGTGGGGAGAGAGGTACCTTTCTCAGAATGATCTTTTCATCCATAACCACAAATTTCAGAGAGCTGAGAAAAGGGCTGAGTGGAGAGGGAATCCACAGAAATGTGGGTGTTGGCCACCTAGCTAGGTCCTCTTCTGGGTCCTGTTGGAAGTCCTCTTGTTAATCCATTAAGGTCTATGCATTCGTGGTTCCAGGCATCCTGCTGGGGAAACCCCCAACCACACCCTCCAAGGAGATGCGGGTCTGCTCTCATTTCCTGTCCTCTCCAGATTTCTGGAGCCCCCAGGTTGAGTGTCATGGGGGAACTCCATGGATACTCAGCAGCTACTGGTAGGAAGTCCTTCTTCGTCTCCAGCTGACTGCTGGAGCTGAGCTCCTTTGGGCTGGGCTCCTTTTCCAGGAGGTAAAATAAAATGTGCTTACTTGTTCCTAGCTGCAATTGTTTAATTGACTTGTTTTCAAGTTTTCATGTGGG